>NC_000007.14:90385566-90688597 GCF_000001405.40 Homo sapiens | reverse complement strand
GTTAATACCTCTTACTGTCATTGCCCATTAATTACTACCTAGGTGCTTTAACGTGCATCCTTAAGTCATTTCCATTTGCCCTATAAATAATAAAAAACAATTTTTTAAAAAAGAGAAATTATTATATTTTGAATAATGCAATTTAAAAATACTGACATATAGCAAAGGCTAATTATGACCCTAAGAGAAAAAGATTAAATCATCAAGTTAAGTTTCTTCAATATGATCGTAAGATGACGGGCTTTTTCCTTTTATATTTCCTTTTCCTATTTAATTTCTCAGGTGTCAATACTGACTGCCATTAGAAATCCGTATTCACTGGTCTGTGACTGATCTCAGGCATCAAAACCAGATATTGAGTGTCCACCAGAAATCTCTGAAACAATCATTTTATTAGATGTAGGAACAGGTCATAGGAATGTGTGTTCTGACTGCTATGATAACCACAGTCCAACCTGGATCTCTTGAACTTCCCCCCTAATACTTCCCTTAGAGCCTTAGCCTTTTACTTTATACTTTGTCATTCTAATATTATTCGTATTGATTTAGGTGACACTGAGGAAAAAAGAAATCATAATTCTAAGTCACATTTCTCACTTGTCAAATCTTGTGGTTTAAATCAAGTATTTATTGGCTGTCTTCTCTGTCCTTCAGCAGTTATCAACACTTTCAGCTGCAGCAACTGTTCCTATTTGCTTTAGATCATCATCAAAAGAAAGAGGCCACTATTCCACAATTTTATTTATCAGGGTACCTCAGAAATTGCTTTTATACTACAAGTTGTTTCTCAAGATTAATATAATGTATTTCTCTTTCAAATGTCTTTCAAAATATGTAAACAGGTTTTAAAGGTAAAATGCTATGTTTTAAATAACTGAAATCCTTCTTGGGGGGTGAGAAGGAGACTCTTACCCAAAAGCATCACAGATGAAAACTTTCTGCCTTGTTTTCAAGACCCTCTGAAAACCTAGCATATCACTTCCCCATTTCCCCATCTCATTACACATTTAGTCATTAATATGTATCTAGATCCATTATTATCTTCATATCCCTTAATTATTTCTCCTTTCAGTACTACTGTTTCCATCTTTTTCCCTTGTTCAAAAAGCCCTCCTTTTCCATCTTCTATCAAACCAAAACCCTACTCACCCTTCGTAGCCTTCTAAAGAAAGCTTTTTCTCACAGTTCTTGTTTTAATTAGCCTTCCTCAACCCAAAAGTCCAGAAGTTCAGACCTGCTTCTTGGCCTAACTTTTAGACCAGCCCTAAATAGACCCTTAACTCTGCTCGGTTAATAAATATAATAGACTCATGTTGAGGATGATTTTTTAGGTTTAAGAAAAAAGAACATATTTGGCTACCCTACACGTATCCCTCAAATCTCCCTACTTCTCATGTTTACATTTTACAGCCCACTCAAATCATGGGTTAGAAAATAGGGAGATCTTTTTTTGAATAAATTACCCCTCTGTTCTGATGTGGATGATTTGATCTACTTGAAAGTTAACATTTCTAAGTTGCATAAGTCACAGCTGCTGCTTAAAAAAAAAATTCAATCACAACTAGATCATGTATTCACATATTAGAGGCAGTCACATGAATGAGTTTTTAAGTCTTTTATTCCTCTCTGGTCTTTAGTTCACAAACAATTTGCTATTTGGTTAGAGTTTCTCATCTTCTCTTGCTCATACAATATAATTGAACCACATTACTCACTTAAAATTCACTTTAAGCACACTGGAATGTTTAACATATGAAAACTTTTCATCAAAGACAAAAAAAAGTTCCATTGATTCTCCCAACAAATCTTTATCTCAGGATTAATGGCCACTGGTAGGAATTTGGACTTAACCACTTTCCGCCAATCTTACTTTTAGAAAATCACAGAAATACTCCTATTTCATCTTATGCACTCTATATTATGCTTTCTGGTTAATTCATTTAGTTGACAACATTTGCCAGTACTCATGATAGGGAATGGGATACAGTGAGGATTAAGACAGAGTCCTTTTCTTTTACTAAGATAATAGTGTCCTTCAATTTTCAACAAGGTCATCAGGAATAACACAGACCATGTCCTCCAGGAGCTTCTCAATGAAATAAACAAAACTATATTGTATAATTCATTTTTCATAAGTTAATTCCCCAAATTCATTCTCATTAGAACATGGCTGACATTTTCATCAAAAAGTCAAAGGCAGCTGACATGGTAATGATCCAAGACTTCTTCTCGCTGAATTAAACTGCCTTTTGAGAGGCACTGTAAAATCTTCCCTAATTGGAAAAAGAAGGCTAAATATTTATTTAGAGATAAATGACTCAATATTTGGAAACCACAGAAGTTAACTGAAAAAACTACTGGAAACAAAAGAAAATTCAGTAGACTAACGTCTAGAAAACTAAAAATCATCATAATAAGAATTAATATTTGTTAATTGAGAACTATGTATTAATCTCTTTAAAAGATCATCTCATTATTCTTATGAAGTAGCTACAATATCATCTTAAAGATGAAAATATTGAAGGAAGTAACTTGTCCAAAAACACACACTATGCTGCGCTGTTTGTTAAACTCAATATGTAGAATAAAACAGCTTTCTTATGTACCAATACTAAAAGAGAAAATTTAGTTAAATAAAAAGTACAATCAAAATATCAACAAAAAGAAACATGAAGCAGCAGGTAATAAATATTAATAAGAAATATACAGTATCTATATGAGAAAAACTAGAAAATGTAAATAAGGAACAGAAGGAAAATGACTGGAGAGAGAACTTGTATTTGAACAGTAAGACTTGAATATTTTACACATATCAGTTCTTCCTAATTTCTAAATTCAATGCTGGCTAGGCACTGTGGCTCACACACTTGAAGCCAGGAGTTCAAGGGCAGACTGGGCAACAAAGCAAGACCTCATCTCTACAAAAAAAAAAAAAAAAAAAAAAAAAATTAATTGGCTGGGCAAGATGGCATGCACTTGTAGTCCTATCTAGTTGGGAGGCTGAAGCAGGAGGATCACTTGAGTCCAGGAGTTTGAGGCTACAGTAAGCTATGACAGTGCCACTAACACTCCAGCCTGGGTGACAGAACAAGACTCTATCTCTAAAGAAATATAATAAATTAAATAAATTCAATGCCAGGCTAATCAAAATCTCAATAGAAAATGTTTTAAATTTTGAAACAAGTAATTCTAATGTTTACTGGAAGACTAACTGTATGATAAGCACATTATCATGCTTCAGTAAATAAAAGAGGGTGGTACTGACACAGGAAAAGACAAATAATATAATATCATCATTGAGATACAGGCCCAAGCATATATTAAGAATAATTTATGATAATGGCAACACTTTGAAGCAGTGGGGAAAAGATGGATTATTCAATAAATGCTACTGAGACAACCAGAAAGCAATGTGAAAGAAAAGAGAGGATGAATTTCCTACTCAATCCTTATGCTAAAATAAATTTCAGGTAATTAAAGCATGTAAATATAAAAGATGAAACTATAGGTAAATATTTTTCTCATATTAGAATGGTGAAAACTTTTATAAACATACCCCAAAACCAGAAACCATAATAGGATGATTCCCTAAAAATGAAAAAAAAAAAATCTATGCATAAAAACATATACATATTTAAAAGATGGAAAATTAGAAAAATATTCACTATATATATGAAAATATGAATATATATATATGAAAGGCAAAGATTACTGCCCCTAGCAATACAATCAGCTCTTAAAAACAAGGAAACATATATATGTGCAGTAGATACATGGGTGGGTAGATGGATAAATGAATGGATGGATGGATGGACGGACAGACAGGTAAGTTTTAAAGAACCATAAACACGGTGTGATGGTTTTAAAATATGTACCCAAATTCTTTGATATGCCTCACTTCAAAAGGCAGATCTTAATTCCCTTCCCCTTTAGTATGGGCTACAATAGGAAACTGTTGAAGTTGTTTACCTATATGGAGGGTGGAGAGGTAAGAACAGACTGGACAGGACACTAGAGGAAGTGACACTTCTCTGAGTATATCTTTTTGAATAGTTTGACTTTTTGAAACATGTTACTGTTACTGACATTCAAAAAATAAAGTTAAATCAACAAGGATGGGGAAGAAGGAATAAAACTGAAAGTAAACAAACAAATCCAAATTGTATTTCAAATGTGTAATATAGCCCCACTGCCATGAAGAAGAAGGTAACTGCTAAGTGATGGATATGTTACCTGGTTTTACTGTAGTAATCATTTCTCATTATCTATATGTTTATAAAAACTTCATGTTGTACACATTAAATATATACAATAAAAGAACAACTTATGGAAGTTTATGAACACAGTATTCTTGATTGGAGAACATTCTTGGTCAAAATGGGAAGAGAACTATAAATAACTCTAAACTCTTTTTATTAGGTTTGATTTTGTAGTGCTACAGCACAACAATTCTGAAAGTACTTTAGATATAATATAGATTTTAGCAAACAAGTAAATATATTGAAGTCGTTGCAAGTTAGGGTTCTTACCATGGGAGAAATAAAAAACCTCTACAGGGATGGATTCAAATTAAGGTTATAAGTGGACACAGTTTTAAAATATGTATGTGCACATGCATGTGCATATATACACATACATGCATGTGAATGTATATATGAATGCATACACACACACACACACACACACACACACACACACACGTACATTTTCTAGCTCTATCTGCTCAAAGGCCCTAAAAGCAGATTCCCAGTACCAATGAACACATCTACCCAGAATTTGGTCTTTTGCGGATTTTTGGAGACAGAGTCTCGCTCTGTCGCCCAGGCTGGAGTGCAATATCACAATCTCGACTCACTGCAACCTCTGCCTCCCAAATTCAAGCAATCCTCCTGCCTCAGCCTCCTGAGTAGCCAGGATTACAGGCATGTGCCACGACGCCCAGCTAATTTTTGTATTTTTAGTAGAGATGGGGTTTCACCATGTTGGCCAGGCTGGTCTCAAGCTCCTGACCTCAGGTGATCCGCCCGCCTTGGCCTCCCAAAGTGCTGGGATTACAGGTGTGAGCCACTGTGCCCAGCCCAGAATTTGGTTTCTAATAGCATTCCCCATGCAGAGGAATCAGGGTCCATGGGGAAATGCTGAAGCACAAAAGCATAAAATAAAAGCCTGTAAAATCTAGTTATGTCACAAAGTAGGAAGGTGCTAAAATAGTTGGGCATATCACTAAGACATAGGAGCCAACTTGAAGAGGTTCCTATTTGCCCATTCAGATAATCTGAGCACCAAAATTATCTTTAAAAACAGTAATTAATTATAGGCCATTGCAGGAAAACAGGAATCTGTAAGTTCACACCAGAAATAAATGAATAAAGAAAGAAAGAAAATATAGGGGATCTTGCACGTGAGAAGGCCAAGGGTCAATTTGGAGGGAAATGTCATCATTTTGTAACCACCACAGTAAAGACAAATCGATGAATGCTAACTCTAGGGGAAATATTTTAATGAGGAGCAAGGCATCTGTATGGAATTAAAATGTCTCCCCACAGATTGCCCACAGTAGCAAGGGGAAAAAATAGCATAAAGAAATCGACTAACACCTTGACTAGATGATCAAAATTAGCATCAAAACTGAGAAGCAGATGGACGCCATGTGCCTCCAGATGTGAAACCCTGAGGGCACAATATCAGTTACATAACATTCCCACTGGGAACACATAACCTAAAACTAAACAAGAGGAAACATTACATAAACATAACATGAGGGACATTCCATTTTTAAAAAGACCTATATTTTAAAATGTCAATTCATAAATATAGAAGAAGGCTGAAGAACTATGCCAAATTAAAGGAGACTAAAAAGATATGACAAGTAAATGTAATGCATGATTCTACACTTGGTTCTGCACTGAGGTGAACAGAAGCCATAAAAGGTGGTATTGGGTTAACTGACAGAATTGGAAAACAAACCATATAAAAGATAATAAGTATCGTATCTGAGGTTGATAACTTCAGATATGCTGAATAGGTATAAACATACTGAAGGTGATAACTGCACTGCATAATGTAAGTGGATATCTTTATCCCTAAGAAATATATACTATCTTATATGCAACTTACTTTCAAATAGTTCAAAAAAGAGACTATATGTCTACCTATCTATATACACACACAATAGACCGACAGATGATTGATTGATAAAAAATAACAAAGCTAGTGGTAAAGGATATTTTAGTATTCTCTGCATTCTTCTTACAGGTTTTCAAGTTTAAATTATTTCCAAAGAAAAAGTTTTAAAATGTACTTAGCTTACTTCTACACAAACAGGTCAAGTCTTTTTTTAGATATTTATACATTTTCCCTTAAAGATTTTTCTAGGTTATTACTGTTTACTGGATACGTTCTTACTAGATAGTGAAAAGGTAAACTTTAATATTCAGGACCTGTAACTAGGTAATTGAAAATAACAAAGTAATGAGGCTCAAATACACCCTCAGTGCATAAACAGATACAGGTAATTAATGCAGATACAGGTAAAGGATGTAAAATAATACTCCACCATTATTAATGCAGTGGATACCACTAGTAAATGGACAAAGCAAAAATGTTACTTAAAATGGTGAATCATAAAAATAAATTATAAAATATACCTTAAAATTTTCAGTTAACTTAATTCTTATAAATGGACATTCACTCAAGTATCTTTTGAAATGCAGTGAAGAATTTTTCTTTGAAGATGGTCCAGGAATTGAGCTATTTTTTCCACATTAACCATAACCAAAGCATCATCTACAAATTCCAGTATCAGGTTTCATAAGGGGAGGATTTAAAGACACTAGGGCTGAAGTCTCCTAAATCTATGCAGTCTATATAGAGTTGTCTCTCCTACATTTGAGTCAATAAAAAAGTTTAGTAACACCTGTATCCTATTTTTAATGCAATTACTTTATTTTTTCATAGAAACAGCCACATTCTTTTTTATGCACTTATATTTTATCAGTTAATTGTTATATTATTACAAACACAAGTACAATGGGCATAAACATTCAGCTTGACAGTGCAAGCAGCAGTGAGTGCACAGGCATCCCAGAGAGCAGCTGAGCACCACCAGTCAGTATGTTCTCAGAGAGAATGTAAAGGACCCGTTCATCCCATGAGTCTGTTAAATGGAGGTCAGTTACAGTGTCTAGAAGACACCTAAATGGAGTCACCTCCACCAAGCCTGTAATGGAAATATTTGTCTCAAACAAGCGAACTAAGTACTTCCTAAATAGCTCTCAGTTTGCCAAAAGTACACAGGGATTAAAGTGACATTTGATCAAGTTTACAGGCAACCTCAGTTAAGAGCCTCCCTGTTTTCCAATAGACCAACAATACGGGAAAGCAAAAACATCTGGTGCCAGGCGATATATAATAGTTTGAAACGTGTGTACCAAGTAGTTAAGTCTAAATTAAAGTATTTCATAAAAAACAGAAATATGCACATCAAAAGGGAATAACAGAACATAAGAGGAGAATTAAAACTCTGGCCTTGATGCACTCTTGTAAAATAAATCAAACTATCCATATTTTCAAATACATATAAACTCCACAATGTACTATCTGTCTCTTTACAGAATCCATTAAAAAATACTTTAATTTTCCAACAGAGTTTTTGGAAAATGTGTACATAGCCATGTTCTAAAGTACATCCACGTATGGCCAAAATCTTGTTTGCCCTACAAGTTTCAAACCATTAAAAGTGAGTTCTTTCATTTTCTAATTTGTGATCACAATGTTGTTTCCATTAGGAAGAAACAGGTCAATAAAATAATAATAGCTGGAGCTAACTTTTATGCACTGCCACTTCTTTTCCACTTTAAAAGACTCAAAGGAACAAAAGCGCCCAAACACTCCCGCAGCTGATCTGAATCGCTACATATTATGCATATCTGATATGTGATGACAACGAGACATGCAACTCTATTCACTGCCTTAAGTTATGAAGAGCCTGCAGAGGGAATCTGATTAATTCACCCAATAGATTTTTCCAACACAGTGTCTTTTAGAGCAAGACAAATAGAAACTCATTCTATCTGACCTGAGGGTCTCATCTGGCTTCTTTTACATCATGACTTTAAATTTATTATTCATGCTATATTTTATTTCTCCAATCAATGAAAAACTGGTGCTCTTCTATTCAAATTGTGTTATGAATGCAAAAATTTAATTATACCAAATAATATTTGAAGACCCAATATAACATTAAACTAAACTGAGTAACTTTAAATCAGATACTAGAAGCTATGTCTAATGATACAACCAAATTTAAATTCATCTCAAAGAGGTTGTCAATAAGTCCGAGGCAGATATAAACTGATGTCCTTCTAATATCATTAGCTGAGCTAATATTTCACAATATAAAGAAACTCAGATCCTCCAAAACACTCCTATCTTACTGCAGACATGTCTTATTTAGTCCTCAAACTACCATAAAGGTTTTACAGGGATATACATACAAACGAAAAATATATATAAACTAAACATATATATAAACAAAAATTCTATTTATATATAAACAAAAACAGAATACTATTATAACCGCCTTATACTTGATTACACATAGTAATTTTTAATTACATCTAAAGCACCAGGAGAAAGATAATGAAGACAATAGTCTCCGAGAGCCACAACACATTTTTGAGTTGGAGACATTCATCCTCCATGCTCTGAGACAGTTTCTTCAATAGCCTATGCTGACTATAAATCTATATAGCAAAAGATCATTTTTAAAAATTCATTCTTAAAAATGACAGATTCAATGACTTATACAAGAAATCATACAGCATAGCTGTACTATGCCAGCAAAAATTGATTGATTTGCTAAGAAAGTAAACTACTTTTGATTCAATAAAACTACTGGAGTCACTAAGAGCACTTCCAGCATATTCACAATTTGCAGAATATTTTAAGAGGTTAAAAAAATTATAGCAGTAGGCTCTCCATTTCTCTGTACTATTACTTGTAAGTCTCTTTTAAAATAAACTGCTTTGGGGACTGGTGCATCTAGAGGTTCTTGGAAGGAATATATGATAGACAACTTGACAAAATATACATTTATTTGGTGAGGGATAATTTTCATTACAGGTTATTAAAGAGACAGTATATTACCTACACTAGTAAGTCATTAATATTATTATCAAACACACATAGAAATACTTCAGGTAAATTATTTAAAAACTTAAATAAGCTTTAAAGTATTTGTTTGTATATGCAACTCAGATTATTTTGTTAATTCAAGTTGCAATCAGTTAATACAGTTTAAGCCAATCACACAATATTATCTCTGAGCTAGATTTAAGAACTGTTCCTGCTGGGTAGAGTAGCTAACATCTGTAATCCTAGCATTTGAGAGGCAGATGCAGGAGGATTACTTGAGCCCAGGAATTTGATACCAGCGTGGGCAACATACCAAGACCTCATCTCTACAAAAAGTGTTTAAAAATTAGCCGGGCATGGTGGCGTGTGCCTGTAGTCCCAGCTACTTGGGGGGCTGAGGTGGGAGGATTGCTTGAGCCTGGGAGACTGAGGCTGAAGTGAGACTTGTTTGCACTACTACACTCCAGCCTAGGCAACAGAGTGAGACCCTGTCTCAAAATGAAAATAAAACAAAACAAAATTGTTTCCAACTCTCTTTGCAACTCTTCCTGATACGATTCCTTTGTAGGCTACTGATTTAAGGTGGATAATTATTCTCTTGTTCTTCTTATCTCAAATACAGAAGTATGTGATCACCTTCTTAAGGAACTTTTTATGTCATGATTTGCATCCCCAGGACCTAGCAAATAATAGCTAGTGCTGATGAATGAATGAATGAACAATGAACCAATTATGATTTCTGAGTTTATATGGTGATTACCCTACACTCTGCTCTTGTGCAATCCTTCTTCATTAAATCCTCTATTTTAAAAAAAAAATGAAAAGGTTATGCACCGAGGCTTCTCACAACATACCGGAATAACAAGTTACCCTTAACCTGAAGAGGCTAAAAAATGGCACATTTAAAGGAGGAATTCATCACACCTTTCAGTTCATTTCAATAAACACTGATGATATAAAATGAATAAGCACAGACATCACCCTCAGGACATCCACAGTCTAGTGGAAGAGACGAACACAAACAAATCATAATACAGGTGGTAATTTTTTCCTGTTTCTTCTCCTCTAAAGCTTTGGGTCAGGTTTATTCTCTCATGTGCCAGCTGATGTGACTGGGAAAGGTCTCAGCGACCAAACACTTTGCCTTCACCCCAAGCATCAGCCAAGGGGGCCAGATAAAGCACTTCCACTCTCTCCTCCTCTGCTGTTCCCTCTGCTTAGTCTTGGAGAACCCACCAACCGCCCATCCTCCAACGCTGTGGCTTCATTTGAAATTCTGAGCATAAGCGGGCTTCCCTTAAAGCCCCTATGTTATATGCCTCTTACAGTACTGTTCCTCAACAAAGGCTGTGGCTTTGCTCCACTTGATTCTTACAATCAGCTAATAACCAAGACCAGTTCTGCTCCTAATCATTCAAACTAAACAAATGTTTACACTCATCGCTGAGTCGCAGTCTCTCTGGCCCAAATGTTGACTCTGCCGAAGAGGCAACTCAGTGGCCCAGCTCCTGTCAGCCACACAGCTGGCACCACTGGGCATCATCCTAACCCATTCCTGACAGCCTAAAGAAACGACATGCCCTAGAGCAGGGCACTAAGGCATCAATCACAGAGACCTGACAATTGTAACACTTGCTCCCATTTCCCCTTTCCATTAAACAAAGGGATAAGATTCGTAAATGTCACTAAAATGGAAAAAATCAAGTCATTTTAGACACCAAAACATCAACTTCAGAGAAGAGAGGCTTAATTATAAATGCATCGGGCACAGCTGGTAGGCTTTCCTCCTCCTATTCACAAGGGGAAAAAAAAAACAGCTTCCAGGAAAACATATTATGTATTCTTCTCCATCACCTCCAAAAGGCAAAGTGATTTGGTGTTTTCTTCCTTTAGTGAATACACAAAAGAGGCCTCAGTAAAATCACTATCAGGTTAGATTTTAAGAACACAACTGAAACCAAGATTTTACAAACATCTCTCTATTTTCTTAAAATAAGCCGATTAACAGCCTGCAACACAATAAGAAAGTGAGAAAATTACTACAAGACTTTGGCAGCATAACTTTAAGGCACCTTTGTTTGGAAAAAGTGAAAATTAGTATGAAACTATTACAAGTAGCTCAAGTTTCACAGTAAGTTTTACAGGAACCAATAAATTTAGGAGGGAATTGGTAGGTAGGTGAATGTCAGAAAATTGTATTTCAGGATTTATCACTCTGATTGCTTAAACAAGACTACGAACCATGGAACTTACCAGTCTATATAGTATAATACTCTGTTAGTGGGTATTTGTCTAAGCACTTGTAATGACAAGTCGATCCAGGGAAGTCTTTTGTTATTTGCTTCCAAAATAAACAGTGATGTATCAAATTTTGAAGAACATCCTAAAATATCTGCTAAGATTTCAAAATGGTCTATGTCAAAGTTAAATATAACAGACATGGTAAACTTGCATACATCATTACTTCCCTTCATTCTTCAAGCTATCAGAAACTCCAAACACATAAAAAAAAAAAACTTGATATACAACTGAATAAACATGTAGAAAGTACAGCAAGGCTAGTTTCTTTGGCTTTAGCTGTTGCCCTGCTCTTTCTTCTCTGAAGAGCCTTGAAACATCTGGGACTGAGCCGGCTATAGTGGCTCATGCCTGTAATCCCAGCATTTTGGGAGGCCAAGGCAGGAAGACCCCTTGAGCCCAGGAGTCTGAGATGAGCCTGGGCAACATAGTGAGACCCCATCTTTACCAAAAAAACGAGCAAAACTAACCAAGTGTGGTAGTATCCACCTATAATCCCAGCTACTCCCAAGGCTGAGGTGGGAGGATCGCTTGAACCCAAAAGGTTGGGGCTGCAGTGAGCCGAGATCACGCCACTGCACTCCAGCCTGGGTGACAGAGTGAGACCCTGGCTCAAAAAAAAAAAAAAAAAAAAAAATGAAACATCTAAGACTGGTCCTGGAGTTGCAGATGCCAACCATGACCCACCTCCTACTACCCTCTCCTCCCTCACTCCACCCAACCTCTCCCCAGCAACTTCCTCCTATAAGTGCACCAGGGTCTTTGCATTTGCTATTCCTTCTGCCAGGTACACTCTTCCCTTGACACCCTTACAGCTCCCTCACAGCCTTCCGGCCATTTTCCAAAGTGAGTTTCTCAGGGACGCCCTTCCTGACAACTCCATGAAGAATGTAAAGCCTCCCTCAATACCTCCTATCTCCTTTTCCTGCTTTAATGTGTTCTCCTTAGCAACTATTACTATGTAACATACTATTTAGACTAAACATTTTGCTTACTGTCTCCACTAAAATGCAACCTCTATGATTGTGAAAGCAGGGATTTGTGTCTGATTTGCTCATTACTGCATTTTCACTGCTTAAGAGATTACAGGCATATAGTATGTGCTCAATAAATATTTACTGAACAAATGAATGAATCTACATAATGATTATTCTTAGGATGGTCTCCCGACTGCCTTCTTGATGAACTGTAGTTTGCTAACTCCACCTTGAAGGCTCTTTGCCATCCCCTCCTCTTCTATAATAGTTTTCTTCTTTCCTGCCTTGACTGTTTTAGGTCTTATTAAAATGGACTTTTATAAGCAATCTGAAATAACTTGTAAAAGTAAGCAAAATATAAACAAATCAATAAGCAGAAGCAAGATTTTAGTTGCCATGAAAGGTTTTCTCTCAGTTTTGCATGTTTCTGCTATCCTTGAATCATATTACTCTAAGATCATGGAAAGGAGGCCAATACTTAACTGATTTAGAAAGCAGCCCATTTGTATATCTGTTTGCATATATACAGAAAAGAGAACAAATTATTAATACATAGATGTATTAAATTGTTTCTATTTCTAAAGGAGATTCAAGAAAGTGGTGTTTTAAAGTTTTATAAAGTCTTATAGAGTTGGCTGGTTATTTAAAAGTTATAGAGCACATTCCGTCCTATCAACTTTAAAATAGCCAAAGTTAACTGTTGATGATACTTTGCAATTACCAAATTTATATTTCAAGAAAAAAAGCTCTACATGATCTATGACAGCATTCATTTAGGAAAAAAAAATCCTATATTCAGACCTTAAAAGCAAAGCATTCAAACAAATGAAAATACTTTTAAGAAGTTTGAAAGCAAAATAAAGGCCAGACTATACCAGTTATAAGAAAGTGTTATAATATTGCTACAACAAATAAAACAGCAGCTGTGGCACAAAAATAGACATGCAGATAAATGAAAAATAATGCCTGGAGGAAGAAAAAAAAATCCCTACTATATAGGAAAGGTTAAATGTATGGAAAAGAAAGGTTGAGTGGGCAAAATTCCAGGCTCTCTTATCCTCAAAACCATTCCCAACCCTAAGCCATCTCAGCACTAATGAGATCCAGGTTGTTGAGCCATACAAACTGGCCCTCTGTCTTAACTATAGCCAACTACCACATAATAAGAAAAAAACTATTCTTAATAAATGGGGCTACTGAAATTGACGATTTGGGGAAATAAAAACTATTTAGATCTTATTCTACACCATATGTCAAAATATTCCAGATGGACAGAGCTGAGCTCCACCTTCAGTTTGGGGTGTGGTGCTCCTGTCCAGGCAGGGAAGGAGAGGTGAGAAAAGTGCCTGTTTGGAGGCTGAGCCAGACTGGGTGTGCTGAGGTGGTGTCCTGGCCTGTCCCAGGAGGTCTGGAGTGGCCAGTTTGCAGGGGGAGGCAAGGGTGTCACTGTGGTTTCCAGTTACCATTTTTTAAACTGCCTAGACCAAACTGTTTTGGAAAAAGATGCTTACATCAACCATAATTATGCATTTTATGGTATTTTTCAGCCCTCTGAAAAGGGAATCCTCCCTAAACCTCTAAATCTAAAAATCTAAGTTTGTTTTGTTTCTACATTCCCATTTCCAAATATAATCATGGAAGCAAATTAAGCACTGAGGTTCGTCTATAGCTCATTTCTCTTCTCACAATGAACATATCTACATCTGCAGAAATTCATCTTTTAATACTCTTCTAGGGGAATTTGTGTTCCCACCTTCCCTAACTGATTGTCTTTAGCTATGGCTATCCTCTCTCAAGACTGATAAGATTTACTGAAGCTGAAACTTCTCATCTAAACTCTGACAATCCCAGCAACTGGCCCCCAGCCACCTCCACCAGCTAGAGGTTCAACAATACAGATTCTCCTTAATGATCCTACTCTAGTTGACTCCTATCCCAGTAATTAATACATGGCTGTGCTTCAAAGGCTGCATTTTTTTTCTCGCTATAGATAATCATATTCTTAAAAATAGTGTTTTATCCTTAAAAGTAGCCCTCTCATTAAGACTCATTCAGAATTTCTGTGCAATTTGATGTCCCCTTCATTATGAACAATAGACTATCTCACTATAGAACTAGAGTCTCCAAGACAACTTAGTTAAGCTCCCAAACGTCAAATAGTGTTTCCATAATAATACATTCATCCCAATGCAATCAGCACAACTGAACACTCCACAAAAGCTGTAAGTGGTGTGTACATATGGAGTGATAAACAAGTTGTTAACTCAGCTTATTAGGTCCTTGATATCTATGAAAAATAAGTTTTAACCTTGATACAAGTCAGTGGAGGTGAGAATACTTAAAAATGCATCAGTTGCAGTACTCCATTATCTTAATGGTACAATCAGCAGTAACTATGAAAGCAAAGTAAGGATATGTTGCACAACAAATAAGGCATGAAATTATACTTTTGTGATTTACAAAACCATAGGTTTGTGATTATTCACTTATAAACTTTTCTTAGGGTAATGATGTGTGTTGGAATATTTATCATACTGAAGTCAAAAGACTCCTAGAAAAAATACTGTTAACAAGCACCATCTATTGTGTCTCTGAGCAATAGACTTAACCAATTTTAAATTGCTTAATAGACTTAACCAATTTTAAGCTGAGGTGGGAGGACTGCTTGAGCCCAAGGGGTTGAGGCTGCAGTGAGCCGTGACTGTGCCACCGGGTGGGCTGTGATTGTGCCACAGCACTCCAGCCTGGGCAACAGAGGGAGGGAGGGAGGGAGGGAATGCAGGTTCCCATTCAGTTTTGAATGTGGCCACATCTGTGAAGTGATGCCTTTCCTGACCCTTCCAGGATGAAAGCATCACTCCCTCTTCTTTCCCCAATCTTTGGTACCCTTATAACGGCACCTAACACACTGAAGTATATCCATATGTTTGTTTCCTCTACTACTGCTCCTCCCTGACCCTTAAGAAACACTGCCATAGAGCCCTACAGCTTGATGGGAGAAGTCCTATCCCTTAGGCATGGAAAGCTATTAAGAATGTGAGAACTGTGTATGAGGAAACTAATTTAATAATTCCTTAGAATGGAACCAGTTGAAAATTTCCAGCTCCACAAACTGAAGTGAAATCATTTTTTCTCCACTCCTTACTAGTAAATTTACTGTTCTATGTTAAAAGAAAAAAAAAATCAACCAGCATTTAAATTATGGCAACCTAAAATGTGTCCAGTATCTTAGAATAATTTCCCCACTGACCTATTCCTCTGTAATAGTAAAACATATACACAAATGTTTATAGCTACATTAGTCATAATAGCCGAAAGGTAAAAACAACCCAAATGCCCATCAACTAGATAAATGTATTTAAAAAATATGACCCAGGCGAGGTGGCTCAGGCCTGTAATCCCAGCACTTTAGGAGGCTGAGGTGGGTGGATGACCCAGGAGTTCAAGGCCAACCTGGTGAACATAGTGAGACCCCATCTCTACAAAACTAAAAATAAAAAATTAGCCAGATGTTGTGGTGTACACCTGTAGTCCAAGCTACTCAGGACGGTGAGGAAGGAAGATCACTTGAGCCCGGGAGTTTGAGGCTGCAGTGAGCTATGATCACACCATGGCACTCCAGCCTGGGCAAGAAAGTGAGACCAAATTATTAAAAAAAAAAAAAAAAAAAAAAAAAAAAAAAAAACAGAAGAAGAAGCACTGATGCATAGGCCATGAATAAACTTTGTAAATATTATGCTAAGTAAAAGAAGCCAGAGATGAAAATCACATATTGTAATTGTATGACTCCATGTGTTTTTTTAAAAAGGTCCACACAGAAAAGCTATTAGTAGTTGCTCACAGCTGGAAGGCAAGGAGGGCACGTAAGTGGGTGATAGCTATAGGACACAAGGATTATTTCTGAAATGATGAAAATGTTCTAAAACCGTGGTAATGGTTTTACAACCCTGTGAATATACTAAAAACTACTGAATTGTATACTTAAAATGGGTGAATTAGACGGCATATGAATTATATATCAATAAAGGTATTACCCAAGAAAAAGAATACAGTATCTTCATATTCTATATTCTCCTCTCTTAGCTTTACTCAGATTTCACCTCTGTCCAGTCACCTTTCCACATTAACTCCAGGCAACTCCAAAAGTTATTCTTCCTGCTTCATTCATCCCCCAAATAAATTACATTCACTACTGCGAAGATAACTGGCCAGAAACTCAATTCCTGAAGTTCTGGCAAATGGTTCCTAGACTCCAAATGGAGCAGAATAATTTGCAACTGGGCTTAAACACGATTGTCTTTTTTAAGGCATCCTCAGTTTTAAACAGCAAACTTTTAGTGAGCTTATACCATATTGATTTAGTTTCTGTTTTTACATATGCTGAAGGAACTGCTTGTTTGTTATGCAAGTTTCATAACCACAACAGTCATAAAATTCATTAGAAACAATTCCATTGAGCATCAGGAGAGAGATGAAGAAATGCCTAGTGGTGATATATAAGCTAAAGTGGAGGGCATTACCCTTTCTCCCACAATGCCATCAAATGCCCCCTATTGAGCCACCCCAAGTAACATACAAGATAAAAATATACGAGCTTGCTATCAAAATGAAACATCAAGACAAGCCATCTCGACTGCCACACAGATTTCCCTTCTGTGCTGTCCTATATAAAGATTTTGAGTGCCACTGCAAAGGACCTAACATTGGTTTGCCTTAGGGAAAAAAAATTCTTTCTTTAGTTTTGTTTTTTTCTTTCATTTGTTTACATCTTAACATTTTCTGAATTGCTTCTGATAACCTTATTCAAGCTACAGTGAACCTAAATAACCTTCTTATCAAGGTTGCAGAAGGGAGATGGTGGCTCAGTAATGAAGACCCGAAAAAAGAAAAAAAAAAAAGTCATCTCCTGAGAGGAAGAATCTATGGCTTCTAAGGATTACTTGATCTCAAATTCAGTATGGTGGAAATCCTGAACGCTGGAAATAGGTATGCTGACAATCTGCACGATCATCACAACTTCCTACCTGACTGAACAGACACAGAGAGCACCATCTGGGTGGGAAACGGGAGCCATCTAACTAGCCATTCCAGGAGAGCCGGGGCACCAAACTTACAATGATGAAGACATCCAGCTGGCAACTTGCTAAACAGAGAGCTCATCCACATAAAAACCTCCCCTATTCTTTATTTTTTTTCCTCAGCAATTTTACTGTAAAGCCCACCAGCTTTTGTTCTTAAGAAAGTTAATGCTGGAATGAGTTAAGACTTTGGGGGACTATTAAGAAGGGATGACTGTATTTTGAGATGTGAGAAGGATATGAGATTTGGGGAGGGCAAGGGTAGAATGATATGATTTGGATATCTGTCCCACCCGAATTTCATGTTGAAATGTAAGACTCAGTGTTGGGGGCTGGGCCTGTGGGAGGAGGTCTTTGGGTCGCGGGGTGGATTCCTTATGTTTTGGTGCTGTCCTCATGACAGTGAGTTCTCACAGGATCTGGTTGTTTAAGGGTGCAACACCTCCCATCACTCTCTCTTGCTCCTGCTCTTGCCAAGTGATGTGTCTGCTCCTGCTCCCACTTTGCCTTCTGCCATGAATAAAAGTTCCCTGAGGCCTCCCCAGAAGCCAAGGAGATGCTGGCATCATGCTCATACAGCCTGCAAAATCGTGAGCCAATTAAACCTCTTTTCTTTATAAATGACTCAGTCTCATGTATTCCTTTATAGCAATGCAAGAATAGTCTAACACAAAGCCTCAAACAGAAGGTATGAAATTGTAGAAAGACTCCACTAAGGATAAAGAAATCAAGATTATAGTTTCAGTCCTATGTGACTTTGGGCATATTCTTTAGCCTATCTAGGCTACAATACCTTCTCCATGAAATAAATTAGTTGAACTAAATGATCCCAAGTCTACAGAGTTAAGTCAACTTAAAGCAAAATACCATACTGGAAACTCATTCGAAAATACACTGAATAAAATAAGGTTCTAAAAAAACTTAATGCCACTTCCCAAATTATATAACCTGCTATACCTACTTCCTACAGCCTCTGCATAACTAGTAGAAAAGTGCCATGGTATAGTCATACCAATGGTAGAGTGTAACAACACATCCAACTACTATAAAATAGTGAAAATAACTCCCACAGGCTACTGTGGAAAAATCAGTTTTGTTGTTTACAGAAAAACAAAGTAAATGCAAATTTATCTTCCAACCCCAAATCAGAATTTATATTTTTTGAGGACTTTTTCCAGTTCCTTAAACCCTCCTCAATAGTTACCCACTCCTGCCTCTGTGCTGTCAATCTATTCTATATCAATTCTTGCATTTGTCATTTATTCATTTACTCATGTCTGTCTGTCTCACTTTTAGGTTGTCAAGTCCACAAAAGCAGAAAATATCTTCTTATATCTTGTGTTCTCAGTTCCAACCACTAGATCTGTATAACAGTCACAACTATTTCAGCTGCAAACCTAAAAAGGAATGTACAGGCTCATGTATCTAAAAGGTCCAGAAATAGTCTAAGCTTCAGGCACAGCTAGATCCAGCTGTTTAATTGATAGTTAAGAATCTGTCTCTCTCCATCTCTTGGCTCACGTTTCTTCATGTTGGTTCTATAAATAGACACCACTTTCTGGTGGTAAGGCAGCAATATTCCAGGCTACAGCAGTTTTCTTTCTCACTAATTATAGGTATCTCTCTCATGACCCTTTTTGGGTCTGTGTACATCTCTGAAACAACCACTGTAGCTCCAGAGACACAATCCTCATTGGCCAAATCACTGCAATTTGCCCACTCCTTGAGCAAGGTCAGTCTGTAGACTAAACTGTGGGTAGGGAGTTTCACAAAGAGCAAACCAAGTCCCACGTCCAGAAAAATAGAGGGGGCACAGAAGGCAGAAACAGCAGATATCCATTACAACTTGGTTGTTTGCTTAATTGAATGTAATTATGTTGGTAATAGAGACTTTGTCCTTTCATAGACTCTGATTGCACTACTACCTACTACGCAAACAGATTCTAATAAATTATGTCATGGTTAGTTAAGAATGGAGGAGGAGGAGATGGGATGGCAGATGAGGTACACAAGTGGATGCAGGCAAAGAGAAAACAGCAATATTTCTAGATCACCCTGAAAACTGAAGCTAAAATTCTACTTTTAAGTGTGTGAGGCCAGGCACACTGGCTCATGCCTGTAATCCTAAGCATGGGAGGCCAAGCAGCAGGGATCATTTGAGTCCAGTGTGAGCAACACAGTGAGACCCCGTCTCTAATAAAAATTGTAAAAAAAAATAAATAAACAAAAAAAAAATAGCCAGGCACGGTGGCACGCATCTGTGGTCCTAGCTACTCAGGAGGCTGAGGCATGAAGATTGCTTGGGCCCAGAAGACCAAGGCTGCAGTAAGCCATGATCACACCATTGCACTCCAGTCTGGGCAACAGAACAAGGCCCCAGTTGAAAAAAAAAAAAAAAAAAAAAAAAAAAGAATGCGAGTCCTTCCTTACACCATATAAAAAAATTAACTCAAATAAAGACCTAAATGTAAGACCTAAAACTATAAAACTCTCAGAAGAAAATAAAGAGATAAATCTATCTGATCTCAGATTAGACAACAATTTAGATTAGACACGAAAAATACAAACAAAAGAAAAAATAGACAAATTGGACATAATCAAAATTTAACACTTTTGTACTTCAAAGTATAACATTAAGAAAATGAAAAGACAACCCAAAGAGAAATACTTGCAACTCATTTATCTGATATGGGACTAACAACCAGAATCTATAAAGAATTTTCACAACTCAGTAGTAAAAAGACAAATAACCTACTTAAAAACTAGGCTAGGATTTGAACAGACATTTCTCCAAAGAAGATATGCAAATAGCTAATACCCCAATGAAAAAGTGCTTAACATCATTAGTCAGTAGGGAAACACAAATAAAAATCACAAAGACATGTCACTTCACATCCACTGAGATGGCCAAAATCAAACAGACAACAGGTATTGGTAAGGATATGGAGAAATTGGAAACCTTGTAAGTTGCTGGTAGAAATATAACATGTTGCAATCACTTTGGAAAATGATTGTGCAGTTCCGCAAAAAGTTATACGTATAGTTACTATACGACCTAGCAAACCCACTAAGAAAAATTAAAACATACATCAACATGAAAACTTGTATATGAATTTCCTAACAATATTATTCATAATAGCCAAAAAGTGGAAACAACCCAAATGTCCGTCAACTAATGGATGGATAAACAAAATGTGATCTATCCCTACCACGGAATATAAAGCTATAAAAAGAAAGTACTGGCTGGGCACGGTGGCTCACGCCTGTAATCCCAGCACTTTGGGAGGCAGAGGCGGGCGGATCACAAAGTCAGGAGATTGAGACCATCATGGCTAACACGGTGAAACCCCGTCTCCAATAAAAATACAAAAAATTAGCCGGGCGTGGTGGCAGGCGCCTATAGTCCCAGCTACTCAGGAGGTTGAGGCAGGAGAATGGTGTGAACCCAGGAGGCAGAGCTTGCAGTGAGCAGAGACCGCGCCACTGTACTCCAGCCTGGGTGACAGCAAGACTCCGTCTCAAAAAAAAAAAAAAGTACGGATACATGCTACAACATGGATGAACTTTGAAAACATTAAACTAAATGAAAGAGGCCAGTAAAGAAAAACCACATAGTGTCCAGAAGAGGCAAAATCCAAATGCAGAAACTATGTTAGTGGAGGGAGAAAAAAATGGGGAGTGACTGCTAATGAGTACAGGTACCTTTTAGGATAATAAAAATGTTCTGGAATTAGTGGTGATGGCTGTACAACTTTGTGAATACACTAAAAGCCCAATTGTGCATTAAAAGAATAA
Source organism: Homo sapiens (assembly GCF_000001405.40). Classification (NCBI taxonomy): domain Eukaryota; kingdom Metazoa; phylum Chordata; class Mammalia; order Primates; family Hominidae; genus Homo; species Homo sapiens. The sequence continues at coordinate 90,667,314 of NC_000007.14, read as the reverse complement.
ATTTCATGGTATATTATTTCTATCTCAATTTTTTAACTCGAATACGGGCTGGGTATTAGCCAAGGAATTGCTATAATTTGGTAGGTGCAAAAATACTATTGAGGTCATACCAGGCAATGTCCCCTTTTATAAAGATGTACAATGATGACTATAAGAGTGAAATGACATGATTTCTTGGCTATGCTTTAAAACAGTTCAGCATCACATGTACCCCAAAATTATTTATACCTATTATGTGCAACTATCATATATCAATCAATAAGTAAATAAATAAATAAAAATAAAATAGTTCAGCAAGAAAAAGTTAGATGATAAAGAATATGGCAAAACCTTGCTAAGGGTTGAATCTGGGTAATAGGCATATGCAGATTCATTGTCCTCTTCTCTCTACATTTGCATGTGTTTGAAAATTTTCAAATAAAAAATTATTGAAAGAGATTGCGATACAAAATGTGCATTTCTTGTGTTTGGACTATGTGGCAATCAGGACAGCAATGGCTTTAATGACTCTCCACTGAAAATGAAGTAAATATTGAAATACTGAAACGATGTCATGGAATCCATTCAAAGAGGAACAAAACCTGCCTGGTGTTTCCATTACTTTCAGGACCTTCCTTCCTAAGATACCGCCTCTTCTTAACCAAAACCATGTTTTAAGGCAACATTTTCCCAAACTATGTTCCGTGAAATAACAGACATTTCTCAAGATATTGACAGATATCTTCAAACCAAAGTGTTACACGGTCAAATAAATTTGAGAAGTACTGCATCAAAGTTAAAGTATTTGCTACACTAATTCTCAAAGCTGTTAATATGCCCACATGTGCAACAAGTCATCCAAAAAGGGCTATAGTATGTCTCATTCGGGAAACTGGTGTGAATCCACTTATTTCTACAGCATACCTACTTGTGAAGTACTTCATGGAAAGCTGCAGCGTCACAACCCTGGCAGAGAATCAGAATCACTTCCACAGCCTGATAAAAATAAAATTTTTGTATATTTTTTAACATTAACCCTGATCCAGAGTTTATGAAATACTGTCTTAAAGTTTTTGCTTAAGAAAAGATATCTGAGCTGGGCCTGGAAACAAAACAAGAAGTTAACCAAGCAACGTTGTATTCAAGGCAATAAGAATAGCAGGTACAGGGATGCAAACACAAAAGGTCCCATGAAGCACTTGGAAACCAAGAGTAACCACCTATTACTGGGCAATGGAAGTACATCAGAGGACAAGGGCTGGCAGAAGATGAGGCTGCAGGGGAAGGCAGGGACTAGGCAGGGAACTCTGCTGGGCTACTGAGTTGGATGTGAGAGCAGTGGAAAAGGCCACTGAAGGACTAAACAGAGTGCTATGGTCACACCTATAGTTCCTTTTGGTGTCCCAAAATAGGTGTACATCCATCCTGAAGCATGATGATTTTATCGAGATAAGTCCTGTGTCTATATCAGAACTGATTTGCTAAATGAAGCAACTTCCCAGTCTACATTTGTAATTACTCAAACTTCAGCCAAGGTATAATTCACTTATGGAATACTACTACTCCTCTAACTATTGCTATTAGGGGCTGCAAATGCAGAAATTTTTAAATGTGTAGTTCTCCTGTATTACATACACTAGAAAATTCCTTTCCAAAATCTTCTTTTTCCCTGATGCCTGAATTTCTAGAAAGGAGAGAAGACTTCAGGGATCTGCTACCACCTGAAAGAACTTCCCCTCATTACTTAAAAGCTACTCTATCATCATTTCTCCTATTGCACTTTCAATTAATAACCCGGACTGAAACTGAGGTTAAAAACTGTACCCTCACAGCCTTACTGGGGATTTGCTTTTTAATTGGTTTGTTTGCTATCCATTGCATATTTTCCTGCTTTCTGCTAAACTCCTCAAGGGCAAAAAACAACTGTTTATCATTCACCACTATATTCACAGAAACCAGCACAGTACCTGCCATAGAGGGCAAAATAACTAAAGAATGAATGAGTGCTTTTTATTTTTTATGTTTTTATTATTTATTTATTTATTTATTTATGAGACAGTGTCTCACTCTGTTGCCGGGCTGGAGTACAGTGGCACAATCTCAGCTCACTGCAACCTTCGCCTCCTGGGTTCAAGCAATTCTCCTGCCTCAGCCTCCCGAGTAGCTGGGACTACAGGCGCCCGCCACTATGCCCAGCTAATTTTTTAAATTTATTTTTAGTAGAGACTGGATTTCACCATGTTGGCCAGGCTGGTCTCGAACTCCTGACCCAGTCATTCACCCGCCTCAGCCTCCCAAAGTGCTGAGATTACAGGTGTGAGCCACCTTGCCTGGCCGAATGAGTGCTTTTTAAATACTATTAGCAAAAACATGATTTCTTTTTAAATTTTATTATTATTATACTTTAAGTTTTACAGTACATGTGCACAATCTGCAGGTTTGTTACATATGTATACACGTGCCATGTTGGTGTGCTGCACCAATTAACTCGTCATTTAGCATTAGGTATATCTCCTAATGCTATCCCTCCCCCTTCCCCCCACCCCACAACAGTCCCCAGAGTGTGATGTTCCCCTTCCTGTGTCCATGTGTTCTCATTGTTCGATTACCACCTATGAGTGAGAACATGCCGTGTTTGGTTTTTTGTCCTTGCGATAGTTTGCTGAGAATGATGGTTTCCAGTTTCATCCATGTCCCTACAAAGGACATGAACTCATCATTTTTTATGGCTGCATAGTATTCCATGGTGTATATGTGCCATATTTTCTTAATCCAGTCTATCATTGTTGGACATTTAGGTTGGTTCCAAGTCTTTGCTATTGTGAATAGTGCCGCTATAAACATACGTGCCCATGTGTCTTTATGGCAGCATGATTTATAATCCTTTGGGTATATACCCAGTAATGGGATGGCTGGGTCAAATGGTATTTCTAGTTCTAGATCCCTGAGGAATCGCCACACCGACTTCCACAATGGTTGAACTAGTTTACAGTCCCACCAACAGTGTAAAAGTGTTCCTATTTCTCCACATCCTCTCCAGCACCTGTTGTTTCCTGACTTTTTAATGATTGCCTTTCTAACTGGTGTGAGATGGAATCTCATTGTGGTTTTGATTTGCATTTCTCTGATGGTCAGTGATGATGAGCATTTTTTCATGTGTTTTTTGGCTGCATAAATGTCCTCTTTTGAGAAGTGTCTGTTCATATCCTTTGCCCACTTTTTGATGGGGTTGTTTTTTTCCTGTAAATTTGTTTGAGTTCTTTGCAGATTCTGGATATTAGCCCTTTGTCAGATGAGTAGGTTGCAAAAATTTTCTCCCATTCTGTAGGTTGCCTGTTCACTCTGATGGTAGTTTCTTTTGCTGTGCAGAAGCTCTTTAGTTTAATTGCAAAAACATGATTTTTAAGCAACACTCAGAAAAAAAAACAACAATTTGGAAAGTTTTTAAGGAAAATATAAAATATGTGAAAAGTGTAAAATTTAGTTACAGAAAATGTATTAGAAAATATTACTTTCAGATTTATAGTGTAATTAATTTTCACTGAAAACTCAGTATTTTTTGCAAAGCAATTCCTATTTTCCAAAGTAAAGGTACTATTAAAATGCAAACATTATCGAGGAGCTCTTGAACCATTAAAAGGAAGAAAAATCTGTTTTTGTTTTATTAAAACCAAAGGTGACTGAAGGTTGCAATGAATTTTGAGAGAGACACTAAATAGAAGAGTATGACCAAAATATTGAAGCAGAAATTTTGCTAGTAACAATTCAGTGCATGGGAATATTTCTAGTTTCTCACACTAGAAAAATGGAGACAAGAAAACAATGGTTTCTCCTCAGAGCTCAAAGGCATAAACTAACACACTGAAGGAGGGGAAGAACTGGAGAATGCAGGTTGTGAACATACTGGCAGGAGCCCCACTCTCCCTGCTCACTGTGCTAAGACTCATCCATTAACATCAGCAGTTCCTTACTAAGTATCTACGACACCCTCCGTATGAAAGACAGGGTGATCCAAGATAAATAAATCTTAACGTTTTCCCAACCACTCAATTTCTGAGAGAGAGTGTGAATATGTAATAAACAATTTTAAATAGTTCAAAGCAATACACATGAAGTGAAGTGTAATTTTTTATATGGAGAGAGATTTCCCAAAGTTGGTAAGAAAGAAGGGGGTGGCCTACATGGAGGTAACAGAACTCTACGTGTGTGTGTGTGTGTGTGTGTGTGTGTGTGTGTGTGTTCCCATCTTAGTTCCAATCACCCCAAAGTGTGTGTAGACATTCCACTCAACGCAAAGGGAACAACAACAACAAAAAATACTTGTGTGCTACAGCTAGGTTTCACATCCATTTCCCCTAGCCTTCACAGTAAAGTACATGCTCACATCTCCACTTTACAGATGAGTAAACTGAACAGGGGCATGAGGTGATCAGGTTGCATAGCTAGAAAGTGGAGGAGCCCAGATTCAAACCCATGTTTATCTGGTACCAAAGTCTCTGCTCTTGTCATACTTGAGTTCTTCTTGAGAAAAAGCAATACAAGCAAGATGATGAAACCTTTCTACAAATATTTCCTCTCTTATAAATGAGCTATAAAAAATTAAAAGGCAACTTCCAGCTCATAATCCTAACAGCTCATGGTGCATAGCACCTTCCCTGTGCCAAGCACTGTTACAAGTACTTTACAAGTGTGAACTCATAGCATCCTTGCATTTCTGTGAGGAAGTAAATGTGATTTTACAAAGGAGGAAAGTGAAGCACAGAGAGGTTAACTAACTGCCCAAGGTTATTCCTCTTAACAGAGGAATTATTCCATAAGCATTATTCCACTATCATGCCAATGAAGTATTCAAATGAAAATCACCCCAAAGGCAACAGATTCTTTAAATGTCCCCATTTAAATGTCCCCATCTCTGGCTTTGCCAAGGGCACTTTCCTCAGGGGAGAAAATCAAGAGAGCAAGAGAGCAAAGCAGGACTTGTATTTCACTGGCACAGCATAACCTGGGTGCTGGTTCACTTCTTATCACCCATGGGCTCTGTGACTTCCCACAAGTTACTTAGCTTCTCAGGGCCTTAGACTCTGTCACCTGTAAAATGAGGAGCTCATGATAAATGATACCAGAATTTCTTTCAGTTCTAAATGCCTGTGGTTTAAACTGATGGACTTGTTGTATACCAATTCTCCTAAGTTCCAAACATGTGAAAGTGTTCCTCAAAGTATTGACAAAGTTGTTTAAAATAAAGCACACAAATGCTTTTTCCAAAGTGAAGTGACCTCATGGAGGGACGTGCCAATTTTTCTTACTCCTTTGTTGAAATATAATTGTTTTTACTCCCTGGAAGGACTCTGAAGCTCCTGCCAGACAAGCTCTAGCAAGCAGCATATTTAATCCTTTTGTAATGCAGGGAGTTCTTTGACTACCACTAGGCAGCTGTTACATTTGCTCCAGAGACCCTTGCTACATGGGTAGGGCACCGTATGAATTGAGCCAGCCTTGCTGTATGAGATAGAGCAACTTTTGCACACAAGCCTCAATACATTTATAACCTCCTAGACCTTCAAGTGACAACAGAAGAATCAGTCCTAGCAACAGTGGCTGTAATAACACAAGCCAGGCTCAAAAGTGAAGAATGCTTAGTGAGGTCCCAGCACACAAGGATTAGAAACCCGTTAAAAACTAGTCACCAGATGACCTACAGTGACAAGGCATGTCATAATAATCTTGATGATAACACTGAGAATTTGGGTTAATGCCACCAGACACAGAAGGCATGTGGTTAAATACAGGGTTATCTAAATATGTAGACTTAAAGACCATACCCAGTCACTGCCCAATTTCATCACTAAGACTAGCATATATTCCAAAGAACTTGTAACAACAGGTTCTATGAACATAACTAACAAACAATTCGGCACAAGGACCTCCATGTGTGGCTATGTAGATCACGTACTCAAAATTCCAGAGGGTGCAATTTACGTAAGCTGTCTATGAATAGTGTCCCTCAGAGTTGTACACTACAGTGGCCCTGCTCAACACACTTCTAAAATAGAAATGAAGCTAGAAAAAAGGGCAGCAATAGATATTTTGCAAAAGATGTTTTGTTTTGGCTTTTAATTTCAGTTTGAGAAAAAGCATTAGGCAAATTTCAGACTCTCAAGAATTTCCACAGGACTCTTGCAGCAGACATAGAACTCAATTCACCAGTGCCTTAACATTTTGGCAGAAAAGTTTTCAGAATCACTGGGGAATAACCATATGACGAATGTCTGTTCCATCTCTAAAAGCCAAGCAGTCATGGTTGAAGGCAATTCACACAGTGGCTGCACTCCATGGTTTTGTCAGTTTCTACCTCCTGTGACTCAGGAGCCACTGCTTTGCAGTTGGGCCACAAAAAGGTATTCAAGAAACAAGACCATTCCCTCCTGATGGGTCCATTCACCTGAGACATGTGGTCAGTGTATGCATTTCCATGGGAGGGCCAAATAGTCACACTTCACTAAACCAATCCAACCAGGAGAAAGTCATTCGGAACTTAAGGAAAAGTCAGAGCTACAGAGCATGTTATAGAAAATGCTTATTTTTCCACCATTTGAAGAGATTCAAACTAAGTTTCTGAAAGATCATTGAATTGAATACAGTTTATAAACAGTAAACTACACAGAAAATATGTACCTATTTGTACTGTATGACACTGATATTGTATGTATATATCAATACACATTATTTTATCTGTTAGTTCGTCACATTTTGACACCAGAAATTCTCTTTTATCTTCTCACTGCACTTAGCAGGGTGCCAGGAACACAGTAATAATAGTTACCACTTAATGTTACATTTATCAGGTACCGAGTATAGAGCTAAGCATTTTTATATTAATACATTCAATCTCTACAGCAAAGCTAAGAGGTAGGCAATATTATTATTCCCATCTTACAGAGGAAGAAACTGGGGCTGAGAGAAATTAAGTAACTTGCCCAGGTTAGTAAATGGTAGAGCCAATATTTGAGTTAGTAAATAGATACTTGAGTTAGTAAATAGATATTTGAGTTAGCCAGTATTTGATTTAGCAAATTGTAGAATTAGTAAATGGTAGAGCCAATATTTGACCCCAGGGGGTGTGATGCTCCAATCTATGCTCTTAGCCATCACACTACTCTTTCTCAACATTCTACACGTTCAATAACTGTTACTAAAATGATTATGCATGGATCCTTCATTACAGAAGCACTGTAAACCATTATCTTCTCCAAAATAGGTCAAACATTTACTTTATATCTATGCCATTAATTTCTCAGAAAATGCTATTTAACTTTAAGCTCAATCCTTATCCATTTCACAGTAATTTTCTAATTAGTGGAGTCCAAATTAATAAGGTCGTGCTTTTACTGTTGGAGTCAATCCAAAAAATCTGCACCCATGAGCACGTGCGTGCACACACACACACACACACACACACAGAGAGAGAGAGAGAGAGAGAGAGAGAGAGAGAGAGAGAAGCATTCCCTGGCTCCAGGATTCCATCCCCTCCAAAAACCCCAGACTGCTGAGCTCTTTCTGAATTACTTGGAACTTTCCCACCGCCCTTTGTACCATTCTTGGACACTTTCCTTCATTTCTACCTTATATCATTATTTGTATAAGCTTGACAAAACAGGGGAAATCAGGAGAATATCAAAAGAATGGACATTTTTATACCAGAATTGCTTTTTCTTTTTTAACCAAAGGTACTGTTTCAGGGTAATATTCTTGCGGGCCAAATTCATCATATCCCTATTTTTAATAAGATCATTCCTGGCAACATTCATGGAATTATTAAACTATGTATATTTTTTAAAAGTAGTTTCAAATTTCTGTCATTTCAGCAAGAAACGTATATTTATTGAACAAAAAGAAGCTGTACTACCTTAAAATTCTGCTGTTTCTTGCAGACAAATCAGCAGGAAGCATATAATCTAACCCTTTGGGGTCTGAACATAATATGAGGCCTGCGAAAATGCTATAAACTTACAGGGATTATTGTCTTGCTTTGGGTTCGTGAATTTTCCCCCTGATATCTTTAACACTTACTCAAAGTGCAGACTGTTATTTCAACCAATATTCTACCAACAGTCTGTGGATTCCCATTGTCTAGATTACACTGGGAATGCCACTTTATATATAATGACCAACCAACGTATAGGTTTTTAGAACAAATGTAAGAAGAAAGACATAAGAGGAAAGACTGTCATGCATTCTTTTAATCCCCAATGTTTTTAACACTATGCCCCAAAATCCAAAAACAAGTATTAGTCATTTTTTAAATGTTTAACCCAGAATTTAGGGAGAGTACCAGACACACTATTGTTCTTTAATTATTATCATCCTGAATCTATACTCCATTGTAACTCTAATTCACTACTAGACAGAAACTACCAGAAGGAATGAAGAACCAATCGCATTTATCAAAAAGAAACTACCCCCGATTCAGAAATGCTAAACATATCATAGTTACCATATGACACATCAATTACACTCTTAGGTATATACCCAAACAAAATGAAACCTTATTTCTCCATAAAAAAACCTATGTATGGGTGTTTATAGCAGCACTATTCACCATAACAAAAAAATGATAACAACCCATATCTCCAGCAACCAAATGAATAAACAAAATGTGTCCTATCCATATGATGGAATATTAGTAAACCATAAAAAGAAAGCACTGATACACGCTACAACAAGGATGTACCTTGAAAACATGTTAAATGAAAGAACACAGTGACAAAAGACCATACAGTGGATGCTAAGATCTGAACATTTATGCTCCTCGCTCCAAAATCCGTATGTTGTAATCTAATCCCCAATATGATGGTATTACGAGGCGGGCCCTGGGGAGGTAATTAGATCACGAGGGTGGAGCCCTTATGAATGAGATAAGTGCCCTTATAAAGGGCTGAAAAGATCAGAGTATCCCTTCTACCATCTGAGTATACAGTAAGACTTCATAAGTGTGCAACCTAGAAGAGGGCCCTCACCAGAACCATGCTGGCATCCTGATCTTGAACTTTCAGCCTCCAGGACTATGAGAAATACATTTCTGTTGTTTATAAGTCACCCAGTCTAAGATATTTTGTTACACTAGCCCAAATAGACTAAGATGGTGCGTGATTCCATTTAGGTGAAATCTCTGGAATAGAGAAATCTTTAGAGACAGACAGTAGGTAAGTGGTTGCCAGGGGTTGTGGGAGGAGCAGTGACTGCTAGCAGGCACAGGGTTTCATTTTAGGGTGATGAAAATATTGGGAAACCTCAACCTAATTATAAAAAAAGTCAGACAAATCTAAATTGAGAGCCATTCAACATAATAATTGATCCTACAGTTTGAACAAAAATTAGATCTTATGGCAAAACAGAAGGAGCAAAGATGTGGACTAGCTCTATGACCTTCATGAAGTTACCTAGGCTCACTGGGCCTTGGTCTCCTCATGGTAAAATAGGAGCTTATAGGGTTGTTGCATATAGTAAAAATTAAATATTCTGTGATATCCCTAGCATGAAGTAAACAGATGGCCATTAAATTTTTATTTTTGCTGTCGTTGTTAAGTTGGCCAGGTCATTAAGATAAAGTTTAAGCCTTTGGCAACCAAATGACTCACTTGAGCTGTGCTGTCCAATAGAGTAGCCACTGGCCCATATGTGGTTATCTGAATTCATTAAAATTAAAAATTCAGTCCCTCAGACCCATGAGCCACATTTCACATGCTTAAAAATCCTAAGTGTCTAGTGCCTACCACATTCAACAGCATGGATCTAGAAAAATATCAAAAGATTAATTTATATAGATCTAGAACATCTCTGCCAACACTATGCCAGAAAACTAAAGATATTAAAATTTACTATCACATGCTAAATTTTACATCCAGCTTTAGATTTTTACATCTACTTTAATAAATTTAGCATCAACTATTGAGAGCTCTGTCAAGGCAAAGAAAAGATGGAGAATGAACTAAGTTGATGAATGTCCACTGAAAATATTTGTAAAATATATTTCAAGCAAGGAAACAAAAATAAATCAAACTGTATTCAAAGTCCTTATCACAGTGAATGATTTGGGCTATTCAATAGCCCAAAACCATTTGACCATTTGGGCTATTGAATAGTCCAAACCATTTGCACCTCCAAAATGTAAAACTATGATAGTCTCTTACTATTGAAAAATGAAAGGGAGAAGGAGTTACATAAATGAGAAACAGGAATTTCTAATCAACCAAATGTTTGTGACATCAATTTTTCATCTATAAATTATATTTTTTAGAAAATATTTTTAAATATTTCTCTGCAAGTATTTCCAGTTCACACGATCTTGTTGGTGTCAGCAGAGAGAGGCATAAATCTCAAAAGGCAGTGAGATGTGTCATATTTTAGCCTAAGTCATTTTCTATGAAACAGACTGTGTTTTTCCACTATTGTTAGTTGTGCCTGTTTTTCAGTTACTAAAAAAACTTCATGTTTATGATCTTTATAAATAATTGCAAAAAAACTATAAAGTTGTTTCTCATGTTTATTGTCACACAAGATGCTCTAACTACATGGAGAATAATGCAGACTGGAATGCTTCCATTAAGTGGGCACAACCAGATCAAGAAGCTCTAGACAGTCTTCAGAAAAAAGGAGAAGGCGGGGCGCGGTGGCTCACGCCTGTAATCCTAGCACTTTGGGAGGCCGAGGCAGGCAGATCACAAGGTCAGAAGTTCAAGACCAGCCTGGCCAATATGGTGAAACTCCATCTCTACTAAAAATAAAAAAATTAGCCGGGCATGGTGGCACGTGCCTGTAGTCCCAGCTACTCAGGAGGCTGAGGCAGAAGAATCGCTTGAACCTGTGAGGCAAAGGTTGCAGTGAGCCAAGACTGCTCCACTGCACTCCAGCCTGGGTGACAGAGCAAGATTCTGTCTCAAAAAAAAAAAAAAGAAAGAAAGAAAAAAGGAGAAGCACCAGTCCACTCTAATTTAGGTTAAGGAAGATTCTGGGCTACCATGCATGACGTATTTAGTTTCAGGTATCAAAATAATAATGAGTCCAAATTTATGATGAAATGTTGAATAATAAGTGAAACATTCCCCATTGTAACTCAAATGCTTTCACGTTCAAGATATTAATATACCCCATATGAGGAAGCCAAATGGAGTCCCTAAAAGAAAAGGATGAGCATTTGGCTTTAAAGTGAGTGCACTCTGTTTGCCTTATTCCAGCTGGAATACACAGGTAATTATGCCTGGAAGTCGCAAAAGGTTTCCCCATGGGAGCTGTAAGTGCTTTAAAAACATGGGCTAATCCACCTTTATAACATCCCCAGGCTGCAGAGACAGGCCTCATACTTGGTGAGACACAAAAAAGTTCAAGTGATTTTCCTGAAGTTAGGTTTTCAGATGGGAATTTATATGTTCTGGCTCAACACTGAACCAGAAGATTGAAACAGACCACTAGAAATGAAGGGTGTTTCAGCATGAGTCAAAGTCTCTGATGAAAGGTTGGCAAATTCACAAGATGTCAGACCCCTCGGCAGAATTATTGGTGGCCACAGGAAGTCTTGAAAGAATGGCTCTTTGCTTACTCAAAAGGAAGTAAGAGCTATGTTAACAACCAAAGAAGTGTTCATACTCTAGATATGCATTTGTAATGTGTTTAGGTCCTCAATTTGAAATAAAAGTGGTTGAGTACGTTGCTCATGTGCAATTATAAAACAGATAACAATTTTATACTTGATTTATGTCAGATATTCAGTTTGTATTTCAACTCTAATTCTCAGATCATACTTAAGTATGTGATTAAGTGATTAATCAAGCCTAAGTATGTCTGGCAAGGAAGTCAGTATCTGCCCTTAACTGTGACTAGTTTAAATAAACCCCTTTTCAGAAATCACATTTTTCCAGGCTGTTTTTTTTTTAAACCGATAGACCATCTCGAACTTCACATGCATCTTAAATCCTGGGACACCAGTACAAAATTTACATCCAAACACAATCCTGCACTACATACTTACAGAAGCTTTATTCATAATTGCCAAAACTTGGAAACAATCAAGATAGGTAAATGGAAAAACAAACTATGTTACATCAATGGGTAAATGGAGAAACAAACTATGGTACATCCATACAATGGAATACCACTCAGTGATAAAATGAAATGAGCTGTCAAGCCATGGAAAGACATAGAGGAACCTTAAGTGTATACTGCTAAGTGAAAGAAGCCAGTTTGAAAAGGCTACAGACTATTTGACTTCAACCATATAACATCTGGAAAAGGCAAAACTATGGAGACAGTAAAAGGATCAGTGGTTGGCAGGAGCTCAGGGCAGAGAAGGAGAAATGAATAACAGGTGAAGCACAGGGAATTTTTTAGGGTACTGAAACTATACTGTGTGATACAGTAATGGTAAATACATGTCATTCATTTGTCAAAACCCAGAGAACGGCACAACACAGAGTGAACCCTAATGTAAACTATGAACTTTAGTTAATAATAGTGAGTCAATCTTGGTTCATGAATTATACTAAATGTACCATATTCACGCAAAATATTAATAACAGGGGAAACTGGAATAGGGAATGAGAAGTAACATGGGAACTCTGTACTTTCTGTTCAATTTTCCTGTAAACTGAAAGTTGAGCCCCCTCCCACCCAAAAAAAGCCTATTAATTTTTTTAAAAAACTGACAGGCCTTCCCAAACTTTGTATGCATCTTAAATCCTGGAACATCCATCAGGAATTCTATCTGATGGAGAGTTCTTACGGTGAACTTATTTTTTAGTGAAATGATGAGTTCTAAAAAGCAAAGTTTCAGTCACTTTACATTGAAAAAGACTTTACACTCTCCTTGATGTTGTTTCATTAAGCTAAATAAAGAAAATAACTTCAAAATTCTGGCCAAGGGACAAAGTTAATATACATGGTAGAAAGAATTAGCAACTGATTTGTGAATTGTTGTCTGCATTTTCCACTGAGTAATCAGCTAATTTCATTTGCTAGATTCTCTCTCTGTCACTCTGCTTCTCAAGTACATTACTAGTTTTCATTTCCATTATTATTAATTAAATGTTAACCTTTATTATAAATTCCTCAGGGTAGGGACCATGCTTTAGCTATTTCTTATCCTCAAGGTTGAACATACTAAGAAAGGACAGGAGTGGGAAAGGGAAGAAGAAAGGAAGGCATGCCTTACAAGAATTTCTGCATACCAACTATTCACAACAGCAAAGACTTGGAACCAACCCAAATGTCCAACAATGACAGACTGAATTAAGAAAATGTGGCACATACACACCATAGAATCCTATGCAGCCATAAAAAATGATGAGTTCATGTCCTTTGTAGGGACATGGATGAAGTGTGAAACCATCATTCTCAGCAAACTATCGCAAGGACAGAAAACCAAACACCACCTGTTCTCACTCATAGGTGGGAATTGAACAATGAGAACACTTGGACACAGGGTGGGGAACATCACACACTGGGGCCTGTCATCAGGTGGGGGGAGAAGGAGGGATAGCATTAGGAGATATACCTAATGTAAATGACGAGTTAATGGGTGCAGCACACCAACATGGCACATGTATACATATGTAACAAACCTGCACATTGTGCACATGTACCCTAGAACTTAAAGTATAATAAAAATAAATAAATAAATAAAAGAATTTCTGCATACCAATCTGCCTCAGCAGGAAATCCATAAAACACTCAAATTGGGCATGATGCATTCAAATGGAGTTTGATCAAGGGACAACTTTTAAAGTCATGATCAGGGTTAGTGTTCATGACAAGGAATGGTTACCCCTCTCGGTGCTGGAAAGGTCAAGGAGTGGTTCCTAGGATCCAGAGAAAGGAGGAAAAATGGGAAAGGATAGAAGGAGACACAGAGAGATGGAGCCAACAGGTGCGAATCTAATGGAGAAGAGCTAGGGGAATAATAAATCTGATTATATAGCTGTTAATAGACTGAAAAAAATTAAAACGGGTCACAGAGGTAATTCCAATATTAGTAACTATTAGAAGCAACTACTAGCCTTAGAGCTGAAGAAACAGAGGGGGGTTGTGGAGTTACCAGAATCTGGGTGCTCAAAGGAGGGATTGGCTCTAGAAGCCTAAGTGGGGCTGGGGGAGTGGGAGGTGTACAGTGTATAAGTACACCTAATCAAGGGGTACTTAGAGGCAGGAGCTGGTACAGCCAAAATTATATACACCCAACATCATTCTCAGTCTACCCTCAGATCTCCTGAGTTCTTCACATTGGTCAAACCTGGCTAGAACCAAAGGGCAAGAGTGTTCACTGGTGTAATCCACACAGGTCAGCCAACCCAGGGTACAGAGCAGGATGGAAAAGAAATTCAGGGGAGCAAATACAAGATATCTAGCATATTTGAAAACACACATGCAAACAAGCAAAGACACAGCTGTATGCAACCTTCACTTCTATCTATCATGATCATTAGACTCAGGCCAACCTAAGGTTTAAATCCTAACTTCCGTCACTTTGTAGATGTGTGTCTTTGGGCAAATGATTTAACCTTTAAGCCTCAGGTTTATCACTTACAAATTACAACTAACTAGAGTAACTATTTCAGAATTGTAAGAATTAAAGAAGACAACATAAATAAAGTGCTCAGTGCCTGTGTACAGGAAGTACCATTATTATCTGCCCCACAACACATATTTAAATACAGTTTCTAGCACATCGTCTCACACTTATTTTGGTCCCTTCACTATTTAATGTATCTTTTCTATATCCCAAGTACAGAGCAAAGTCTTTCAAGGCAGGCAAGAGCTGAGTCATTTTACTCCTTTGCTATCCCTCAATGCACCTACCTGATATAGAGCTGTGTAAACATGACAACACAATAAATGTTTACTAAAGAAACAAAGTAACTCCTCTAATAAAAGTAGAAAGGCGTAACGAATTTATTAACCTGAAGAACAGAAGTACCATTAATTAAATCAGTAGCTATTTTCCTCTGGTCTATAAAATGTTCATTTGATTCATAAGTTGATATAATTATGCTTCCTCATGCAGGAGGTTCTCCTTATGTAAAATTCAAGTAATTCAGCAGATATCCCTTCTCAGCAAGTACTTCAAATTTTAATATACACAAACTATCAGTCACTCCAATTGGGGATAATAAGAAAATGAGGGAATTAGGGTTTGGAAATAGAAAAGGGAAACAAAGCAGATGACAGAGCAGTAGTAAAAGTCTTGGGAAAAATAAAGAAAGATGAGGGGAAGTAAGTGCTGGTCCTGCAAGTGCCCACTGGTGAGCAGTGTCTGTGAGGATGGAGGCCACTGGGAAGTGTGTAAAGGAGGCTCAAAGAGCAGGCACTCAGGCAAGCAGGAACTGGTAAAGCCAAAATTATACAGTGTATGCTCCTTTGTATTGGAAAATACATAGGAATAAGTACTTGTATTAAACAGACTGAACCAAACTACTCAACATCCCAGATAACCTGGATGTCTAGGACCACTGCGGACTAAGGAATTAGGATCCTGGAGGCCTGCTCTAAGAGGCCAGATCCATGAAGTCAATGGCTACGAGCATTAAAAAAATGAAAAAAAAAATCACTAAACATTTGAACAAAGGACCAGATGGAGAAGACAGTGGCCTCTTGGTATGACTGTCACCTGGCAAGAAAGAAAAATTAACTACAAACATGTCACTGTAATTGTGAGGGGTGACATATCCAGAAACCTTAATAACTGTTCCACTCAATGGAAAGCAGAAGCCTCACACATTATGTATTTTAAATGGAAGGAATTTAATACAGGAAGCTGATTATACAGGTGTTAAGAGACTTAAAAAAATAAAAAGGGGTCACAGAGGCAACCCCAATATTAGTAACTGCTAGAAGCAGAAACCAACCTTAGGGGTGAAGAAACACAAAGGGAGATGTGGAGTTACCAGCATCTGGGTGCTCAAAGGAGGGATCGGTATTAGAACCTTAAGTGGAACTGGGGGAATGGGGGGTGGGGCACACAGTGTAATTGCCACTTAGATCTTGGTTAGGGGCCATAGTAAAGTTGGCACAGTGAGTTCCTAAAGAAACTATAGGCTAGACAAATCATGAGTGAACTCCCATTCACAATTGCTTCAAAGAGAATAAAATACCTAGGAATCCAACTTACAAGGGATGTGAAGGACCTCTTCAAGGAGAACTACAAACCACTGCTCAATGAAACAAAAGAGGACACAAACAAATGGAAGAACATTCCATGCTCATGGATAGGAAGAATCAGTATTGTGAAAATGGCCATACTGCCCAAGGTAATTTATAGATTCAATGCCATCCCCATCAAGCTACCAAAGACTTTCTTCACAGAATTGGAAAAAACTACTTTAAATTTCATATGGAACCAAAAAAGAGCCCGCATTGCCAAGACAATCCTAAGCCAAAAGAACAAAGCTGGAGGCATCACAATACCTGACTTCAAACTATACTACAAGGCTACAGTAACAAAACAGCATAGCAGTGGTACCAAAACAGATATATAGACTAATGGAACACAACAGAGGCCTCAGAAATAACACCACACATCTACAACAATTTGATCTTTGACAAACCTGACAAAAATAAGCAATGGGGAAAGGATTCCCTATTTAATAAATGGTGCTGGGAAAACTGGCTAGCCATATGTAGAAAGCTGAAACTGGATCCCTTCCTTACACCTTACACAAAAATTAATTCAAGATGGATTAAAGACTTAAATGTTAGACCTAAAACCATAAAAACCCTAGAAGAAAACCTAGGCAATACCATTCAGGACGTAGGCCTAGGCAAAGACTTCATGACTAAAACACCAAAGCAATGGCAACAAAAGCCAAAATTGACAAATGGGATCTAATTAAACTAAAGAGCTTCTGCACAGCAAAAGAAACTACCATCAGAGTGAAAAGGCAACCTCCAGAATGGGAGAAAAATTTTGCAATCTACCCATCTGACAAAGGGCTAATATCCAGAATCTACAAAGAACTTAAACAAATTTACAAGAAAAAAACAAACGACCCCGTCAAAAAGTGGGCAAAGGACATGAACAGACACTACTCAAAAGAAGACATTATGCAGCCAATAGACACATGAAAGAATGCTCATCATCACTGGTCATCAGAGAAATGCAAATCAAAACCACAATGAGATACCATCTCACGCCAGTTAGAATGGTGATCATTAAAATGTCAGGAAACAACAGATGCTGGAGAGGCTGTGGAGAAATAAGTAGACTTTTACACTGTTGGTGGGAGTGTAAATTAGTTCAACCATTGTGGAAGACAGTGTGGTGATTCCTCAAGGATCTAGAACTAGAAATACCTTTTGACCCAGTGATCTCATTACTGGGTAAACACCCAAAGGATTATAAATCATGCTACTATAAAGACACATGCATATGTATGTTTACCGCACCACTATTCACAATAGCAGACTTGGAACCAACCCAAATGTCCATCAATGATAGACTGGATTAAGAAAATGTGGCACATATACACCATGGAATACTATGCAGCCATAAAAAAGGATGAGTTCACGTCCTTTGCAGGGACATGGATGAAGCTGGAAACCATCATTCTCAGCAAACTACCACAAGGACAGAAAACCAAACACTGCATGTTCTCACTCACAGGTGGGAAGTGAACAATGAGAACACTTGGACACAGGGCGGGGAACATCACTCGCCAGGGCATGTTGTGGGATGGGGTGCAGGGGGAGGGAGAGCATTAGGAGAAATACCTAATGTAAATGACGAGTTAATGGATGCAGCAAACCAACATGGCACATGTACATCTATGTAACAAACCTGCATGTTGTGCACACGTACCCTAGAACTTTAATTAAAAAAAAAGAAAGAGAAATAAAGAAGGAAAGAAGGAAGGAAAGAGAAAGAAAGAAGGAAAGAAAGAAAGAAAGAAAGAAAGAAGGAAGGAAGGAAGGAAGGAAGGAAGGAAAGGAAGGAAGGAAGGAAGGAAGGAAGGAAGGAAGGAAGGAAGGAAGGAAGGAAGGAAAGAAAGAAAGAAAGAAAGAAAGAAAGAAAGAAAGAAAGAAAGAAAGAAAGAAAGAAAGAAAGAAAGAAAGAAACTATAGGCTAGAGCTGTTGCTGACTCTAGGAGAAATAGTGACAGGAGCTGAGAACAGCAAAGTCCTTTCTCTCCCTACTGCATTTCAGTTCTCCACCAGTGTCTCCTACTGCCAGGAACAAACTGGAAATCCAGTGAATCTGGGAAGCATAATTTACAGAGTTCCAACCCCAGCCTCACAAAACAAAGTATAAAATGGAGAGGTTGAAGTTGAAACCACAATTAAATAGCCAGCACAGTTTGCTATCCATATTTTCCCTATTAGGTTTCAAGTCCCTCAACTGAGAACTCTCAGTTCTCAGGTTTTCCAAGAACCTAACCCTCATATTTGAGAACTAGCAAATGCTATGAAGCTTTTCTGAATAAAAATAAGTTGGAATATTTCACTAGAACACCATTCCTCTGTCAGGATTATAAATCTATTTCCTATTTATTTGGGCCAGAAGTTTCATAGGACAGGGCATAAAGAAATGCTTTTATTATTCAAAACACTGCCCAAATCCAACATTTCTTCCAAGAAAGGAAAATTCTTAATAGATTCCTAGCTTCCCCAAATCTGTTTAAATATCCTCCAATTCTCCTCCACAGAATTGGGCTCAGTGCTGGGATGAGGTCTGGGGGCCCTGAGAGAAGTGAGTATGTTTTGTTTCCCAGGTGGGTGAGATCTGAATCTCTAGGGGCCAGAAGGTAGTCATTCCCTAGAAAGGCCCCACTGATCCTTGCCTCCTAGTATTCACTCTTCTGTGTAGCCCCCTCCCATACCAATAGGACTGACCTGTGTGGATACTGCACCTGCAATAGGATATTACAGAAATGACAATGTGTGACTTCTGAGGTCTTAAAACACATAAGGGCTTCTATTTTGCCCTTGCTTGGATTACTCACTCTAGAAAACACCAGCCACCAGAATGTGAAGACACTCAGGCAACCCTACAGAGAGGTCCATGAGGCAAGGAACCTCATTCCTTAACCTTCTGCCAACAGTCATGTGAGTGAGGCATTGTGCAAGCAGAACCACATGGCCCAGTCAAGTCTTCAAATGAATGCAGCTCCAACCGCCATCTTGACCGCAACCTCCAAGACACCCAGAGCCTAAACCACCCAGCTAGGTTGCTCCCAAATTGCTAACCCACAGAAACTCTGTGAGAGAACAGATGTTTATTGTTGTTTAGGCACTAAGGCATGAAGTTTAGGAGTAATTTATTATGCAGCAATAGATAACTAACATACCCTCAAAGGACCCTCTTCAATTATAAATTCTCTCATTCTTAGTCAAAAGGACAAGATTCAGTAAACATGCATTGCTCCTGATCCCCTGACTGGACCTGAAACAATCTTCTAGCTTCATAAATGTCATGTATTTATTTCTTATCTATTTTTTTAATACAGGATCTCACTCTGTTGTCCAGGCTGGAGTGCAGTGGTGCAACCATAGCTCACTGCAGCCTCGAACTCCTGGGCTCAAGTGATCATCCAGCCTCAGCCTCCCAAGTAATTGGGATTACAGGCATGAGCTACTGCACCTGGCTTAATGTAGCAATTTATTTAAAGAGTTCAGCTGCTCCCACCTTCCCTATCTATTCAAATACTCTTTTAACATATCTTGAAATTTCTGTCAACTAAAGCCAAAAGAGGAATTAGTTGCCCATGAAGTTTTAACTCGCCAAACAACTTTACCAACACCTTCACTCAAAACTGCTTTTGAGTTACAGGAGGAAAAAAAAAAAGATAAAAAAATAAAACTAACCAGTCTCTTTAGAGATTTTAAATCATTTTAACGTACTTAAAGTGAAATCATTCTTTTAATAATTAGAAATAAGATTCACTTATAGACTGAAACATTGTAAAGCAAGCAAAGCCAAGCAAGGTCAGGCCCCCTAAGATTGTTCTAATATTGAAAGCATTTAAGCAGATAATCAAAGAACCAGTCACAGAGGTTATAAAAATATTTTTTATACCAATTGGAAGGTGGGACTAGATCGTCTTCAAGGTTCCTAACACACTAAGACGGTTCTACAAGTCTCTGGATGTCCTCCCAAACCTGTACAGTAATTCTCATCAGGTATAACTAAGTGTTGAAAGCAGCCTATAGTTCACAAGAAAAAATAATTTAATGGCTTATAAACATAAAAAGAAAATATGCTCAGCCTCACTAATAATTAAAGTAATGTAAATTTAAAATAACTAGTAAAGCATATATTTTCATGTTCCAGATTGCAAGCTTCAGAAAATGCAACAAGGGTAAAGGTGGAAAAACAGACATTTCAGATGAGGGTGTGAGTCAGTTCATCAGGCAATTTTGGCAATATATATAGTATTATAATTTTAAATGTATATTACCATATGTGACTCAATATTTAGTTGTTAACAAAACTATCCATTCATCTGTTTGTAAGAATAAAACCCAATAAACAACCTAAATGTTCACCAATTTTTAAAAACAGGTAAATAAATTATAGTACATCCATACGATGAATAGCATGCAACCTATGAACAGAATGAGTTGGATCTATATACATGCTGATATAAAACACTCTTCAATATACATTGCTAAGAAGAAAAGCTCCACTAGTGTGGAGCCCAAGGTGGGGAAGAGACCCATAGGCAAAGAAAATGTCTGGAAGCAGTTTTTAAAATGCTGTTCATAGTTATCTCTAAAAAGGGTAACCAGAGACTTGGGAGCATGAGGAAAACTTTTTATTTTATGCTCTTTTGTTTGATATGCATATGTTATATTTTTATTTTTTAAGTGAGGGGGAAAGCTTAATGGGGAAAAAGAACAAGAGAAAAGAATAAAGGCTTAAGTTATAGCTACTTTTCAACTAATTTGCAAGCAGTCCATCAAAGGAACCAGGGTCTGGCTTTGGGCTTAGAATACTCACATGCACGCTGAACCATTAAAAATCACCTCCAGCAGAATTAAAAAAAAAAAAAAAAGTCCTTCATACTGTCAGTATGCCTCTCACTAATTAAGCAACAACAGCTTTCTCTTGCCATCTTAATGCAAAACACTAACTCAACAACCGGAGGCTTCCATAAGATGAACATCCTCCTGCCTGCCCTTAAGCTTTGTGAATCAAGAAATATGATGGAATTACTGCCTTTCTTTGAATGTTTAGGCAAACAGTGGCAAGGCTAAAGAAACAAAAAGAAGTTGGCATTAATTTCACTAACTGGTGGGAGTTACCCAGAGCTCACAACTGCTGTCAAAAAGCTGGCTGCTCCTGCCCACAGACTCCACCCATAAATGTCAGTTGTGATTTTCTTCTCCACTGACCAAATCCTTTCTGAGACTAAGTGAGCACTTCCCAGATCAGTGATCTGCTTAAAAGAAATCTACTAAGTGGCTGTTAATTATTCTCACTGTGTGTGACACAGAAGGGAAAATGAAGTAGGACAACACATTTTCAACGTTCTTTTTTCTCTTTTTCTCCTTTGGCCAATATGTTAAAGATGGAAAATCTTTTGTATCTTGAAGTGGGCTTGCTTTAGCAACAGAAGTTAAAGGCTGTTTGGTTCATCTAACTATAAATAAATTATAACTGTCTAAAAACATTCATTTTAAGTGTTATCAAGTATGTAGTAGGACCTACTTTTAAAAGACTGATGACAGAGTGAGATCTCATCTCTAAAAAAAAAGGAGGAAAATACCCAGGATTTTTCTTATAAATTATTTAAGTGATGTTATCATGAGATTAAAGAAAAAAACCGTCAACCAACTTCACCAACACCTTCACTCAGATGCTCAAATGTTTTCAATTCAAGCCTGGCAAATGTGTAGATTTTTTAAAACTGCTTTTGAGTTACGGGGGAAAAAAAAGGATAAAACTAACAAGTCTCTTTAGAGATTTTAAATCATTTTAAGGTTATTTAAAGAGAAATCATTCATTCAATAATTAAAAATAAGATTCATTTGTGGACTGAAACATTGTAAGCCAAGCATAGGCCCAAAGTCCGTTTCCATAATCAAAATATTAATACCTGAAAAAAACTGAGGATGTATTTATGAGTGGCCAAGGCCACAATGTGCAAAAAACCTTCCAACTACAATAATGTGTAAAATATATATACATATATAAACATGTTGAGAAGAACACATGTAACCCTTAATCTCCACATCTCTATACAATGTAAATTCCATGAGACTGGAACTCTCATCCTTTCTGCCCTACAGAAATGTCTACCACATTTGGTGCTCACTAAAATAATAATAAAAAAGCTTACTTTTATAGAGCCATCTACTTTCTTTTCTTAGCGGTAAGATGTCTAAAATTCATAACCATCTACCTTAAGGTTTTGTCTAATCTTTATGCAAAAAGAAAAGCTAAATTCGACTGAATTTCTTGAAGTAACATATATGTATATTCTCATTACATTTTTTAGTTCAATAAATTGTAATAAGCATGCATGCTCATCAACATTTAAGTATGTTTCAAATTGAATAGGCCTATGGTGGCGAGTGCAGGAATCTAATGACCACTCTGGGCTGCACTTCCCAAACTGATGTCCAAGAAACATTGTTACCCATGGTATCACCAGAGGTGCCCCTAGAAGTATTCTGATAAAGTAAAGTTAAACAGGTTTCTTCCGTGTAGGATTTCACAGAGTCTTGAATATTAAACGCATATCCACTAAGAAGAGGATGTGAGTTTCCCAAACATATTTGTGCAGGAGTTTGTAGTCTACTTGTGGTTGCTGTTGAGTCTCTTTTCCTCTCAAATATATAAATGAATTACATAGAGCTGTTACCTAAATTAGACATAAGCTCAACAAGGATCCACAGATTCACCTTCCCGGCACTGAGACCTGAAGGAAGTTACTTAATGATTAGATTACCCATCAGGAAAACGGAGATAAAGATATGACTTAACTCATACTTGGCTTTAAGGGAATCCAAAATGGATATATGTTAGGTAATAAATAATTGTTTTGGTTATTATCATTATGACTGTTTTCGTCTGCTCAGGCTGCAATAATAAAATACCATGGACTGGTTGACTTAAACAACCGAAACTGATTTTCTTAGTTTTGGGGACTGGAAAGTCCAAGATCAAGGTCCAGCAGGGTTTGGTTCCTGGTCAGGACCCTTTTCCTAGCTTGCAGATGTCTGCCTTCCTGCTGTATACTCACACGGAGTAGAGGGAGAGAGAGTTCTCTGTTATCTCTTCAACATAAGGACATTAACCCAATTAGATCAGGGCCCTACTCTTATGATCTCATTTAATTTTAACTACTTCCATAAAGGCCTTATCCATAAATACAGTCACATTGGAGACTGGCGCTTCAATATACGAATTTTGAAGGGAGAAACAATTCAGTCCATACCAATTCCCTTTCCATCTGATTTATATCGTTTCACTCCTTACTATCTACTATATTGCTAAAAAAATAAAAATTTGAGGCTGTTGAGATGTGAACAGGTTTTTCAATTTACTGCTGCCACAGACCTGTGGAGGCCCAGAGTAGGGCTGTTGGCTTGGCTCTTCAGATCAAGTGAATGAAGCCATTCTACCCTGAGAAGACAGTAAATAAAGAGAAGCTGTCATCTGGCTTCCTAACTCAGCCATCAAGTTAACGTCACGCTGTATTATTATAAAGCGGTTCGACACAGAAAGAGCTTGGGCATGAGAAATAAGGGCCCCACATATATTTTACAACTCTTCTCATACTTAGCGGGAAAACCACCTTAAGAAACAAGGCTTTGCTACTACTGGACCAGCTAAATCCATAATGTTATAAATTAAGAAATTTCCATATGGTGTATATCAAAACAAATCATCACAATCCCAGAATGTAAAAATATGATGAAAAATAAAAAGTCAAAGGACAGACTAAAAGGAAATATTTGTCTTAAAAGTAACATTTAACATTACTATTAATATGTGTATGGAATGCAAAGAACAGAGCATATTATCAAAAACAAAGAAAACAACCAAATGTACTAATGAATAAATTAGAAACACAAAAAAGCCGACAACTCTTCAGTCAAAGGGAACCTGTGGGAACTGCTTGCCCAGATCACTGTGTTTGGAGGCTGTGTGTGTAATTGCACCAGGAATGCCCTCTCTTTGTCCTCATCTTGCCTCCAGGCAAAGGTCTGCTCATCTTTTGAGCTGTACATACATATCACCTCCCCTCCTATGCTGGCCACAACCTCCAGGTGCCTCCTCAAACACCTTTTCATACTTGACGCCTTCATGTTACCTACTGTAATTATTTCCCCACGAGATGTGGAACTTTTCTGAGTGCGAAACTAAGCCTTTCTCACTTTGCATCTCCAGTCTCCAGTATCTGGTACAAGTTTTGACACAGAGTGGGTATTCAGTATGAGTTCATTTAATAAATAACTTTCATCACTCTCAAGGCAGTAATAGGAAACAAATGGAGGTTTAACAATAATTTACTTTGATACTCAAAGAAATACACCTTTAAACGTTTACTGTGGAACAAATTATATAGTTAACAGTAAAAAAAAAATGTAAATGAGAAAAATTGGTTCAACCCTTCAGAAAGTAACATGGCAATACCTATGCAAGAAATCTCAGCAATCCCAATTCATGCTAGGCACAGTGGCTCAGGCCTGTAATCCCAGCACTTTGGGAGGCCAAGGCAGGCAGATCACTTGAGGCCAGGAGTTTGATATCAGCCTGGCCAACATGGCGAAACCCTGTCTCTATAAAAAATAAAAAAATAAAAATTTAATTAAAAAAAAACTCTTGCTATCTATTCATTTTTTCTGAGTGTCAGTCAGAATTTTATCCAAAGAAAGTAGCAAAAGAAGAAAATTAGCAGGTATAGAAATTCATATTTAAAACATCAAAATATGAGAAAGTACTTATATAGGGGGAAAATGAGCAAAGTATCCCACATTAACTTACTGAAATATTATGCAACCATTAAAACTGGTAATTTAAGACTGCATTTTTTTAAATGTTTAAGGTGATATGTGCAACAGTTCATCACATGTGTATTTGAGAATGCAAAGTATGTCATTTCTGGCATATTGTAAACACAGACTCTTAAAAATGAAACTATTACATTATTTCTTTAAACCGCTTGAGGTATAATTACATACTATACAATTCACTCATTTGAAGTGTACAGTTCAATGGTGATATGGTTTGGCTCTGCGTCCCCACTCAAATCTCATCTTGTAGCTCCCATAATTCCCATGTGTTGTGGGAGGGAGCCAGTGGGAGATAACTGAATCAGGGAGGCAGGTTTTTCCCTTGCTGTTCTCATGATAGTGAGTAAGTCTCACAAGATCTGATGGTTTTAAAAATGGGAGTTTTCCTGCACAAGCTCTCTCTCTTGTCTGCCACCATGTGAGATGTGCCTTTCACCTTCTGCCATGATTGTGAGGCCTCCCCAGCCACGTGGAACTGTAAGTCCATTAAACCTTTTTCTTTTGTAAATTGCCCAGTCTAGGGTATATCTTCATCAGCAGTGTGAAAATGAACTAATAAAAATGGTTTTTAGTATATTTACAGAGTTGTGCCAAACATCAACAAAATCCATTTTGATGATCTCAACAAAATCCACTTTGATGATCTCAAAGAGAGCCACAGCTGTCAATCCCCCACCCCACCCCATCATCTCCTCCCCACCACTACTTCCACCTCGGCCCTAAGCAACCATTAATCTACTTTCTGTCTCTATAGATTTACCTATTTTGGACATTTCATATAAACAGAATCATACAATATGTGGTCCTTTGTGACTAGCTTCTTTCACTTAACATAATGTTATCAAAGTTCACTCATGTTGCAGCATCTATCAGTACTTCATTTCTGTCTATTAATGAATAACATTTCATTATATAGATATGCTGCACTTTATCCATTCATCAGATGATGGACATTGGGATTGTTCCCACATTTTGGCTATTATGAACAATGCTGCTCTGTCCTTTGGTGCAAAAGTTTCTGTGTCGACACGTTTTCATTTCTCTCGGGTATATACTTTGGAGTGGAATTACTGGATCATGTCATAATTCTATGTTTAACTATTTGAGGAACTACAGACTGTTTTCCAAAGCAGGTGAATCATTTTGCAGTCCCAGGGTATGAGAGTTCCAATTATTCACATCCTCACCAACATTTGCAATTACCTGTTTTTGTTTTTGTTTTTTTCTTCAGGCCATCCTAGATAGCTCATCATTATTTTGATTTTAATTTCCCTGTGAAGTGGTAGCTCGTGATGGTTTTGATTTGAATTTCCCTGATGGCTAATAAAGTTCAACACCTTTTCATATGTTTATTGGCCATGTGTATATCCTCTTTGAAGAAACATCTGTTCAGATCCTTTGCCAAGAATTTTAATTGGGTTGTCTTTTATTATTGAGTTGTAAGAGTTCTTTATATATTCTGGGATACCAGTCCCTTATCAGGTATGTGATTTGTAAAATTTTTATTTCTCTGGATACATTTAAAAGAATAATATTAAGAAAGTGAAAAGATAAGCCACAGAGGCTTTCAATGGTTTTTTAGAGTTGTGCCAAACAGCCACAAAATCAACTTTAGAACACTCTGATGATCTCACAGATCAAACCACAGAGGCCTATCTTTTCACTTTCTTAATATTATTCTTTTAAATGTATCCAGAGAAACCTAAATATCATATTTTATTCCCACCATAATCCATATAAAACATACATTAACAAGACTTTTAAAATTTACATTGTATGCTTTCCTCTTTGAAACCATATTTCATTCCTCCTCTCCATCCAAATTTCAACCTAATGAAATAAATACATTTATGCTTAAAGTCTTTTACCGACTTACAAATACTCCATCATATTTCTCTGCATCATAAAATTTCATACATACTTTAAAATTTTTAAATGGCTATGATTTCCTGTGACCACAAAACTCTAGGCTTTAATATTTTTCTTCTAGATTAATTATCATTATTAATATTAAACAAAAAGCGTGTTTACTGTGATAGTTATTAAACATAAGGAAGAGAGGGAGGAGCCAAGATGGCCGAATAGGAACAGCTCCGGTCTACAGCTCCCAGCGTGAGCCACGCAGAAGACGGGTGATTTCTGCATTTCCATCTGAGGTACCGGGTTCATATCAATAGGGAGTGCCAGACAGTGGGCACAGGACAGTGGGTGCAGCGCACCGTGCGCCAGCTGAAGCAGGGCGAGGCACTGCCTCACTCGGGAAGCACAAGGGGTCAGGGAGTTCCCTTTCCTGGTCAAGGAAAGGGGTGACAGACAGCACGTGGAAAATCAGGCCTCTCCCACCCGAATACTGCGCTTTTCCTACGGGCTTAAAAACCGGCGCATCAGGAGACTATATCCCGCACCTGGCTCGGAGGGTCCTACGCCCACGGAGTCTCGCCGATTGCTAGCACAGCAGTCTGAGATCAAACTGCAAGGTAGCAGCCAGGCTGGGGGAGGGGCGCCCGCCATTGCCCAGGCTTGCTTAGGTAAACAAAGCAGCCGGGAAGCTCGAACTGGGTGGAGCCCAACACAGCTCAAGGAGGCCTGCCTGCCTCTGTAGGCTCCACCTCTGGGGGCAGGGCACAGACAAACAAAAAGACAGCAGTAACCTCTGTCCCTGTCTGACAGCTTTGAGGAGAGCAGTGGTTCTCCCAGCACGCAGCTGGAGATCTGAGAACGGGCAGACTGCCTCCTCAAGTGGGTCCCTGACCCCTGACCCCCGAGCAGCCTAACTGGGAGGCACACCCCAGTAGGTACAGACTGACACCTCACACGGCCAGGTACTCCTCTGAGACAAAACTTCCAGAGGAACGATCAGACAGCAGCATTCATGTAACACGAAAATCTGCGGTTCTGCAGACACCACTGCTGATACCCAGGCAAACAGGGTCTGGAGTGGACCTCTAGCAAACTCCAACAGACCTGCAGCTGAGGGTCCTGTCTGTTAGAAGGAAAACTAACAAACAGAAAGGACATCCACACCAAAAACCCATCTGTACATCACCATCATCAAAGACCAAAAGTAGATAAAACCACAAAGATGGGGAAAAAACAGAGCAGAAAAACTGGAAACTCTAAGCAGAGCACCTCTCCTCCTCCAAAGGAACGCAGTTCCTCACCAGCAACAGATCAAAGCTGGAAGGAGAATGACTTTGACGAGTTGAGAGAAGAAGGCTTCAGACGATCAAATTACTCCGAGCTACAGGAGGAAATTCAAACCAAAGGCAAAGAAGTTGAAAACTTTGAAAAAAATTTAGATGAATGTATAACTAGAATAACCAATACAGAGAAGTGCTTAAAGGAGCTGATGGACCTGAAAGCCAAGGCTCGAGAACTACGTGAAGAATGCAGAAGCCTCAGGAGCCGATGCGATCAACTGGAAGAAAGGGTACCAGTGATGGAAGATGAAATGAATGAAATGAAGCGAGAAGGGAAGTTTAGAGAAAAAAGAATAAAAAGAAACGAACAAAGCCTCCAAGAAATATGGGATTATGTGAAAAGACCAAATCTACGTCTGATTGGTGTACCTGAAAGTGACGAGGAGAATATAACCAAGTTGGAAAACACTCTGCAGGATATTATCCAGGAGAACTTCCCCAATCTAGCAAGGCAGGCCAACGTTCAGATTCAGGAAATACAGAGAACGCCACAAAGATACTCCTGGAGAAGAGCAACTCCAAGACACATAATTGTCAGATTCACAAAAGTTGAAATGAAGGAAAAAATGTTAAGGGCAGCCAGAGACAAAGGTCAGGTTACCCACAAAGGGAAGCCCATCAGACTAACAGCGGATCTCTCGGCAGAAACTCTAAAAGCCAGAAGAGAGTGGGGGCCAATATTCAACATTCTTAAAGAAAAAAATTTTCAACCCAGAATTTCATATCCAGCCAAACTAACCTTCATAAGTGAAGAAGAAATAAAATACTTTACAGACAAGCAAATGATGAGAGATTTTGTCACCACCAGGCCTACCCTAAAAGAGCTCCCGAAGGAAGCACAAAACATGGAAAGGCACAACCAGTACCAGCTGCTGCAAAATCATGCCAAAATGTAAAGACCATCAGGACTAGGAAGAAACTGCATCAACTAACGAGCAAAATAACCAGCTAACATCATAATGGCAGGATCAAATTCACACATAACAATATTAACTTTAAATGTAAATGGACTAAATGCTCCAATTAAAAGACACAGACTGGCAAATTGGATACAGAGTCCAGACCCATCAGTGTGTTGTATTCAGGAAACCCATCTCACGTTCAGAGACACACATAGGCTCAAAATAAAAGGATGAAGATCTACCAAGCAAATGGAAAACAAAAAAAGGCAGGGGTTGCAATCCTAGTCTCTGATAAAACAGACTTTAAACCAACAAAGATCAAAAGAGACAAAGAAGGCCATTACATAATGGTAAACGGATCAATTCAACAAGAGCAGCTAACTATCCTAAATATATATGCACCCAATACAGGAGCACCCAGATTCATAAAGCAAGTCCTTAGGACCTACAAAGAGACTTAGACTCCCACACAATAATAATGGGAGACTTTAACACCCCACTGTCAACATTAGACAGATCAACGAGACAGAAAGTTAACAAGGATACCCAGGAATTGAACTCAGCTCTGCACCAAGTGGACCTAATAGACATCTACAGAACTCTCCACCCCAAATCAACAGAATATACATTTTTTGCAGCACCACACCACACCTATTCCAAAATTGACCACATACTTGGAAGTAAAGCACTCCTCAGCAAATGTAAAAGAACAGAAATTATAACAAACTATCTCTCAGACCACAGTGCAATCAAACTAGAACTCAGGATTAAGAAACTCACTCAAAACCGCTCAACTACATGGAAACTGAACAACCTGCTCCTGAATGACTACAGGGTACATAACGAAATGAAGGCAGAAATAAAGATGTTCTTTGAAACCAACAAGAACAAAGACACAACATACCAGAATCTCTGGGACACATTCAAAGCAGTGTGTAGAGGGAAATTTATAGCACTAAATGCCCACAAGAGAAAGCAGGAAAGATCCAAAATTGACACCCTAACATCACAATTAAAACAACTAGAAAAGCAAGAGCAAACACATTCAAAAGCTAGCAGAAGGCAAGAAATAACTAAAATCAGAGCAGAACTGAAGGAAATAGAGACCAAGAAAACCCTTTAAAAAATTAATGAATCCAGAAGCTGGTTTTTTGAAAGGATCAACAAAATTGATAGACCGCTAGCAAGGCTAATAAAGAAAAAAAGAGAGAAGAATCAAATAGACGCAATAAAAAATGATAAAGGGGATATCACCACCGATCCCACAGAAATACAAACTACCATCAGAGAATACTACAAACACCTCTATGCAAATAAACTAGAAAATCTAGAAGAAATGGATAAATTCCTCGACACATACACTCTCCCAAGACTAAACCAGGAAGAAGTTGAATCTCTGAATAGACTAATAACAGGATCCAAAATTGCGGCAATAATCAATAGCTTACCAACCAAAAAGAGTCCAGGACCAGATGGATTCATAGCTGAATTCCACCACAGGTACAAGGAGGAACTGGTACCATTCCTTCTGAAACTATTCCAATCAACAGAAAAAGAGGGAATCCTCCCTAACTCATTTTATGAGGCCAGCATCATCCTGATACCAAAGCTGGGCAGAGATACAACCAAAAAAGAGAATTTTAGACCAATATCCTTGATGAACATTGATGCAAAAATCCTCAATAAAATACTGGCAAACTGAATCCAGCAGCACATCAAAAAGCTTATCCACCATGATCAAGTGGGCTTCATCCCTGGGATGCAAGGCTGGTTCAATATATGCAAATCAATAAATGTAATCCAGTATATAAACAGAACCAATGACAAAAATCACATGATTATCTCAATAGATGCCGAAAAGGCCTTTGACAAAATTCAATAACCTTCATGCTAAAAACTCTCAATAAATCAGGTATTGATGGGACGTATTTCAAAATAATAAGAGCTATCTATGACAAACCCACAGCCAATATCATACTGAATGGGCAAAAACTGGAACCATTCCATTTGAAAACTGGCACAAGACAGGGATGCCCTCTCTCACCACTCCTATTCAACATAGTGTTGGAAGTTCTGGCCAGGGCAATTAGGCAGGAGAAGGAAATAAAGTGTATTCAATTAGGAAAAGAGGAAGTCAAATTGTCCCTGTTTGCAGATGACATGATTGTATATCTAGAAAACCCCATTGTCTCAGCCCAAAATCTCCTTAAGCTGATAAGCAACTTCAGCAAAGTCTCAGGATACAAAATCAATGTACAAAAATCACAAGCATTCTTATACATCAGTAACAGACAAACAGAGAGCCAAATCATGAGTGAACTCCCATTCACAATTGCTTCAAAGAGAATAAAATATCTAGGAATCCAACTTACAAGGGACGTGAAGGACCTCTTCAAGGAGAACTACAAACCACTGCTCAATGAAATAAAAGAGGATACAAACAAATGGAAGAATATTCCATGCTCATGGATAGGAAGAATCAATATCGTGAAAACGGCCATACTGCCCAAGGTAATTTATAGATTCAATGCCATCCCCATCAAGCTACCAATGACTTTCTTCACAGAATTGGAAAAAACTACTTTAAAGTTCATATGGAACCAAAAAAGAGCCCGCATTGCCAAGTCAATCCTAAGACAAAAGAACAAAGCTGGAGGCATCACAATACCTGACTTCAAACTATACTACAAGGCTACAGTAACCAAAACAGCATGGTACTGGTACCAAAACAGAGATATAGATCAATGGAACAGAACAGAGCCCTCAGAAATAACACCACATATCTACAACTATCTGATCTTTGACAGACCTGAGAAAAACAAGCAATGGGGAAAGGATTCCCTATTTAATAAATGGTGTTGGGAAAACTGGCTAGCCATCTGTAGAAAGCTGAAACTGGATCCCTTCCTTACACCTTATACAAAAATTAATTCAAGATGGATTAAAGACTTACATGTTAGACCTCAAACCATAAAAACCCTAGAAGAAAACCTAGGCATTACCAGTCAGGACATAGGCATGGGCAAGGACTTCGTGTCTAAAACACCAAAAGCAATGGCAACAAAAGCCAAAATTGACAAATGGGATCTAATTAAACTAAAGAGCTTCTGCACAGCAAAAGAAACTACCATCAGAGTGAACAGGCAACCTACAAAATGGGAGAAAATTTTCACAACCTACTCATCTGACAAAGGGCTAATATCCAGAATCTACAATGAACTCCAACACATTTACAAGAAAAAAACAAACAACCCCATCAAAAAGTGGGCAAAGGACATGAACAGACACTTCTCAAAAGAAGACATTTATGCAGCCAAAAGACACATGAAAAAATGCTCATCATCACTGGCCATCAGAGAGATGCAAATCAAAACCACAATGAGATACCATCTCACACCAGTTAGAATGGCAATCATTAAAAAGTCAGGAAACAACAGGTGCTGGAGAGGATGTGGACAAATAGGAACACTTTTACACTGTTGGTGGGACTGTAAACTAGTTCAACCATTGTGGAAGTCAGTGTGGCGATTCCTCAGGGATCTAGAACTAGAAATACCATTTGACCCAGCCATCCCATTACTGGGTATATACCCAAAGGACTATAAATCGTGCTGCTATAAAGACACATGCACACGTATGTTTACTGAGGCACTATTCACAATAGCAAAGACTTGGAACCAACCCAAATGTCCAACAATGATAGACTGGATTAAGAAAATGTGGCACATATACACCATGGAATACTATGCAGCCATAAAAAATGATGAGTTCATGTCCTTTGTAGGGACATGGATGAAATTGGAAATCATTCTCAGTAAACTATCGCAAGGACAAAAAACCAAACACTGCATGTTCTCACTCATAGATGGGAATTGAACAATGAGAACACATGGACACAGGAAGGGGAACATCACACTCTGGGGACTGCTGTGGGGTGGGGGGAGGGGGGAGGGACAGCATTAGGAGATATACCTAATGCTAAATGATGAGTTAATGGGTGCAGCACCCCAACATGGCACATTTATACATATGTAACTAACCTGCACATTGTGCACATGTACCCTAAAACTTAAAGTATAATAATAATTAAAAAAAAGAAAATCATAAAAGAAACAAAAAGACTCAATTCTAATCAAACTTTCTATGCATATTAACCATAAATTTTTGATCTTCATTTTCTTTTGCTCTATAAACAGCAATTTTATACAAATATAAAGTTTTATACCTTCACAGCTACTAGTCCAAAAAAGACACGTATTCAATTAAACATCTTTTAAAATATTTTAACAAAGTACAAATATATTCACAACATAATCTGCCGACTAAAGTCTCCAACAAAGTTTACAGTACCTACAACAGAATCTATGGGTGCCTAGAATAGTTTGTAGACTGATTTAGTTTACAGTTACATCTACTGCTTTAAGAAATACCATTAATACAAATGCATGATTTACAATATACCCATCATAGAAAGAAAAAAAAAGATTTATAAAATAAAATGTCTTTTAGGCATTTATTATGCCAAGTATTTAAATGATTACTGTCATTATGACATATGAATAATGCTCTTTTAGAGACAAAAGATAGATTTTATTCGCTCAAGGAACACTGAACAGCTTGTAGGAAGCTCCAAGGTAAAATTTGTCTATCCTTACCGTAAAATAAATGGAACAGTAGCAATCTCTGTGTATTCCTTAAACATAAACTATGGTGATTCCATTTGTATTAATTGGGCCTTAAGTCAATGAATTGTTACAAATAAAAATAAACAAAATTTCAGAAACTAGTTAACACCACTGACCCAAATTTGGTTTTTAATTGTTTGCATATATCTAAGAAATTTTACCATGAGGTACATATTAAAAATTAATAATTATTTCTAACTTACGCATAAGCCAAAATGCTCACTTTTATCATGGAAGCAAAATTTACTTCTGAAAATAGTCAACATAAATAATATGTAAACATACAGAGTTTTGAGACAGACTAACATCCTCTCATGTTCTATGAATCAAAATGCAAAAGTCTCCATACTTACGTAAATGAACACATTTTCATTAATTTGGGACATATTGATATTATATGACTATGTGCATACCTATGTACACTGCAAAACAATTTTTTTTTTTTTTTGAGACAGAATCTCGCTTTGTCGCCCAGGCTGGAGCGTAGTAGCACAGTCTCGGCTTACTGCAACCTCCACCTCCCAGATTCAAGCAATTCTCCTGCCTCAGTCTCCCGAGTGGCTGAGACTACAGACTACAGGCATGTGCCACCACACCCAGCTAATTTCTGTATTTTTAGTAGAGATGGGGTTTCGTCATGTTGGCCAGGCTGGTCTCGAATTCCTGACCTCAGGTGATCCGCCCACCTCGGCTTCCCAAAGGTCTGGGATTACAGGTGTGAGCCACCGTGCCCAGCCTGTAAGACAAATTTTCACAATGTTTCTAGTGACAACATATTTTCTAGCCCCAACTACTGGAAAGAAAATAAAAAGTATAAAAACTAATTTTCCTTTTTTAAAACAAGTAAAGCTTTTAAGTGGAAAAATAGAGCCAACACTCCTCATTACAACATGGACTGGGCACTAAAAGGTTCGGTGTCAAAAATGTCTTCATTCCCCAGTATAATAAAAGATATAAGAGCATTCTCTCTAGTCTGGAAGTCAGATTATCTTTACTGTTTTGTCTTAAAAACTGCTTTCCAGGCTACAAGATAGCCATGCTGGTTAAATTCCTTCTACTGCCAACTTTATACCTGATGTAACCATATAGGTTGGCATCTTGCAGCGCCACACCCATGATAACCACTGCCAATCACTTTACTCCAAAAAAGAAGAGGGCACTAAAGGCAATTACCACCCACAGCACTGAACAGGCAATAAATCCCAACCAAAAGATCCTTGATTCAGCCTCTGAGACAGTTTTGTTATCTTGAGGGGATGCCTTCCTGGACTCCCAGTGGCTCTTCCTGGACACCCAGTGGTTCTTCTCATCTTCATCAGTATGATTCCACCAATGCAGGTCCACCATCAGTCTACCTGTGACAGTCTTCACTGCCCCCAAATCACATGGCAACAAGAGAACTGTCACCATCCACGCAGTATAGCTGCTGCTGAGCAATTCACAGAGAAGATGGATTATAACTGCATGCACTCAAAAGAGTAAACAGAAAAATTACGCTATTGGGTGTCTAATTTTTTTTTGGTCTATTGTTTTTAATCCCCTATTCTGAGAAGCATTTTTGGTCTACTAAGTTGTCTTCTCTTCTGCATTGAAGGGTGAAACACCTTCAGTGTCATCATTACTGTCCTGCTGCAACATGGCAGCCATGCACTAGTTCCTTGATCTTCATCTTAAATGGATTCACCTTCAGTGACCTTTTTCCAGTGCCATTTACCCTTGAGCTTCCTGTATCTTTCTAGCTCCAATTAATGAGCAACATTCTAGCCAGATCTAGGCAGACTAAAATCATGTGCTTGAAGGGACTTTCTGCTGCGAAACCTCGTAACCCAGTCCCCGAGGGCCTTTCTTAGTACCAACTGTGTACACTGTGCACTACTCTTTTGCCTCTGAGCTTTGTGGTCCACTCCAAACCAACTGCTGAACAAGACACAAAAGTCTCCCCAGTCTATAAGTCTTCATGGGTTTGGTTGTTAATCACTAAGAAACAGATAAACATGGAACTGTCAAAAAATCCTTACAATAGTGGCCCCTAGTCTAAGGATCTTAACTGCTTCCCAGAAAGGTAAAACATACTCTGCTTTTATTCACTCATTAATACTACCCCACCACTACCATACTTCCCCACTCTACCTCATACCTTATCATTA
The DNA here is from genome assembly GCF_000001405.40 of Homo sapiens. Classification (NCBI taxonomy): domain Eukaryota; kingdom Metazoa; phylum Chordata; class Mammalia; order Primates; family Hominidae; genus Homo; species Homo sapiens. The sequence goes on along the minus strand of NC_000007.14, from coordinate 90,631,396 downwards.
GCCAAATCCCTTCCTCCAAGGTGGTCTGCTCTCCCTAAATGAAAATGCAAGTGAAGCAGAACGGTGGGTCTCAGGTGGACAGTCTGCCTTTCTGAGGAGCCCTGGCTAAGAGTCACCATGTAAGCAAGGCATTTTCTACATGTCCAGTCATTCATGAAACATCTGCTGTGACTTATCACATCATGACTTACCTTATCAGTGATAATGTAGATCACCCAACAAATTCAGAAAAGTTATGTGAGCAGCTTAGAGAAATAAACCAAGACCAGAAGGCAGAAATCCTTGATTCCATGCTGCTTCCATGAGAAGGGGGGTTCTGAATCCTATCAGAGTACCACCACCTTTTGATAGTAAGTGTTTGTAATATACAGAGATGGTATGCATGCAGAGAAAGAAAAACAACATAAAGTCCAAAATGTAATATAAAAAGAAAATAAAAGAGATTAACTTTTATTGTCTTTCATATGTGTGATTTAGGTACACACACACACACACACACACACACACATACACACCCCAAGATGTAAATACTCAGAGATAACACCACCAAATGATTTAATGATGTAGTGAGATGCTTGCAACCACTTTTAATGGGTAAATTTGGATTTTAAAAAAGTAAAAAAAATTCACCTGAATATTCTCAACAATTTTTATTGGATAATTTAGAATAAGGGCTAAATTTGTATGTACACACACACATATACATAACCATCATATTTCCTACAAACGTGTATTAGTGCAGTTATATACATAATAATTCAAATACCACAAACATCACTGCTACTAAGGATGGGATTTGCCAGAATGGTAGACGTTACTTTGTAATGTTGCTAATAAGTCAAAGTACAACTTTTGAAGTACTCAGCAGCTGCATTTCTGAAAATTTCAGAATACAGTCATGTGTTGCATAATGACATTTCAGTCAACAAAAACTTCATATATAATTCTGGTCCCATAAGATTATATTATCATATTTTAACTATACCTTTCCTATGTTTAGATACACAAGTACTTACCATTGTGTTACAACTACCTACAGTAACATACTATACAGGCAGCCCAGGAACAATAGGCTATACCATATAGCTTAGGTGTGCAATAGGCTATACCATCTAGGTGTGTGTAAATATACTCTATGATGTCTGTACAACAAAAAAGCTGCCTCATGACACATTTCTCAGAATGTGCCCCCATCATTAGTGATGCATGACTGTATGTGTATTAAAACTGGACATACATAAATATAGTTGTCTTTAAATGTTAAATGGAGTTGGGTTTTTGTTTTGTTTTTTGTGGTTTTGTGTGTGGTGTTTTGTTTTGTTTTGTTTTGTTTTGTTTTGTTTTGTTTTGTTTTGTTTGAGACAGTGTCTCGTTCTGTTGCCCAGGCTGGAGTGCAGTAGCACTATCTTGGCCGCTATCTTGGCTCACTGCAACCTCTGCCTCCCAGGCTTAAGTGATTCTTGTGCCTCAGCTTCCCAAGCAGATGTGATTACAGGCGCACGCCACCACGCCTGGCTAATTTTTGTATTTTTAATAGAAATGGGGTTTCACCATGTTGGTCAGGCTGGTCTCCAACTCCCGGCCTCAAGTGATCCACCCACCTCGGCCTCCCAAAGGACTGAGATTACAGGTGTGAGCCACCGCACCCAGCCAAGTTAGGTTTTTGGTTTAGGTAATTACAAATAGGTTTTTCATCAATTGAATCTCCAACATGGACATTCAAAGATTTTGCAAAAGGCATCAAATAAGCATTCACTTAGTTAGCTGTTCTGTACACTACAGAATGTCTGGCACCCTTTAACCCCTGCCCACCAAACACCAGTAGCACACTTCATTATTTGGGACAACCAGTAGTTCCCATCAATTTCCAAAACACTCCATTAGAGGGCAGTACCACTCCTACTGAGACCCACTGAATAAAGGCATCCTAAAAGTATTGACTAGGGACAGACAGACACCAGACCCAGTGCTAGTGAGACACTAGGGACAAAGTGATTAAAAATACAGAGCAAGAGCTTAGAGCACAGTGGGGAAAGTGACATTAAACAACTGTCCAAGTAATTATGTCAATACAAAATACTATAAATGCCATGAAGGAAAGCTATAAACTGCTAATTTAGATGGTGGGGTGGCATCAGACTTGAGGAGTTTGTGAACTACTAAAATTCTTTTATTAACTTGGAGACATAAGTAGGGTTGGCAGCTGTATAATTTTGCCATGAAAGGTCATTTAAAAATATTAATAATAACTATCATTTGTAATTGCCGTAGTAGCAAGAGGCAGTAATGAAATCATCTCTGAATTTAAAAAAATATATATAAAACAAAAAAGTACTTTTAGCTTGGTGGAAAACCTCACTACATTTTTTTTAATGTCTTTGCTGCAGGCTGGTATAAGACAGCAGCATTTTGCTATCATATACTAGATCTCTACGTGGTCTCTGGACCAGAGTCATCAACATTACCTGAGAGTCTGTGAAAAATGCAAACTTTCATCTCAGACCTACTGCATCAAATCAGTCTCACTCTCTCTCTCTCTGTCTCTCTCTCTTCTTAAGGGTCAGGGTCTCACTCTGTCGCCAAGGCTGGAGTGCAGTGGTGGGTGTGATCATAACTCACTGCAGCCTGCAACATCTGGACTCAAATGATCCTCCCGCCTTGAGTCTCCTGAGTAACTGGGACTACAGGCACGCAACCCCATGCCTGTCTAAGTTGTTTTTTAAATATATATATATTTTTAGAGACAAGGTATCTCACTATGTTGCCTAGGCTGGTCTCAAACTCCTGGCCTCTACTGATCCTCCTACATCAGCCTCCCCAATCACTGGAATTACAGGCATGAGCCACTATGCCTGGCCCAAATTTCATCTTAACAAGATCCCCAGGTGATTCACATCCACACTGAAGTTTGAGAAGGACTGTGGCAGAATAGATCATATGGACCCTCAATGGCTGAAATTCAGCCATAGCCATCTACATTTAAGAATCAGTAATGGCCTTTAACACTTGGAAGTGATTGAGGAGTCCTGGAAAAATCAGGGTGAAAAATGAAACAGAAAGCAGGCAAGCTGCTATAACAAAAGTTATCTTGGGGTGGGAAGGAAAGCAAACAAGCTAGAATCCTAAAAAATCACCTTTCTGGCCAGGCACGGTGGCTCACGCCTGTAATCCCAACACTTTGGGAGGCTAAGGCAGGTAGATTACTTGAGTCCAGGAGTTCAAGACCAACTTGGGCAACACAGCAGAACCCCGTCTCTACAAAAATAAAAATAAAAATTGCCATGCATAGTGGCACACACCTGTGGTCCCAACTACTTGGGAGGCCGAAGTGGGAGGATCACTTGACCCTGGGAGGTCAAGGCCGTAGTGAGCCATGATTGCACCACTTGTACTCTGGACTAGTAGAGCAAGACCCTGTCTCAAAAAATAATAATAATTGAGAAGAAAAAAATGAAGTGCAAATCACAAACAAAAAGCATTCACAGCTTTGCAGTAGATTTTAGGAGCATAAAACTGAGTTGCACGGCTCCTATGTGGGAGAATCCCTCCAGGGATTTCGCTAAATGCTGAGTCTTGTCCTGACTGCTACTCCTACCATAAGACAAAGCAGTTTTTATCACTATTGGTCAAGAATTCAGCCTGCTGTTTAGGTGACTTCAGTAGCACCTGTTTAGGTGCTACAGTTGAATTCACGTTCTGAGATCATTAATCCCACAATTAGTTTTTCTAACAAAGGAAATCTCTCTAGAAATGTGTTAATTATGAGCAAAGACATGAGGCCAGATTCATGTCTCTTTTCTAGGCCACTTTGATGGGAAAATAATTGCCAGTATAACGCAATGCTTTTTATAGTAAGAAGAAAAGTTACAGTAAAGATCTGTGCTAGCTGGGCACAGTGGCTCATGCCTGTAATCCCAGCAGTTTGGGAGGCCAAAACACGAGGATTGCTTGAGCCCAGGAGTTTGAGTCCAGCCTGGGCAACACAGTCAGACCTCTGTCTCTACAAAAAATTTTTAAAACTTAGCCAGGTGTGGTGGCATGCGCCTGTAATCACAGCTACTTGGGAGGCTGAGGTGGGAAAATCACTTGAGCTTGGGAGGGTGACACTACAGTGAGCCATGATTGCACCACTGCACCCCAACCTGGACAAAAAAGGAGACCCTGTCAAAAAAAAAAAATCTGTGCTGACCAATAGTAGCCACTAGCCACATGTGGCTAATGAGCACCTGAAATGTGGCTAGTCTAAATTGAGATGTATAATAAAGTACACAAGCAGATTTTTAAAGCAATACAAAATAAGAGTAAAAATCTCAATAATAACTTTAATGTCCAAATTATATTTTTATATATGGGGTTTTTCAAGTATAATAAAAGTAAAGTTATCTGTTTCTTTTACTTTTCTTTTTTTGTTTTGTTTTTGTTTTTGTTTTTTGCTGTTTTTGTTTTGTTTTGTTTTTTGAGACAGGGTCTCATTCTATCACCGAGACTGGAGTGCGATGGTGCAATCAGAGCTCACTGCAGCCTCAAACTCTGGGCTCAAGTGATCGTCCCACCTCAACCTGTGGAGCAGCTAGGACTACATGACAGACACACATCACACCTGGCTAATTTTATTTTTTTGTAGAGATGAGGTTTCACTATATTGCCCAGGCTGGTCTCCAACTCCTGGGCTCAAGCCATCCTCCCACCTTAGCCTCTGAAAGACCTAGGATTATAGGCCTGAGCCACAACACCTGGCTTCTTTTACGTTTTTAACGTAACTACAAGAAAAATGTTAATGACATGAAATTTGCATTATGTATCTATTGAACAGTGCTGGTCGAGAAGCTCATTAGAATTATACATGCATCAATCTTCAGTTTAGATTATAATCTATAGATAAATTATAGAAATTACAGATAATCACAGATAATCCTAGAGAATAACTGCAGAAAACATGAATTTTGGAGGTAGCCAAACAAAAAGAGGTGCTTGGCAGTATTGATCTCTTCATTTTAACAACAGCTGAGTAAGAGAGCCCTTTCAGAAATGTCTGCCTGAGGGTCTCTAAATTTATACCCAAAGAAGAGAGAAACATCAAGTATTTAATAAAAATAGCGCTGGGGGAGGAACTGATAAAAACTGAGGTGCAATCACAGTGATGACCAGTTCTCTCACAGCCTAGGAATGTAGGGGTGGAAAAGATAAACAAATTCCACTGACAATAGCCAATAATTTCCTGGTCTAAGGCATTCAAATAACTAAACCTTCCCGCCTCTAAGTAAATGGGAAAGTAAAACCACAATCCCAATACTCGCCTCAGATCAAGAATGGTGCTACCAGTGGAAGTCACAGAAAGATTGTATTGATTTGCAGAGGTATAACTATAAATTAAAATTAACTCATAGTTCTTCTTCCATAGTACAAAGAAAAATGGAAAAGCTCCCATGGAATTAAAAAGTAGATTCAGAAATCATTGTTTAAATAGCAAGACCTCCACACACAGTGTTAAAACATCTCCAATAATGGAAAATGGTGCTGGGTCAGATTCAGTTTGGGAATAAGACTACGAGTACGAAGAAAAGCAAAGTAGCTAAAGCCATCTCCAATCTAGGCAGATTCCTCTCATTCCTGGCCGGGGGAACAATCCCATCACTTAGGAAATCTGGACCTCTGCCAGCCTGCTGCTTCTGTAGCATGCTGGGGGATGGGTGAGGAGGGTTTGGAAATGTCTGGGCAGCTGGCTTTTATCACAAAGCCTTCTCTCTTAGAAAGGCCTATAATGAATTTCCTAGACATGATATAACACAATATTTTAAGTGATTAATAGTGCAAAAATATTACATTTAAAATACTACATTTAAAAAATGAATGTCCAAGGTATAAGAGATCAATAATTACACAAATTAAATGTGATGCAAATATTAAAATAAATGTATTTTAGTGGTTTTTGAATTGCTTTCATTAGGCTTAACTTCAAAACATCTAAATAGGAGAGGAAGAAACTAACCAACTGAAAGCTTAATGTACATGGCAGGTACTACCGTAACTTATTCCACTTAAAAATAACCTTTTTTAAAGACAGAGTCTCGCTATGTTGCCCAGGCTGGAGGGCAGTGAAGCCATTGCAGCTCACTTCGGCCTTGCACTCCTGGACTCAAGCCATCCCACTGCCTCAGCCTTCTGAGTAGCTAGGACAATGGGCATGTGTCACCACGCCTGGCCAGGTTTTTTTTTATTTTTTAGAACTGGGGTCTTGTTATATTGCCCAGGCTTGTCTCAAGCAGTCCTCCTTCCTTGATCTCCCGAAGCACTGAGATTATGAGCCACTGTGCCCAGACACAATTAACTTTTAGTAGAGAATTTACTATGAGCCATTCGCCGTTTTAAGTGTTTTACACGTTTTGAAACTGTTGTGATCCTATCAACTCTATGAGCTAAGTATTATTAGCATCCTCCTGTTCGAGATGAGGAAGCTGAGGCATCGAGATGTTAAGCTTCACATAGCCAAGGAGTGTTGGAGCCTGGATATGACTGACTACAGGTTTATGACACCAAGCAGCTGGTTCCAGCATCCTGACTTATCGCCCTATAATATATGAGACTGCCTCACAGCCTTCACTCGCAGATGAGGACGCTGAAGCTCAGGGAGATTAAGCAACTGTCTGTTCATGGTAACAAAGCTACTAAGTGGTGGAGCAGAGTTTCAAATCCATATCTAATGCTAAATCCTTCTCATAAGCAGCTTCCTGTTATCACCAAACCTCTGCTCCAGTTTGTAATACTGTCAGAAATATCTCATTTTCTCCTATTCTCAGGGGATGGTTGCTAGCCACTTCTCTCTCTTTCCTCTTAGCCAAACTGCCAGTACTGCCTCCACAGTTTGAGCTGTTGGCTCTTGAGGTACCTAAAGAATACAAAATAGGATTTATGTTTCTCACTGCTATGTAAACTTAAGCATTCAGGTCCATAAATCTAGAACACAGAAACACAGAATATAGAGAACAAAATGCGTTTGTCTGAATAGAAAATTAGAAAGTGACTCATTATTTGTCATTAATGTTATGAAATAGAAGAAATAACTACCTTTTCGAAATCCACATTGCTAGGGTTTCTAGGTCACATACCTCCCCTAATCTGATGCTGAATGCAATGTCTTTAAATCCTGACCTTTTCAGGAGAAGCAGAATAAGGGGGTGAGGGTGAGAGGGCAGGAAACCTGGGTCCCAGACAAAGCTCCACTGTGAGAACAGAAGACTGTGGCCTGGGGAACAGCACTTACCTTCCCTGAGTACAATTTCCACCTCTACAAAACAGAGATGAAACTACATGTCCACTCCTTCACAGGGCTGTTTTGTTGCAAAAATTCACTGAAATATCATATGAAATTGTTTTGTAAACTATGAAGCCCTACAAAATATGTATTATAAATATGCAATGACACTCCTGCCTAATCTTAGCAAGCATGAAAAGGGGTTTCAGGGCTTCTGATGATGACAAAGAGGAAGACAGCAGTCTGTGCCTCTAATCCCACACACCCAGTAACCCAACCTTCCAGATGAAATCTTCACTGGACTTTCAGGTTCAGGAGCTGTGTTTTAAAACAACAGTGAGAGATAATAAGCACTGATTTAAATAAAAGGCTTGAAAACTCCAGGAAGGCATTATCACCACTGTAACTGCCATCCTAATCAAACCTCTGAGGGATGGCTCAGGATGCTCAAGGGGAAAGTTAATTGCTAGACTTTCTGATCAAGTGTGAGACGGTGAAAATTTTACCTTAAAATCACTGAAAAAAAACCTGATATTCACAATACTTACATATTCTACTTTTTAATAAATTGAAAAAGAAAACTTAAAAAAACAACTAATACCTTAAAATCTAATATTCAGAACACTTCAGGTTTTCCTTTTCAGTTGTGCTTTTTTTCCTTCCTTCTTTCCCACTATTGCCATGCCAGTATCCCAGTCTGCCATCAACCCTGCCAAAGAGATGCATATATACAGAGAAAAGCCCTTTAAAGAAAGCAAAGTAACTATAAAGATATCAAAATTCAACTAAAGAAACAGCTGCCCATTTCTTAAAATAAAAGATGTCTAATTATTGGTATTCATGTGGTCAGCCTACACCCCCAGAAGGGCACAGATCCACTCTTTCAGTCACAGCAGAAATCCTTTTAAGCCATTTGACATCCTGCACTGTGCAGTTTTAGACCTACGTATATGTCTGGGTTAGAGGAAAAACACATGATCACAAACTCTATAAAGAAAAAAGATTACGGAAGACAAAGACAACAAAAATTTTAAAATAAATAAAAAGAATTTTTAAAAATATATATATAATACGAGAAAGCCAGTGAGCTGACAAATGGCATGCTATTACATTAATAATGGAAACTATGAATATTCATTACACAATTGTCATAAATAGAAGGACGGAAAACCAGAGAGTGCAGATGGAGCAAAAACTCAGAGTGCTAAAAAAAAAAAAAAAGAAAAAAAAAGAAAGAAAACACATGCAGTCTCAGACAATATTTTTTAAGTAGGATCCCTGGGTGGAAACTTTGATCTGAGATAAGATGGGACAGTAAAGAAAGAATTTCCTTATACAAGGTAAATAAACAGTATAAACTACCCAGAATGACAGGAAGAGCTTTCAGTAAAAACACAGTCAGGGTAGTCTTCGCTTAGGATGTTTTGGAAAAAGGATAATCTAGCTCCCAAATCACAAATAAGGTTAGTAGATATTGCTTCACCCTTCCACACTCCCACTACCCACTTAGAGAAGGGACCACCCCAGATAAAAATCCAATGCACTAATGTGCAATCTCAAATGCTTTTAATTTTTATATATCTTGGGAATGAAGAAGAAAACCAAAAATATGAATAGGATTAACCCCAAAACATGTGCTCAGGGATCACAACTTTTATGCCCAATTGCATGCTGAGGACTTCAGAGAAAGATCACCGCGTTAGATTGACAGTTTTTCTACTAATAAAAGTTTCAAGAAAAGTACAGAAAACTCATAAGCTCAAGATGATAATGCATACATTTACTAAGCAAAAACATTACCACACAGACAGTCATTTATTTTTTTAAATGTGCACAGAATATTCCAAATTGTAGTTTCCAAACAACAGGGATAAAAAGATGCAGGCACTAAATTATTGACAACACTCAACATCTGACCGGTACTTTTTAATTAGCTAAGAAAGACTCCAACTCCTTAAGGCAAATGCCACAGGATTAATAGTAAATACCTGCTCTAAGCAGGAAAATCCATTTGCTTGCAGCACTTCCATTGTACTTCGTTTCTCAATTAGTCCCACAGCCTAAGGCTACCCTAATACACTTTTAGCATTAATTTGCAACTTAAAAGTTACACAATTCAAGTAAATGTAACCCAATCATCATCAAATGCAAGCAACTTTCAATGTTCCCTTTCAAAGGCCAACAATCCAGCAGGTCTCTCCAGCTGCTACTTAAACTGGCGTGAGGGCCGTGTCTGGGTCACCTCCACTTCTGGAGCTTCACTAGCCCTGTGACCCTGTGCTAGTTGCTTAACTTCTCTAAACTTCCGTTTCCCCATCTGTAAAAATAGAAATAATAGTGCCAACATTACTGGGAAAATTAAATAAGGTCCATACAGAAAAAACATTTAAGATAAATCCCATCCCCATGAATAAACAGTTGGTGAATTCCTGTGGCAAAGGAAGGAAGGAAGGAAGGCAGGAAGGCAGGAAGGCAGGAAGGAAGGAAGGAAGGAAGGAAGGAAGGAAGGAAGGAAGGAAGGAAGGAAGGAAAAAAAGTCTGAATTATGGGAACAAATTCACCTAAAAGACTCCAAAAGTATTATCTGTTTATTCTCTCAAGCAACTTTTATTCAGCACCTACTAGGTGCAAAGGACTGTTCTGAAAGAATGAGATTCAGAGAGAGGTAGAAATGCTGTCTCTGCCCTCAGGAACCTTACACAGTCTTGCAGGGGGAAGAGAGTATTTTAAGGATGTGAACATCTGCTCAAACAACAGGTCCCAAGACTGTGATGTCTACAATGGAGAAAATGCCCCAGTTACTCAACACATGAACACAAGACACATGGAGTAGAGACAAAGGGGCTTCCCCTGCCAGACAATAAACATGAGCCAGTACAAATGCAGGCAAACAAGAAAGGGAACCAAGAAGAATCAGAAAACCTCTGGCGAGGCACCAACCCAAAAACGAGGAGGTACAGGGAGATTTTCCCTCCCTCTGTATCTGGGGTAATCATCATAGACCTCTGGAAATCCTGTGACCAGATGCACACTGTAGATGTGACATATGTGAACGCTGTTTCCTTCTAAAACATGAGTTAGTAGTGCTCACATATGCAGAGCTCCTGACTGTCTTGTGGGATGCAAACTCCCATCCACCAAAAACCACCTGGCATACAAACCCCACCAGTGGACATTCCTTTTCTGCCAGATCCAGTAACACGTGGTCATAGCAAGGCCACTGTGATGGGCAGAAGTGGGGCAACAAAAGGAGGAAGCCTAAATTTGGACTTTACAGACTCAGTTTCCCCCTCTTTAAAATGTGGAGGTTCCTAAAATTAGACTGCTGGTGTTCCCATCATAAAGCCAGGAGTCTCCATGTGCCCCTCAGCTTGTGCCCACAGATGTGAGGACTCATGTGGAGGATGGCCCAAATGTCACGTGCAGCACCACACTGCATGTGCCAATGCTTTGAGAGGCACAGCCCAGCTCTATGAAACGGTGGTGCCTGCTCCGTGCCAAGACCCTTTACAGGAATTACAAGCATTATTTCATTAATTCTTACAACTTTGCCAGGTGGAGAGGGTTACCTCTGTTGTACAGATAAGGAAAAGGAGACTACTAGATGGCCTCACACAGATTATAAATAGGGATACGGGGACAAGCTGGAAGATGGGTGAAGGAGATTCCAGCGCTCTTGCACTTTCCACTCACACCCAGATTCTGAGGTTGTTCAGGTGGAGAAGCGTCACTCACCGCCGTCTGGAGAGCACAGAGTTTCAGCTAGAGACAGCATTGTCATTGCCCCTGACATGCCAGTGCCAATCAATCGATCCACCAAAAATAAAAGAAATCTCAAAGAAAAATACCCAGCCCAGTCAACTGAGTTAATAATTAGATAATTAATTTGATAAGTTAATAATTTGTTGAGTTAATAATTCCTGTGGCTTGTCTGTGCCTTGCTGATCCTTGAAGTGGTAGATGTCCCACTGAAAGCTCATAAATATTTCTCAGGTTGCCAACTAGACAAAAATACTATACATTGATACATCATCTTGTAGGACATGTATTACAGAAACATTTAATATACATACTTGTAACAGCAAGGGGATGTCAACTAGATCATGAATAAAGAGTCATATCTCTCTGTATTTGTTTTTGTTGTTGTTGTTTCGAGAGTCTTGCTCTGTCACCCAGGCTGGAGTACAGGGTCACAATCTCGGCTCACTACAACCTCTGCCTCCTGGGTTCAAGCGATTCTCCTGCCTCAGCCTCCCAAGTAGCTGGGACTACGGGCTTGGGCCACCACACCAGCTAACTTTTGTATTTTTTAGTAGAGACAGGGTTTTGCCATGTTGGCCAGGCTGATTTCAAACTCCTGGCCTCAAGCAATGCGCCCACCTCGTCCTCCCAAAATGCTGGGATTACAGGTGTGAGCCACCGCACCCAGTTCTTTTTTTCCTTCAGTATCAATTTTTACATTCCCCAAAACAGCCTTCAAATAATTAAACATAACGGTCAGTTCTCTCACACAGCAAGCTTTAAAAAACCAACAGAAATTACGATACAATGTACCTGAAGACCTTGGTTATTAAATATTTATAGAAGTTAAAATAATCAGTATTTTATGTTCATTAAAATTTTTAATAGTGAAAAAATACTCATCTGAGGCCTAAAGAAAAATAACAGCTTTCATCTAGAAAGTTGCAGGTATCAAGAGACAAAAAAACTGTAAATATCATTTTATGGAACACTGGAAAGAGATTTTCAAATGTAATCTTTGAGTTTTCAGGCTGTATCTTTTATTTAAATGTCCAGTTTCCTTAAACCCCTACATATGTGTCAATTGTGTTATTTGAAATGGGCTTAAAAGCACTAGAGATGTTAAATATCATTCAATCAATATTGTGCAGTAGACACAGAAAAACAGGGAAAAATTGCCTTAGCTTCATTTCTTTCCCTTCCTTTACCCTCAAGATAAACGTAATATTGAAGTGACAGAAACAGATGTTACAACTGGGATCCACGCATCACACTCACCGCCACCAGTCTGAGAAGTGAAATACCCAATGGAGGTGGAAACAAGTTAGAGGCTCTCAAATGTATGTTAAATGCTTCCCAAACAAACAGTGGGAAGGGCTGGCAAATACATTCATTTTAAAAGTAAATATTAACTTAATGAGCTTGGTGACCGGAAAACTGATTCTGCTCTCTTGAGATTTTTACTTCCCTGCTCCTTCTCATCAAAAAGCAAAAGAAAAAGACACAATAAGGCACAAATTCTCCTACTTCTGAGTCCAAATGGTATCAGAAAAGAATCTAAAATCACTCTTTCTGTATGTGTCCTCAAATCTTTCCAACTCAACTGATGGTAAAAAGGAAAGATAAAGTACATCAAACAATGTAAATACTTGCAGAACTAGTCCATTAAATGCAGTGGGGATCATCAGAAAAGCCAAGTCTTTTTTTAGGAGCCATAATTCTGTGCTCTAATAGCAGAAGACGGCCAATCATTATAAAACATCTCTAACTCCTGCCTGAGACTTCCCCCTTCATCTTCCCTTGCCTGCACCAGTTGCACATCAAAAAAGTATTATGTCTGGTACAAAGATGGCAAAAGCAACCAAAAGTTCATTCACTGGACCCAGCACCTGGGTCATGAAAGGCTTGAGGGCAAGGTGGAGCCCAGTGGCTGGCAACTAAACCACCAAAAGCAAGGTGTTTTCAGAAAGAACAAAGAAAAAGGAAAGAAGAAAATGCAATGATATTGGAAGCATAGAAGAAAATCCAGTGAATTGGAAGCATTTTATGTTTACGTAAAGGAAAAGGAGAGAAAGAGAGAAAAAAAATTGGTCTATCCCTTTTCTTAGCACTCACTCTACCAATAAAAAAGAATCCAAAGTATTGAATGTTTCTCCCTATACCCACCTAAAGTCTTCATCTTTCTAAGATGTAAATATTAAAAACCTGTCTGTTTCCTCCATATTTTTAATCTTCACAAAGATTTTAGCTGTCATAATATGAAATAAAAATGAAGCCAGAGTGGCTTCACACGCACAAGCTAATAATCCAAGTGTATATATTCAGGATTCGAAGAAAATGAATGAATTTATTATCTGACATTTTCTGTTCAATACTAACCATTTGCCTTGCTCAGTGAAGGCAATTTACACCCATTGAAAGATGTTCTGACACTTTTTTCAGAACATGCTAGTTAAAACACAGCAGTTTTCTCATCATGCCTTCCAGCTCAAACCAGTCTGTATATCACAAGGTGGTCCATGGTACCTCAACCAATAGTTAACCTTCCATAATCTTCATTGACTACAGAGCCCTCATGTCTAGCAGGAAATTTTTACTAAACAAATTACTACCCGAAGGATCAAGTTTACATCTCACCAAACAATCCACCCACTCCCCACCTAAATCCAGATAAAAATGGCAATACAAGCTTAGTTTTAACGTAACCTTGAAACTGAAATCTAAAACCTAAAGAGTAATTCAGCAAAGAAACTCCCTTGATTTCACAACGACTAATCAACCATGTTCTCTTCAGCAACATTATTTAGTAACATAATGATTTAATCTCCCTGGGTCTCAGTTTCCTCTCTGTAAAATGTGTGTAACTCAGTTCAAAAATGACATAGATCTATGGCAGGAATCTTTAAGGTTCACTTTTAGGCCTTTTTTAGGCCTAATTCTAGCAGTAATTCATCTGCTAGAATTACTACCAAAATCAGTTGTTTCTTTGTAAGAACTTTGTTTTCCCAACTATATGCTGCACCTGTAGTAGTAGTACCTAGATGTTATTTCTCCCTTTCTCCCTTCTCCTGGGAGGCAGCGTAGTTTGGATGCAGAGAGACTAGGTTAGAATACTAGATTAAACCACCACCTTCTAGCTAAGGGACTCTGAGCAAGTCACAATTTCAATAAACCCCAATCTCCCCATTATCCATTTGTTGTATTTCCTTTTTTTCAGATGTTTTCCCCCATGGAGAGGATACTTATAATCTTACAAAACCGAGATCATACTCTACATACAATGGCTGTTTCACTGTAAATAATAATTTCTATTTTATACATGTTCTGCCATGAACATAATTACTTTTCTTAATAGCAAATATTAAAATTATTCAATGAAACACATGTAATTGTGATAAGAGGTAAGGTTTTGAAGCTGAAAAAAAAGTCCACCATTGAGTTTAATATGCCTAACTATCTTGCCTGAAAAAAAAATAATCAAAATGGAGGAAAATATGTGTATATATACACAGGCACACATATATATATATGATGATGATGATATAATAAGGTAACTAAAGGGAATGCTGAAGATCATCAAAGTGCATCATCCAAAACTGTGGTCATCCAATTAATGTCACTTTTATGGGTTTTAATCTTTTTTATCTTCTAATAACTATATAGAAATTAGTGCAATGTACACTGTACAATTTGCATTGTATCTTGCAAGTACACATTTATTTTTTTCCTTTCATGACTAAAACACCTTTTTTGTTGCACATGTAACACATCATTTAGATAAAGTAATGCAAACCTCTTGGGGAAAGTTTTGAACTCAATTAGGGCATCTGGGGACAAGCCATATGTTACCAAGCCTTTTGCACACCTGAACCCCAATATGTAATGACCCAAGGATGCTCATTTGTAAGATTAAATAGTCTGCCTTTTAAGAGAAGAGAATCAGGCACTGCAGGACATTCTCCATCATATTGACTTGAAGACAATACAAAGAGAGCTATATAGCTGAAGATTTAAAATAAACGAGCACCTATAACACAAAAGAATTTGTAATTCATGCCCTGAATAACTGTAACTAACATCTCTCTTCTTTACCTATATTTTTTAATAAAAAATGTTTTCATTAAAATCAAAAGTAACCATAAGTTATTCTCACTCATTTTTCTCTGTTATAAAATAATGCTTACTTATCCATTTCTTTGTTAGAAATTTCTGTATCACTGTTTTAGTTTTTCTTTTGGCTAAAATTTCTGGATTATGAATTTGATATTAATAAATACACAATTTTAGGACTAAGAAGACTATATTTTCTGAATCAAAAATCAGAAAGCATTATCTAAAACCAAGAGCTGTTCCAAAAAAAATTAAGGTTGCATATGATTGTACCAATATCCATCTTCAACTCCTAATAATTCAGCAACAGATATTTTAAAAGAAAGGCTCTCAAACTCTGAACTCACTTGAGGGATATGACACACCCCCAATAACAACCCTTCCTAACTACAGCAGCAAAATTTTCAAGGTGCGTGAATATTTTGATAGGGGAAGTGAAGAGACCTGCACCAAAATCTTTACAGAGCACTTTGAAAACTCTCACCCTCCACCTCTACCACAGCCCATCACTGCTTTATAGAACTGGTGCAATCTCCTTTTTTGAAAATCCGTTAAAATAGAAAAACTAATACTCCAAGACAACTAAGTTATCCAAGAGATATGTCACAGGTTATAATTTCATATTTGGCACATTCCCATGGGCAAATCTGGAATAAGCCAAATTCCTGGTACTCTAACTGCAACTCAGCCCCCTTCTTTCCCACTCAAAAAAAATACCAAAACATAATTGAAAGACTGACTTCAATATACTCATTTTTTAAAGAAAAGTATTCACACACTTCAATATTTCAGCTGATCAGAACACAGAGTTATAACGTGTTCGAGATCTGCTAGACTAGAATAGTTCCCAAACTCTGAAAAACATCATAGTTTTATTCTAAATACCACACTTTATAGACATCTTACATGAGGGTAGTCAGAGACTGAGAAAACACAAAAGAGCACACAGAATTGTAGAATCCAGGACTCCCTGGGTTCTCTAAGCAATTCCAAATGTCTTTTAAATTGTAACTTGCAAGATTGGAGAAAGATATTCTTAATCAGTGAAAGGTCGAATAAGTACTTGCCTGATGCATTTTCATCTAGGTATAAAAGTGCATATTGAAAACTTTTTTTCTATCGTATTATAACTACATGGGTCATAAAAACCTTAAAATTTTTTTTCAACACATTCCTTACTCATACACATAAGATTCATCATTATCATAGAATTTAGAGTAGCTATTGAAAAACAGGAAAACTATTAATTTCATTATTAAAAAATTAATCATATAATGTTGCACTATAAGACATGCCATACTTGCAGATGATTTCAGAATCTTATAATTTTTTGCTAATACCTGGCTTTTTCCTAAAACCACTGTAAAATAATTTTCCATATCCCCAGCCTAAGTTTAGGATGCTCGTGGAACACCCAGGTCACAATAAACTTACCAAGGCAAAATAAATAAATAAATTAATTAATTTTAAGAAAATTCCCAGGCTCATATGCCTAAAAGAAACAACAGTTCATTTCAAAAGAGTTAATAAAATAAAACTAAAAGACAGCCAGGTACAGTGGCTCATGTCTGTAATTCCAGCATTTTGAGAGGCTGAAACTGGTGGACTGCTTGAGCCCAGGAGTTCAAGACCAGTCTGGGCAATACAATGAGATGCCATCTTTTTTATTATTTTTTTAAAAAAATTAATTTTAAAAAGAAATTTAAGAAAACTAAGTTGCTAAGAAAGAAGGAAAACTTAAAAAATAAATAGTAAGTTGGAAAAATAACCAGAACTTTACACATTGAAAATAAAATAGATTCAGAAGGGAAAGTGAACATTACTTCAATTATTCCCTTAAAATGATGAAAGCTCCTTTAAGACGCTGATGAGACCTAAAGAAATTAAGCTTGCAAAACTGAAAGCAAACTGCTGGTTCCAATATCTTGTAATTATGCCTTTTATAAGTTTTATGACAAGAATAATAAGAGTTAAGAGTGTTTGGAACTAGGCCGGGGACGGTGGCTTATGCCTGTAATCCCAGCACTTTGGGAGGCCAAGGCGGGTGGATCACTTGAGATCAGGAGTTTGAGACCAGCCTGACCAACACAGTGAAACCCTGTCTCTACTAAAAATACAAAATTAGCCAGGCAGGTGGCGCATGCCTGTAATCCCACCTACTTGGGAGGCTGAGGCAGGAGAATCACTTGAACCCAGGAAGCAGAGGTTGCAGTGACCCAAGATCGCACCATTGCACTCCAGCCTAGGCAACAAGAGCGAAACTCCATCTCAAAAAAAAAAAAAAAAAGTGTTTGGGACTATAAAAAATAGTCTCAAACACTCAGGACTGGAATCTATGGTCCAGTCCTGAGAAAACTCTGACCCACCTTGGCTTCACTGATTTCAATGATTGCTATGGTTCCTAATAGGAGAAGCCATCCCAATCACAACCCAGCAATATAAAAATTTCTAAATTGATGACTCAAATTCCAGTCAGAAGGAAAATAGGCATAATGTACTGCAGCTGAGCCCATTTTGCACTTGTTGAAGAAAATAGAGTAGTTAGGCTGTACAGAAAGACTTCCTACGTCAAAGGTCAGCGTCTTTTTTTATTTTTTTTTTATTTTTGAGACAGAGTCTCGCTCTGTCACCCAGGCTGGTGTGCAGTGGCACGATCTCAGCTCACTGCAAACTCTGACTCCCAGGTTCAAGCAATTCTCTTGCCTCGGCCTCCCAAGTAGCTGGGATTACGGGCACCTGCCACCACGCCTGGCTAATTTTTGTATTTTTAGTAGACACAGGGTTTCACTACGTTGGCCAGGCTGGTCTCAAACTCCTGACCTCAAGTGATCCCTCCCAAGGTGCTGGGATTGCCACCAGGCCCGGCCCAAAGGTCAGCTTTCAACAAATGAATTCAAACATGCAAATCAGAGCACTGCCCAGGAGGGAACACTAACCACCCTTACAGCAGAGACTTCCTACAGGCTATACAGCCTGCCACCAGGATGCAGGGTGCTCACAACGGAAAGAGGACACTACTCATGTTTTCCATTTCTGTAATATTCTGCCTTTTGAGAATTACAAATTGAAAGTGACTAATTCTCCCAAATGTCATACATCTTGCACTTTGTGACATGTACTTCCTCTCTGAATCTTTACAGCACTACGCAGACATTTGAGCCACTGTCTGGGACTAGACCTAATTATGATAATTATGTCTACCATAATTAGGGAGATGGTAAATATGATCAAACATTTATAAAAAGGAAAAACTGAAGCACAGAAAGTTTTAAGCATCAGAAAATTAAAACTAAATTTCCAATGAGAGAATTAAGGAGGTAGTGATGTTCTTTTTCAGCTATCTTAAATGCTGAATTTGAAATATAATGACTTTCTGGATTACTGGCATAATTAAAGAACAGTCTAACTTTTAGACCTCTTGCATGGAAGGTTCATAGCATCTAGGACTGGCAGATATGACCACAGTGAAAATAAAACAGTACAGAAAGTAATATAAAATCTTTTTTTTTTTTTTTTTTTTTTGAGACAGAGTCTCTCTCTGTCACCCGGGCTGGAGTGCAGTGGCACAATCTCGGCTCACTGCAACCTCCGCCTCCCGGGTTCAGGCGATTTTCCTGCCTCAGCCTCCCGAGTAGCTGGGATTACAGGTACCCACCACCACACCCAGCTAATTTTTATATTTTTGGTAGAGACAGGGTTTCACCACGTTGGCCAGGCTGGTCTCGAACTCCTGACCTCAAGTGATCCACCTGCCTCGACCTCCCATAGTGTTGGGATTACAGGCGTGAGCCACCGTGCCTGGCCTATAAAATCTTACTATAAGAGAGAGTGAGATTGAATCTCCACCCAGGCCCAGCCCTGTAAGATGCTGAGAGATGGTCAACCCATAAATGCCTGTGAGGCTGAACTAGATCAAGAGTCAGGCTGAGACCATATCCAGCCTGACATAAAACAAACGTCATTTGATGCATGAATCTTTGAACAGGGGAGTACTATGACAAGAAAGATGTTTTGGGAAGGCTGAGTGGAGGAATAAGATGGAGCAGTGATACCAATGAAGAGTTTATTGAACTAAAATAGGTAAAAGTGAAAAGGTTCTGAACTGAGATGGCAGCAGCTGCAATGATAATGAAGTCACGAAAATAAAAGATAACTGTTTGAAGCCAGGTGTGCTGGCTCACCCCTGTAATCCCAGCACTTTGGGAGGCCAAGACGGGTGGATCACCTGAGGTCTGGAGTTTATGACCAACCTAGCCAACCTGGTGAAACCCCGTCTCTACTAAAAATACAAAAATTAGCTGGGTGTGGTGGTGGGCGTCTGTAATCCCAGCTACCTGGGAGGCTGAGGCAGGAGAATCACTTGAACCCTGGAGGTGGAGGTTGCAGTGAGCCGAGATTGCGCCACTGCACTCCAGCCTGGGTGACAGAGTGAGACTCCATCTCAAAAAAAAAAAAAAAAAAACACACAAAGATAACTGTTTGATAAGAGTCAAAAGGTACGAAAGAGATAGATCGTGAAAGGCCTTGAAAGATAAGCTAGGAGTATGGAGTTAAACCTGCACCTTTTAAAGCAGTAAGCAGGGGATCGGCAAATTTGTATTTCAGACCCATCATTCTGTTGGAGCAGGAGGCAAGTCGTAGGCAGGGAAGTCAGTTATACAACTACTCCAAGTCCAGGAAGAGATGACAAAGCTGAGTGTGCACATCAGCTGTGAGAATGGATATGACAGCAAGGAACAAAAACCAAGCCAACACCTGGATGCGGGGTTGGAGAAAAGGTTAGGATAGCATCAGGTTTTTAGCTTGGAAAATCATGTGGCTGGTACAGCCAATAGCAGAGAGAGGAACAAGAGAAGATGCATGCTTGGGGAAATACAAGAATTAATGATATGTGCTGAAATCAAGGTGACTGTGAGACATAGCGGCAGAAACTTCTAGTGGGCAGTTGGACATCTGGATGTGGAGGTTAGAATAGAAAGCTGAGTCAGCCACACTGACGTCAAGTGTACATCAACCACTCAATCAGAGCATGAAAACTGATCATAGAGGACAGAAGGCTGAAGTTATGGACGAGATGGGGAAGACTTAAGCATGTTCAGAGCCTATGGTGAAAGTATCTAGAAAAAGGAGAGGGCAGAAAACATAGAAAAGAAAGGAAAGAATCAATTATGTAAGCTTCTGGAGTAGAAAAGAGGGAAAGGAATTGAGAAGACAGGAGGAGGAACTGGCCTGGAACAAAACAAAGGACAAAACCCCCTCTGAGATCAATGGGAAAAAAGGAGGTAAGACTGGAGCAAATGAGGGTACATGAATGGGCAGGATGTTGACAGGGAGTGGACACCTAACGGTATTAAGGGCTCTAAGAAGTTGGAGGGTATTACAGGTTGAATTGTGTCCACCAAAAATTCATATATCGAAGTCTTAATCCCCAGTACCTCCAAAAGTGATCTTATTTTGAAAAGGGGGTCGTACAGATGTAATTAAATTAAGAGGTCATACTGAAGTAGGGTGAGCCCCTAATCTAATATGACTTGTATCCTTGTAAAAAGGGGAAATTTAGATAGACAGCCATGCATTAAGGGAAAACAATGTAAAAAGACACAGGGAGAAGGTAGTCATCTAGAGCTAAGGGGAGAGGCCTGGAATGGAGCCTTCTCTAACAGTCCTCTGAAAGAACCAACTCTGCTACTGTTTGTCAGACTTCTGGTCTCCAGAACTGTGAGACAATAAAAATTCTGTTATTTAAGTCACACAGTTTGTGGTACTTTGCTAGGGCAGCCCTAGGAAACTAACAGAGAGAAAGCCTTCTACTAAAAGAAGAAAGGGTGGAGGAGGGTCGCAAGAAGGCTTAGGGGGAGTGAAAAGAGTTCAGCAGGAAACAGGCCAGCGGCACAAGGACACAAATGCAAGATGGTCCACAGTTGCCTGACGTTCCAGCTAAGGATGGAAATGATAAATTTATTTATAGAGTGATTTCCTCAAGCAGCTCTTGGCAGCCACTAGGTAAGATAGGAAAAGATGCCAGGTCAAAATCAAGGGCTGGCAGCGTACATTACAAATGAAGTACAAAGGGGTAAGGCCATTGAGGATACCAGCAAGAGAGTGATGTTCCCTGAGTGATCAGGGAAGGAACTATGGGGGAGAATGGGTTATGGACTATGAGAATGGGATGGGACAGGCAGAGAAGGGATCATCTAGAAACTGGAAGCCGGCAAAGAAAAGATACAGGGAATACAGCAGCAGTGAGAAAGCTAAACAGGAAAGATTGTTAGTGGGATTTAATATTTTAAATCTAGGACAGTCCCAGTAAGATGCAGTTCCTGCAGAAACCAAATAAGGGTAAAGCAGGTATGAGACGAGAAAGTCAGGGATGCTAGAATGTTGTATGACAGCGTATACATCATCCATATGGACACTGAGACAGCCCTTAATGGTGATAGTCAGGGTAGAGAAAAGACTGAACCAGCTTCCACCATGCTCAATAAATGGAAAAGAATGACCAGAAATATCCACAAATCATATTTGTATCTAACCACTTGTATTAGTCCATTTTCACATTGCTATAAAGAAATTCCTGAGACCAGGTAATTTATAAAGAAAGGAGGCTGAATTGGCTCACGGATATGCAGGATGTACAGGAATCCTAGTGACTTCTGCTTCCAAGGAGGCCTCAGGAAGCTTCCAATCCTGGCAGTAGGCAAAGGGAGAGCCAGCTTCTTACATGGCAGAAGCTAAGAGCAAGACAGCGAAGGGGGAGGTGCTACACACTTTTAAACAACCAGCTCTCACAAGAATTCCCTCACTATCACCAGAACAGCACCAAGGGGATGGTTCTAAATCATTCAAGAAGGATCCACCCCCACAATCCAATCACCTCCCACCAGGCCCCCCTTCCAACACGAGATTTGGCAGGGACACGATCCAAACCATATCATCCCTAGATTCTGGTTCTCATAAAAATCACTGCATGGCTGTATGTGATGGCTCACACCTGTAATCCCAACACTTTAGGAGGCTGAGATGGGAGGATCACCTGAGACCAGGAGTTCGAGACCAGCATGAACAATATGGTGAGACTCCATCTCTACAAAAAATACAAAAATTAGCCAGGTGGTGGTGGATGCCTGTGGTCCCAGCTACTTAGAAGGCTGAGGTGGGAGGATAGGTTGGGCCTTGGAGGTGGAGGCTGCAGTGAGCCGCGATGGCACCACTGTACTCCAAACTGGATGACCAAGGGACACCAAGTCTCAAAAAAATAATAATAATAACTGCCACCTTTATTATCTCTGGTATTATATCTTTATATAAAATAACAAAGAGGGACATGGACTAGAAGCCAATATCATTGTGCACAGTCTCCACCTAACAGAATTGTTATACTAAATGTAAAGTAAGCAAGTTAACCTATAAAAATGTGCTTGGAGCACTCACAGACCAGATGTAGAATTTTTTTTAATTTTATACGCTTTGTATACATTTTCCTAGGATTTGAAAAAATAAAATAGCTGGAAAATGACAAAATAAGTGCTAGCAGCCTTCTACTTCACAAACATAAAATAACTCACCAAAGCAGAGAAGAATTAGAAAACTCATACACGGTCACCCATTTTTAGGAAACAAACTAAGTGCTTAATTATCTGGATTATATGCCATAAACATATGAAATTCTTTGCATTTCAAAGGTTTATTCTAATTGCTAAAAATTTTGTATTTCTCACCAAAGAGCCAGGCAGAGCCAACACTTTGTTCTGGCAATCATCAAAGCTAAAAAACAGAGGGATAAAGCAGAACTGCATGAGTTAACCTTTTAATTTACCCATGAGAACAATTCATGAATTGCTGTAGCTATCACCATTTCCAACTATTTCCACATACACATACACATACACTTAATTAGAGCTTTTGTCTCCAAAGTTCAAAAGGTTTTACGCGTGGTAATTTTACATTGGTGGACATTATCTGTATTTTCTGACCTTTCATATATTAGGTATCATTAATATTCTAAAATAAATCATTAAATCAAAAATAAAATTCAAAAATTCACCAGAAATCATAGTGTAGTTATTGTTCATTATTCCAGGAAAAATGGGGCCACTTAAGGACATGGTCTGGTCATTTATTAGGAACAAAAGGGTAAAAAGACATTTGGAAATTTCTGCAGTCATTTCACAGGTATGAAGTTGATGCTTTACCCAAAACTCTCATCACAATGTCACTAGAAACATTATGTCCACTAAAAACTATGACACAAAATACCAATCTTCTTTCACCTTCAATCTAGCTTAACCATGTGTTTCTCCAATAATTATGTAGCCCCTTCACTGTGGCCAAGTACTATGTCAAACCCTTCCAAACATCAAGAAGCTGGGAGGGGAAAAGGACTGAAACTAATAAAATTTTACTTGGGATATTTTAGAAATGATTAGTCCATCCAAGTAAAATGTGTAGATTTAGACCACAGAACATTAAATGGCTAATATTGTAGTCAGGGACCAAATACACAATGAATGAAAAGCAAAATGATCATTCATAGAATGTCCCCTCTCCAACTATGACCGCCTTCAGCAAAATTCCTATTGTTTGCTTATTGTAAATACCTGAAGCCCTCAATACTTAACTTCTAAACTGTTCAATTAAACACACACACAAACACACACGTGTGCTCACAAACACAGCCCAGTTTACAACAAGCATAGTTCCTGAATATAATTCCAGTCTGGTTTTGAAAATTAGCAGATTAGACTGAAATCATGGCATTTCAGTCTATGATTAAATAAGTCTGTATTTCTTTTTCTGCTGTGTTCAAGGTCAAACATTTGACACATACTCTAGAGGCATCCTCTACATGAATCAGGGAGTTGTTACCAAACTCCAGCTCAGGCACTCTCTGGAAGAGGCCACTCCTTGAAATAAGGAGCCTTCCAGCTCATAAATACTAAGGAGAGTTGCCACACCTTATTGCATACCTAAGAAGCTGACCCAACCCTCAAAGTTTTAAGACTAAAATCTGAATTGATTCCAATGGACTGTAGAGTTCCCCAGCTCCAGGAGAGAGAAGGTAAAAAACAAGCGTTCAAAAAAATTTCTACTATTATAATCTGAAAATGATCACAGAAGAACTCAGTTCCTATGTACATAAGCAGAGTTTTAGTGCTCTTTTCTGATGTGATAAAATTGTCATTTTGATCCTTTTGTATAGTTCATAAGCGTGATGATTGGGGTTTCACCTCATGTGTAAGATGTGCCTCCCTCAAACCTTACTACAAGGTCAGTACATTACCTGTCTGACATAAAACATGAAAAAAAATTGTAATCTTATGTTGGTTGTTACATTATTTAGAATCCTACATTTAGAGCTAAGAGGCAACTTGAAGATCATAGTTCAACTGATTTTACAAATGAGAATGTCATGGCCGGGGTAAGTTAAACGACCTGCCCAAATAACTAGAAAGTGGCAGATGAGAATCCACATTGCCTAACACCTAATTCATCACTCTCTCTACTCCTCTACAATAGATATTTACTCACATTCAATAGATACGTACTGAAAGTTAACTACGAGCAACACACTCAGGGATTAAAAAGTGAATCCAATCACCCCCATACGGAATCTAAACAATGGTGGGTTTTAGATAATATTTTCTCAGTTTTAATATGCAAGTCATCACATGAAGCTTTAGGTGAAATGTTAGAGGAATATCTGAAATTAACTCTCCTCATAGCTGTAATTCTTCATTTTTAATCCTTCTATCTACTCTGTAGCCCTTCCAACTACAGAAGGTGGATGTCAAAGTGAAAGCATCAATGACGATGATGATGGTGATGATGAAGGCAATGAAGATGATAACACCAATTATGAGCTATTCACTTTTTGTGAGCCATTATTCTGAAACCTTCATATGCATTACCTTATTTAATTATCTTAACCCTTAAAGGAAAGATACTATTATTATCTCTATTTTACAAAGGATATGAAATTAATAAGTCAAATGCCCAAACAGAGGGTAGTTGAATTGGGGATTATACCCCGGCATGCCTTCATTACCACTATCTCCCAAGATTTTCTGGCCTTGAGTCTTTCCTTCATTAGCTGGAAATGACTTGCCCCTTCTGGATCTCAATTTCTTCATCTGTGTAATGATGGAGTGGGAAAATTATTATTTCCAATGGATCTTCCAAGTAGAGCATTCTGTGATTTACTGATTTGTGATAGTTTACAATCTCTTGTGGCAGAGGAAGGAAGCCACTTTGCAAAAGCTAAGGATGATTTTGACCCAAATTACAAACTCCAGACCTTTGACTATACAGAGGTTTCAGAATAACAGAGAGAGGGAGTAGTTACAGGTTTGACACATCTTTAACCTTCAGCTGGGCTCCAGCCTCAGGTGCTTTTTAAAGCTAATCACTAACAACAGTGTTTAAGCAAGAAAAAAGGTTTTCGAAATGCCTAATGATGATTAGGAAGAGTTTGTAAAAACATGGGAAAATATAATGTTATCATATCAAAGAAAAAAGCGGGATATAATAATGGGCTGCTTTTTTTAAAACACGGAGAAAGAAGCAAGAACATTCAACAGTTGTTGTATCGGGGTAACAGGATTTATGAGATTTTTTCTTTCTCCTTTTCCTTATTTCTCTCTTTTTATGTAAGCTTAAATTATCTACATAATTAGAGGGGAAACTTTCTTTACAAAGAGAAAAATGGTACCAAATATTCTCATATTGATTGCTCCTGAAAAGAAAGAAAACACTCTCCTGAAAAATATCTCAATAACAACACTACCGAAATTCCAGAAATACATGTTTAGAGGAAAACTCCATTATTGCCCACTATGAAGGAAGAAGAAAAGACTCCTCTATTGCTTCAAGCCTAGAAGAATTAAGTTTTTTAGAGGATGTCACAGGAATGCTGGCAGGGAAAGTTGCTTTGGAGTCCAGGGACACACAGCTTTGTAAAGCTCAGCCCAGGAAAAAGAGAACAGGTGCAGCAGATGAAGCAGCAGACCGTGACAGCCAAATGACGGTGGCCCCATCCAGAAATCCCAGCCTGGAGCAGGTTCTCTCTGAGCAGACCTGCCATGCACCACAGCCAGCCACATGGCCAAGGGGACTTTCCATGAGCACAAATGCCCTTTCCTCACTGAAGCACTGCAGCAGAGGGAAGACAGGTAGCATATTTCATGGAATATGTAACTATTAAAACAAACCAAACCACCAAACCAAACTGATTTATGCTTTCATCAGGCTTTAGGGTAAGCACACTGTATAGATAACACCCATGTTCCTATATAAAAACACAATCTATATACACATGTGGCCCAGTTTACAACACAGATCAATGAGTGTGGCTCAGGATGGTTACAATGAAACATTTCACTCTTTGGCACTGTGAAAATATTTTGTAAACATTCACTATTTCTCTGGTGATTCCTACTTATACTACAAAAATTCAGGAATGACTGCAATTTTAAAATCACATTCAGGATGCTATTTAATTACATATGAACTCTCTGCCTTACTTGAACAGTATTTTACACTACTTTGTGGCAAGTAGATCAAGACGGATCTGATATACAAAGAATAGGAAAACTAGAACAGGAAAAGTCAGCTCCTCCCTTGGGAGACTGACAGACAATATGTGGCATCGACAACACATCACACCCTGATTCAGCTGAGGTCTGCAAGGAGCCATGGTGAGCCATGGTGCCCAACTTACCAACAGCTCCAGACTTGCCTTAAGCACGTACATCACTCTGCGTGTCTCAAGCACTACCACTAGCAAGAAGGCAACAACACAAAGGCCTGCATGTGTCTTCTAATTAGCTCATTTATTAATTGAAAAAGACATATTTCTGTTACTTGCTACCAAAACTCATTTGAACGATTATTTAAAATTTGAAAATATAATAATGCAATGAAATAAACAGATGTTATCTCGCGTTTTAAAGGCATTTTTTTTGTTTCCAGGTACAAAGTTGGCAGCTACTGACTTTACCTGGTAGTCATTAAATACATCTAACATTAGATAAAGAAATTTAACCTACCTCATCAAAGGTGGTGTCATCTTTCTTCAAAGCTATAAAATAAGAAGGAAAAGGAAACAGTTATTGTGAAAAATTCCAAAGAGACTAAGTTATAGAAAACAGAAAAAAAAACAAGGCAGTATGGTGTTTTCATTTCAGAAAGTAAATTGTACCCCAACCTGAATAACAATGTTATGATACAAATATGAAAACTGCAAATGAAAGAGAATTGCACAGCATGCATCTTTTGAAATATTTTTTATAAATATGCAAATAGAACTATCCTCCCAGATATTAGAAAGAAGCACACATAACTGTTCCCTATCTCTTCTTTAGTTGGAACATGTTTCAATGAAAGTATAAAAGAATCACGAAGTAATCTTAAAGAAATTTCCCCTTAAACTCCTGGGTTTTGAGAAGATATCACCAATTGTTAGGATGACACCTTCTTTGCACAGAGCCCTGAATGACATTTTCATACTAAGTGAAGTGTAAGTGTGTTGATGAAAGACTAAGCCTGCTAAAACAAGCATTGCAGAGTAAGAGACATAATTTAAACATTTCGACATGATAAATTTTATAACAAAGTATTTCAAAAGAAAACAATACATTCAGAATATTTTATAGGAACCAGAAAATACTTCAAATTTACTTTAAATCCAGACATGTGTCACTTAACAACTGGGATACATTCTCAGAAATGCACCCTTAGGCAATTTCATTGTGCAAATGTCACAGAGTGTACTTATACAAACCTAGATGGTATCACCTACTACACACCTAGGCTATATGGTATAGCCTATTACTCCTGGGCTACAAACCTATACAGCATGTTACTGTACCAAATACTATAGGCAACTGTAACACAATGGCAAGTATTTGTGTATCTAAACATAGAAAAATGTACAGTAAAAATACAGTATTGTAAACTTGCGGGACCACCATCAAGTATGCGTGACTGTTCATAGCTTTAGAACTGGAATTTTTTCACCCAACATAGAAGAAGAATTTCACCTACAGTTGGCAAACATCTAGTTCCTTACATTTTACAATTACTTAGAATGTTTCATATTAAGAAGAATGCATTAAATAGCTAATTTATCTGAAACTACTAGCTGGAGAAATGTTTCAAATTTACGGAACAATGCATAGGTGTTTGCTGCTTTATACATGATTTAGTCTGGATAGAAGCACTTGGGTAGCTATTGGAAAGCTTTGTTCTGACAAAAGCAATGAAAAGCAAATTATTCTGGCAATTAAGCTCTGAGAAAAGTAATGTGCCTAAACTGAAGCTATCATAGAAAAGCTTAGGATACATACTCTAACAATCGTGAAAAGGTTATTTTCTCTGTTTCATATATTTGTGTTTTCAAGAAGAATGTGATTGCGGTGAGTTAAGGGGGATGCAGGTAGGCTGAGGGAAATAAAACGTTTCTAAAAGTTTCTTATTTTTCCCTTTTGCCTAATAAACTAATCTTTCTTTATTGGATAACCATTTCTTCTGAAAGTGAATGGAAAATAAAAAGATAGTCCTTTGTTGTGAATGGCTTATCTTGCATTCAATTACTTGCACATGTTTTAATTATGTATTTAACTTAACCTACATTAAAACTAAAATAACCTACATTAAATCTAAAATAATCTGTTTTGATAGAACCATATTAAGATCCTAGCTAATTCCTAATGACTGCATTTTCACTAGAATTTAACTTCTAGGCTACAAGGCTCTGTATAAATACCAGTCAACAATATTACCATACTGTCTACTCCCTCAACCCAAGGCGTGTCCTTTAATTAACATACTTTGACTAATGAGTCCTTTACAAAACATTAGTAATGTAATTCTAAATAGAGACAAGTTGCTTCATCTGAAAAACTAAACTTTTAGGAATAAGAAATTAATAGCCCATTGATTTCAAATACAAAGTCTAACATAAGCAAATTGCCATACAGCCTCATACCTAGCTCATTTAACAAAGATTAATGGAACACGCGCACTATGTGGCTGCCATGCAAGATGCAAAGCTACAGCAGCAAACTTACAATTCACGGCACAAACTTTTAAATATACTGTCTTTATTTTGGACATTATAAAAGTTCTGGAAATTTAGCCATGTGTTTTCTTAAGCAAAGCATCCAATAAGAACTACAGTTGACACTACCCCACCAGGTGCAGTGGCTCACACCTGTAATCCCAGCACTTTGGAAGGCTGAGGCGGATGGGTCGCCAGAGCTCAGGAGTTTGAGACCAGCCTGGGCAACAGGGGGAATCCCTGTCTCTACAAAAACAATACCACATACATACATACATACATACATACATACATACATACATACATACATACATAAAATTAGCCAAGCGTGGTGGTGGTGCCCTGTGGTTCCAGCTATTCGGGAGGCTGAGGTGGGAGGATCACTTGAGCCTGGGAGGCAGAGGTTGCAGTGAGCAAGATTGCGCCACTGCACTCCAGCCTGGGCGACAGAGTGAGACCCTGTTCCTCTGCCGCCAAAAAAAAAGATACTATCCCTTAGGGAACTGCAAATATGGAATGAAGACCCTCAAGTTGAGAAATGAAGACAGCAGAAAACTGGAATTCCTTGAACAACCAAACTGGACTATTTCCTTCTTATCTCCTAAGTCCTGACAATTCTCCAACATTCTGGACAAAGAGGTGGGGTCTGGAGGTATCAAGAGGAGAAAATAGAAGAAACTGCAAGTGTATTTGCTATGACATAATGAACAGGAAGCCAGATTATCTCATCTGCACAATACTCTCAAGCTCAAGGTACCACAGAACACCATTACTTCACTGAAGTCATTCACTGCTAGACTGACACCTTACACGGTTTCTTCTAAATATTGAGTCCTTGTCCTGAACAGCAGTTAACAGTGACAACAAAGACCAACTTAAGATGTCTTTGCCAGATGTTCATCAGGTCACTGATGAGTAAATTCTGACCCAAACAAGAACACAAGATCTCATTATTGATTACATTCCCTGATTGCCATTAATCATTCATGTAAATGTAAATCCACAATTATCTTTAAGGATTTCATGGAGTAACAAGCATATTACATTATTCTGGAATAGCCAAGGGGCATATATCAAAATATTTAAGATCAGCAGATATTCTATTCAGTCCTCTGCTCAGACAGTCCTTCCTCTAGAAAGCTTCTCATGATTTCACCTAGATGAAAGTGATGCTCCTCCTGTGTTCTCCAACAGCAAATTTCGCTAATCTTCATGGTAGAATCTGTCACTTTATATTGTAAATGCCTGTTAATTGGCCTGTTTTCCCTTAAAATCCTTGAGGACAGGGACCACCCACATTAGTCAGTCGATCTGACTGTCAGAACAATATCTACAGTGGGGAAGAGGTACTAAATAATTATTTGTTGAATTAATGAGTCCTACCTCAATGGCAAAAGGAGAGTATCTTTTGAGACACACTTAAGTTTTGGTGTATGAAAATGCTACACTGGTTCTCTCTTAAAAGATCATGGATATAAATTCCATTTTGTAGTTTTCAAATTAAAATATTTTGAAGTTGCATTGGGGAAAATGTGGTACAACAGTTAAATTTTGTGTCTGAACATTTAACCTTATATTTCTCTTTTCTGACATAATGAATTCGTCACATGACAACTGGACTCTAGAATTACACAGTTACAGCACAAGGTAACAAACCCCAAAGTTCAGTGTAATCACAGCCTCTTCTTTTTATTTAGTTCCCTCACAAACCATGTCCTTTAAAGAAATGGTATACATGGTGTTCATCTCAAATATCGCAGAGTATAAACTTCCTTTCTCTAGGAGACAGTCCAAATAAGTATGAAGCAATGCATTCAAATGAATATGAAAAAATGTCAGTTTGACCTTAATCATACACCGGATATTACATAAAGCCTTTCTCCTTCTAGGCTAACATTCAAAAATAAAAAAGAAACAAGAAAGAAAAGAGGAAATGAACTTTAAAATACTTAAACTACTCAATAATTAAATTCCCATTTGTCTTTGTTAGCCTAAATTTTAAAAAAAAGTGTGAGACAACTGTAGTAATTCCTAAATAAGGAACCACGCTGACACTATTTAGTAGAAAACCATAAATACTACCGAAATTGATGGGTGACTTTAAAATTCAATTACACTCATCTTATAAAAGAACCATAACTATATCATAGTCATTCCCTGGCAGATGTCATAAATTAGAGCACTATGGCTTGAAAGCCATGTGTTTTATAATATAGTAATCTCAGCTCAGCTGTATTTGGGGTGGGCAGTGACAAAGTCAGCATGATCTCTAATGTGTAAACAAATTAAACATTAGCACTGCTTTATGTATTTAGAATTATTATTATTAATGATAAACACTGACCAGACATCAGATACTTTCAAATATTTCCTCATTTTCAATAGATGAATGATTAATAATTTCTTACAGCTAAATAATAGTATTGTACATTTCACCATACAACAAGCTACACTTTTGGATAATACTAAAGCAGCAAAATAAAGTCAGCATGTCTATTTCAAAAGCTTAGATTGGTTAAAGAGAATGAATATGTTGCAGTGTGGATTATTCAACAAGAATAAACCATTCACTCTTCGATCTCCTCATGAAGTACCAATGAAGAAAGGAGGATGATGGGGTATAAACAGAAATTGCAAGGAACAATGACAGCCTATGGTATTGACCTTCACCTTGTGATAGATACTGCACTAGATTTTTCAGGTGTTTTATCCGATTTAGTCTTCACATATATTCACCGTATATGAATATTTACAGATGAGGACTCTGGGCTTTAGGGTAATTCCACCGGCTGCAAAATTCCACTGGCACAGAGCAAGCAGCGAAAACCCAGTTCAAATCCAGGCCTGCCTAACTCCGTTTTAAGGCTGGCTACACTACAAAGTCAATGGCCACTTCCCTCTTCTCTTGCTTTCTATCTATAAGATCAGTTATGTCAGTATGATGGAATTCCTAATAATAACAAAAACAATGATAACATATCTTGAACGTTTACTGAGTCTTTATTTAATGTGCCACACAAGACATGGTATGCATTATTTCACTAAAAGCCAACAACGAAACTGAGTTGTACATGAAAAACTGAAGCTCAGAGAAGTTGAGAGACCTTGGCTGGGCATGGCAACATGGGAAACAGTCTGTGTGACACACAGCCCACATTCTTAACTCATGCACTATATAATCCCACAGTAAGCCCTCAACTCAACAACCTCTAGCGCCTTAAAAATCCTTAGATAGGCCGGGCGCGGTGGCTCTCGCCTGTAATCCCAGCACTTTGGGAGGCCGAGGCGGGCGGATCACGAGGTCAGGAGATCGAGACCATCCCGGCTAAAACGGTGAAACCCCGTCTCTACTAAAAATACAAAAAATTAGCCAGGCGTAGTGGCGGGCGCCTGTAGTCCCAGCTACTTGGGAGGCTGAGGCAGGAGAATGGCGTGAACCCGGGAGGCGGAGCTTGCAGTGAGCCGAGATCCCGCCACTGCACTCCAGCCTGGGCGACAGAGCGAGACTCCGTCTCAAAAAAAAAAAAAAAAAATCCTTAGATAATCAGAATGAGTTCACTGGTTTTAATTTTGCAAATACAATATAAAACATCAAGAAAATAAGAAGATACAGATTTTGTTTCTGTAATGCTACTTTGAATGTCGTTGGCTTGGTATACAACTATAATCACTTCAATATCTCCTATTACAATACTCCATAATGAGATCTACGATTCAGAATCATATTTTCCATCAATACAAGAAATAATCAGCTGTGCTCACTGCACTGCATTCTGTGTCCTAAAGGGAGGATATAAAATCCACCAGCTCTTAGAAGACATTTTAACAAGAGTTGGATTCAAAAGGAGTTTCACATCACTAAATCTCAGTAAGCTAGAAAATCCAATTAACTATAATACCCCCATTTGCCAGCACTGTACTTAATCCAAATTTTACTGATTGTCGATCAAAACCTTGAAATTATTTAAATATAAGGAACTTTTAGATTAATGTCCTTGGTTTCTTACTGAGACTCAATTGCAATGAATTATTTAACACAAAACTGGAGGGGCTCCAGCAGAATCATTAGCATTAGTAAATATATAGTTAATGTGTTTTAGAACACGGCTTAATGGACTCCAGAACCCGCCTCTGCGACGGTTTGGGTCAGGGTTGAAACATCCTCGTTAATAATGCACACGACTCAACATTTCCCTCTCTCACACTCTTCTTGGCTTCAAACTTCATCTTAATGCAGGGACTCTCCACATGTATCCCTAATTCTGAAGAGTGAAATTAATATCCAATACATGCAATAAATAAAACTAAAGATTGGTTTCATACCATAACTTTACAGTCATCTGGGGAAAGATTTTGCATACCAACACAAAATTTTAAGTCGAAAGACAAAAAAAAAAAAAAAAACTTGGCTAAATTTCGATCCATTGTACTCTCTCACTTGAAGAAAGTTTGCATATCTTACAATGAATGGGTGGAAGGATATCTGTAACACTCATGTGCATCCCAGGGTTTTATTTTAAGGAATTAAGTACCTTTATGTTTAATTTCCATTAACACTTTCGTTAACATGGATGACATTTAAAACAAGTGAAACAAAGACTAGGCAGCTTCCTAGGGACTCGCAGGGGTTATCTTTTGTGTCTATAGCATTCTCTTGCTCAGGGCAGTTACATGTTATTAGTGAAAGTTGTGACAGTAGGGGAGGCAGCTAACTCTTCAGGTTAAAAGGGGTTTTCTATGCCCAGTACTCAAAATCTAACAAACCCATTCCACGTGATACTGCTGTCACCCTATTACAACCTGTGACATGCATTTATTCGTCACTGTCCTAAACACTGTTGGTCAGTTGGTTTGTTGTTTGGTTTAAAGACAACAGCCCCTGAGCTCTATTAAATGGAACAAGTTCGAGAGACATTCCTAAATGTCCAGACAACTCCACAGCGCGCATTTCTCTCCAGCAGCGGGAAGATTCAGAGACCTCGAGACTGAACACCCAAATCTCGCTTTCCAGGACCCGAAGTACCGAACAATAGGTCCCAAGGTAACTGTCCCACTTCCCTTTAGGTTGGATACGTTAAACAATACCAGGGCACAGTCTAACGTTTCACCAATTTCCAAAGCTAAATTACTGACTAAACGCCCAATATCCAAGCCTGTGCGCAAAAAATAACAAGTGGCCCAAGCAGCCGCGCAGCCCCTTGCGCGGTGGGGGCCGAGGGGTCCCCTCGCCCGTCCCCCACGCGCGCGAAAGGGCGAGCACTAGTGGCGGAGGAGGGGAGAACCCATATTGTAGGCTTGAGAGAATCTACAAATGAACCCCCAGATCCTGAGGAAGAGGGGTCTCTTTCCTTTACGTCCTTGCCCTCCCCCGGGTCCCTAGCACTGTGCCCTCGATCCCCGCCTACAACGCACCCCACGCCAGCCCCGCTGGCAGCTGCATGGCTGGTGCCAGGAACGCGGCGGGGGCGCAGGCCGAGGGGAGCGGGCGCTGGGGGGGCCGGGGGCAGCGCGCTACTCACCAATGCGACTGAAACTCTCCGACAAAGTTCTCCGCAACTTCTTCATCTTGCCGATCTTCTCGGCCGGCTGCGGCTCAATGAGGTCACACATCTGGGCGACGCGGAGCCCCGACAACTTCCCCAAACTGGTCCAGGCACAGCTCAGACAACGGCGAGGGCGCGCGCCGCGGGGAAAGCGGCGCCTCCTCCTCCACCACCTCCTCGGCGGGCCGGGAAGCGACGCGCAGGTCTAGGGAGGCGAGCAGCAGGCAGGCGGAGGACGGCAGGCTCCGCTCCGGCCTGGGCCGCAGCTGGGCGGGCGGGGGCGGTTTACGTGGTGCCGGGGGCGGCCGCGCTCGCCGCCGCCGTGGTGGCCCCGCGCCGCGCCGCCGCCGCCCGGCTCATTTTCCCTCCTTTGTAACGGAGAGAAGCGCGGCCGGCAGGGGGAGTGGTGCGGCCGAAGGAGGAGGCGGGGCGGGCCGGGTACAAGGTGCGGGAGTCGCCTGGCGCCGAGTGCGCGGGGCGAGGGCGAGTGGGCCGGCGGGAGAAGTTCTCAGCCCAGAGTTGCGGGCGCAGCGCAGAAGGAGCCGCGGCGCGGAACCGCCAGCCTGACAGCTCCTGCTGCCCTCCTGCTGCCGCCGCCACGCCCCTCCCTCGACGAAGGCCCCTGGGCGCGGGATCCTAGCACGACCTCGGCTCCCCGCTCGCCTCCCGCGTCCTCCGCGGCCCTCTGTGTCTGGCTCGCGCCCCGGCGGCGCCCCCTCCCGGCCGCGCCCCTCCCGGCCGCCCCCGCGCTCCTCCCCCGCCCCGCCCGCGCGCGGGAGGATCACGAAGGGACCGGGGTGGGAGCGGGCAGCGTCTGGGGACAGCGTGTTGGGCTGTGGGGAGGTTACCGAAAGGAAACGGGCCGAGTCCAGTTGTTTGAGCGGTTTTCTCCTTCCACGAGCGTGTGTGAAAAAGCGCGGAGTTCGGTGGAGGGCAGCTGCCAGGACTGCCTCCTGGACTGGGTGCGGTAAGGCCTTAGGGATGCATTCAGATGTAGGGTGCCTTATTTTGGGCCGAGAAAGCTGTCAAGTGAAAGATCCAAGGGGAAAGGTGGGCCTGGATTTTTTTGTTGTTGTTTGCGGTGGGTTTTTTGTTTGTTTTGAGGTCAAGTGCAGAAGCAGCGGAAGCTTCAACTGTAACCCTCCAGAAGGCAGGGATCATGCTGTTTCCCTCATCCTTGTCTCTGATCTTGGTGACACATGTAGGTGATTTCTGATAGGAATACCCAGTTCTGCAGTAAATAGCAGACACAGCCCTTGGTCTTTTTCTATTAAATTCTTAGAATATATTTCTGAATTGGGAGATTTAAAGGCTAAACAGATTCCGACCTCCTTTTCCCCCACCTCAAAAACAGAACTTTAAAAAGGAGTGGGGGAGGTGTTTATAAAATCCCAGGACAAACAGTTCCAGCAGCGAACACACATCGTCTTCATTCTGAAAAAACCTGGTGCGGCGTGAGTTCCAAACGTCAGTCTCCCAGGGGAGAGAGAAGGAAGGTGGGGGAGGGCTTGATTGTGTTGATCTGAGGCCAGCAAACTCCTTATGAATAGAAACGTTAGTAATCTTGAGTCATTTGGCTGTGTAAGTAATAAGAGCTTGTGAGGGTGTGACAATGCTGTTTGGCTTGTAGGAAATTTTGGGGAGTTTATGTTTTGTTAAAAGATTTTTATCTTAAAAACTAGCCCCCTGCCTTCCTTAAATTGTGAGGTAAAACAGTGATTTGTTCCGCCCTACACTGAGCACATTGTAGGATCTTGATAGATTGCGGATGATAAAAGACAGGAAGTCAAGCTAAGTGGGGAGCAGAGGGGGGCAAGGAATTCGCCAGGAAAGACCATATGAGTTAAAACGCAAAGCTGTTGGATCCTGGCTGCCATGTCTAGATAATTACAGACAGCACCAAGGGTGGCCTCATACCGGAAAAAAGTTTGACTTTTACCACTTCCTCAGGTTAGTTAGGGAGAAAGTTTTCAGCAGTTATGAATGAAAAGACAAATGCAACCAATCAAAACACTAATGGGTTGTACGAGTCAACAAACACGAAGAAATATTAATTTAACGAACTTTCACTATTATACACCTGTGACTGTTATCCACTGTGACAATGGCTGTTTCAAATATATAATATGTTAAATATATGTTTATTTTACCTTCGCAGTATTTTTTTTTTTTTTTCCGAGACAGGGCCTGTCGCCCAGGCTGGAGTGCAGTGGCGCCATCTCGGCTGACTGCAACCTTCTCTCCTGGGCTCAAGCCATCCTCCCACCTCAGCCTCCTAAATAGCTGGGACTACGGGTGCGCACCACCACGCCTGGCTAATTTTTGTAGAAACGGGGTTTCATCATGTTACCGACGCTGGTCTCCTACTCTTGAGCTCAAGCAATCCGCCCGCCTTGACCTCCCAAAGTTCTGGGATTACAGGCGTGCACCACCACCATGCTCTTCCCCTTCCCAGTATTTCTGACTTAAAAAAAGTAGTCAGCTTCTTCTTAAATTATGGTAAAAGCATACAAAGGTATGCACCAATTTTCTTAAATGAGATCAGTGTGTACTGATGTGTGAATATGTACAGGCTAATTTGGGAGAAAAGCATGTTTAATATTTTAAACCATTTGTGGAAAAAATGTATACACATCTATGTGTTCCTATATGCATAGAATATTTCTGGAAAAAAGAACAGAAAACTGTTGATTGTATATCCAGAACAGAGAGAACTTTTCCCTTTGCAATTTATACCTTTAAGTATAGTTTGAATGTTCTAAGAATGCTTTACTTTTATAATAATAAAAATACTAATATAAACATAATGAATATTTTCCTTTTCCCTACCCCACTTCAAAACTTCAGCTCTCCCAACTCCAGAACAACTTCCTCTAGTTACAACAGTATACCTGGCAGGAGAAACACCTGTTAAGCCTGGGCCAAATAAAGCTTGGCAATTATGAGTAACCAACTTTCCATTATATGCTCATCTTGCTCCCTTTCCTGGTTATATTTTAAAAGAGCAAATTTTGCAAGAAACTGCAATGCAAAGAAGGACATTTTTAACTTGACGCTTTTAAGATATGTATACTTATTCAACTCTTTCTACTATTATTTGTTTCACATTTGCCTTCATCTTAAACAGTGTAAGTTCAGGGACCCTAAGATATGAAACACACAGTGCCTGTTGCATAGAGAATGTAAATTAATGTTTGTCAAATAAATATAGAATGGATTGCTATCTCTGAGAAGTGATGTGTTGTCCTTGGAAACAAAGATGACTATCCAGCATCTGTGTAGCATGTTTTTTCAGTAGGAGAATGGATCTGTGCCAGTTCTCCATCTCAACTTCTGGTTTACAAGGTTATAGTTTTGCATGGCCTGAATTAAAGGTGCAGTGTTCAAGTACAAAGAGATAAGCTTATCTAGAGGCTGAACCCAACATGGGTTGACCTTAACCAAATTCACCAATTAAAGGATACAAGTGTATTGGAGTTCAGTAGTAACAAAAGTGGCTGGGGACCCAGGACTCATGAGTTCTAGTCCCTACTGTCTATCACTAGGTGCATTGTAGCCTTAGACAAGTAAGTGATTTACCTATTTTCTTATCTATAAAATGAGGGGCTTGAACTAGATAACCTCTAGGTCCATTCATAGCTGCAAAATTCTAATTCTAAAGTTAATGGTGAGCCAGAAGCAATTACCCATACCTACAGTCTCAGCTACTCAGGTGGCTTAGGTGGGAGGATCTCTTGAGCCCAGGAGTTTAAGACCAGCCTGGGCAACACAGCAAGAACCCATCTCTAATAGATAAATAAAATGTAATGATGAAATTTTCCCTCTTCCATCTTATATACTATAGATAGATATATTAATGAAGAGTAAGTCATACACAAATAAGATAGACAAGGATTCATTGCCAAAAATTATGTGAAATTTAAGATACATCATTTCTAGTCACATTACATATACATTATGCTTTTATTATAAAATAAAATGTGGATATTTTCCACATAAGAAAAATATCAGGCTAGTATGCTGGTAGTAGATTATAAGGGAAAGAATCCTAATTTAAGTAAGATAAAATATAAAGGATTTAATTAGAATCCAAAATTCCAGCAAAAGCAGACTTATTGATCTGAAACAGTTTTTAAAATATTATCAGAGAAAAGAAATCCATGAAACAAGGATACCAAGAACATGAAGAATAGAGCTGGAAAATGAGTTTCAAAAAGATATGTTTATAATGTAAAGTTTTAGAATTTAGCCAAAGCATAGATAGTTAAAGATTAAGACATAGTGCCAGAGTATAATTATTAAAGTGGTAGACATTTACATTATTAAATATCCTCTTAGAGCTCTAAATAGTCAACCTATTTAACTAGTTTTAGGATCAAATTTATCCTTTTTGAACACATCAGGAACTGAAGTAACACAAGGTTAAGTGACTTGTACAAAGTTCTCAGTGAGTCATCAGTAAAATTGGTACATTGACTCTAAAACTCTTGTCACCAACCCTTATGTTCCAACTATTGGACAGTATCCAAACTTAAAGAGTTCTTTTTTTTTTTTCTTTGACAAAGAGCAAATTGAAATCAGAAAGGGGAGTAAAATGGAAGGTTCCAGAAACCAGTGTATTCACAACTCAGGTCAATGAAGGCTTCCCTCATCTCTCCTCCTTGTTCCACCACCCATCCTTTGCCTACTCCTTCCTAATTCAGAGCCTTTTCACGTTTACAGAAATCACTGTCTGCTGACACAAAACCTCCAGTCTTGTTCGAAAATGAGACCTACATTTGCTTATTTTATAGGTAATTGTACATTTTTTCATCCTACATCTCAAGAGACCAAGGGACCTAAGTAAATTGATCTACTTGCCAATGACTGTAAGAAAGACAAAGAAGTTGTAAAAACATCCAAATGATGTTAAACATAAATTAGCTCAGAATAGTTTGCAGAAGATAAACTACCAGCGTCAAAGCATGCATTAAAAACTGGTAAGTTCCCCTCTCCCATTAAACCGTGCTTAAATATGATAATGCATATCATTCATGTTTTTTATTGTTACATAACTTGTACTATAGGCATTTATACGAGAAAACATCTAACACTATTCTAAGATACAGTTCACTTAATAATGCTTTTGGTATTACTTGTATTTGTGGTACAGATGTGCCATTAACTGTGGGTCCTCAGTCATGAATGGCATCAATTTCAATGTATCATGTTGCATTCATCAAAACTAAACTTCAGAGACCAGCCCTGTAATTGAACCCTGGACATGGATGTGAAAGTGGACAGAAACTAAAACCTTAGTGAACTAAAACCTTATGGCTTTTGTGCAGTCCAGACAAGTCCTGTTAAGGACAATTAAGTTCAGAAATGCACCTTTTCTATCAAAAACATCCTAGTCTTTCCTCCCAGGCCCTTTGACAGTTCATCTGCATTCACATGTCTATTCTAATCAAGCACTTACAAGCCAAAAAAAAAAGTATCTATAGAAGTCATATTGATAGTATCATTGCACATATGACATTCTCTAGCTAAAATAACTCAATATTTATAACTGTACAATGTTACTATTATAACTTGTGGTTTTATAATAGGCTATGAATTAATGATCTCATTTTATCTTAACTCATACTACCCCAAGAGGCATTATCATTATCACTAGGTTACACAAGAAAATGGGCCTAGAAATGCCAAAAGTATGTGCCCAAGATCATTACACAGGTTCCAGTTCTAAATTGACACACACTTGTTTACCAAAATGTTTCCTTTTATAAAGCATTTTGATTGCATGATGGTAGTCACTTCTTTTTCTTTTGATATACTTTGGTATAATCATGATTGTCCTTATTGTATAGAAAGGAACTCTTCTGAAGCAAAGAGAGTTCAAGAAAGTGGCCATACTCAGACAGGTTAATAAATGCATCCAAACTTTTAACTTACGACACTGTATTTTGCTTTTTCCTACCTTATAGGAAAGAAATTAAAAGTGTGGTATTGAAAGATGTACAACTGACTTTGGAAAAAGGATTCCTCTCTAATTGGTGTTTGTAAGTGATCGAAATAAACATTTTTAAACTATCATTTGTGGAATCATTGCTACATACTAGGCAATTGAAGACCTCCACTTTCACCATCACCCTATGAGTTGTCTTTTATGATCCTATTTTACAGGTGAAAAAACTAAGGTCCATTGAAATCAATTTTTTTTTTTTTTTTTTTTTTTTTTGAGATGGAGTCTCACTTTGTCGCCCAGGCCGGAGTGCAGTGGCGCGATCTCGGCTCACTGCAACCTCCACCCCTGGATTCGTGCGATTCCTCTGCCTCAGCCTCCCCAGTAGCTGGGATTACAGGTGCCCACCACCACACCCAGCTGATTTTTTGTATTTTTTAGTAGAGACGGATTTCACCATGTTGGTCAGGCTGGTCTAAAACTCCTGACCTCAAGCAGTCCACCCTCTTCAGCCTCCCAAAGTGCTGGGATTACAGGCATGAGCCACCATGCCTGGCCTGAAATCAAATTAATTTCCTAAAACTACACAGCTGACCAGGCACGGTGGCTCACACCTGTAATCCCAGCACTTTGGGAGGCCTAGGCAGGAGGATTGCTGGAACCCAGGAATTCGAGACCAGCCCTGGGCAACATAGGGAGATCCCATCTTTACAAAAAAATTTAAAAATTAGTCAGGTGTGGTGGCATGCACCTGTAGTCCCAGCTACTCATGAGCCTGAGGTGGGAGGATGGCTTTAGTCCAGCAGGTTGAGGCTACAGTGAGCTGTGATCACACCACTGCACTCCAGTCTGGGCAACAGAGTGAGATCCTCTCTCTAAAAAATAAAAAATGAGAAACACTACTCAGCAGAGTAAGTGTAAAAGTTACAGCAGAATTAGAAAGTCACAATTTTGCAACCCCAATGTAATCATTGATTGAGGCAAATAAATCACTGGATATATTTTTGTCGAGTAAAGAATATCAGCCAGGCACAGTGGCTCACGCCTGTAATCCCAGCACTTTGGGAGGCCGAGGTGAGTGGGATCACTTGACGTCAGGAGTCTGAGACCAGCCTGGCCAACGTGGTGAAACCCTGTCTCTACTAAAAATACAAAAATTAGCTGGATGTGGTGGTGTACGCTTGTATTCTCAGCTACTTGGAAGGCTAAGGCAGGAGAATTGCTTGAACCCCAGAGGCAAAGGTTGCAGTGAGCCAAGATTGTGCCACTGTACTCTAGCCTGGGCAACAGAGCAAGACTCTATCTCAAAAGAAAAAAAAAAAAAGAATACCCACATGGTAATTTTCTTAGTCTATCTGAGCTGCTTTAGCAAAAATACCATAAAGTTTGTGGTTTATAAACAACAAATGTTTATTTCTCACAGTTCTGAAGGCTGGGAAGTCCAAATCAGGTGCAAGCAGATCCAGTGTCTGGTGAGGACCCATTTCTCATAGATGGTGCCTTCTTGCTTTGTTCTCACATAGTAGAAGGGGCCAAACAAGCTTCCTGGGGCCTCTTTCATAAAGGCACTAATCCCATTCATGAGGGCCCCACTCTCATGATCTAATCACCTGCAAAAGTCCCCACCTCTTAATACTATCACAATGGAGGTTAGATTTCAAGGTATGAATTTAGGGGGAACACAAACATCTAAACCGTAGCGGTAACAATCCTCTACAATGTAACCCTATACAGATTACAGTCACAATGGATTGGTTGGCTGTTACGCCCTTGCCCAAGTGATCAAACATAGACTCAACCAATAGCGGACATCCTGAATACCATGTGCTTCCTAATGTAAGGCAACAAGAGGTACCCACACCACCTATGTTGTATTCTGCCAAAGATGTTTAGCAGTCACACAGGCCCAGAATGTGGGACCTTCTAGAAGATTACTGATTGGGGCTTTTCAAAGGGTATCAATATTCATGTTTGTTCATGAAAAACAAAGCAAAACAAGGCAGGGTATTGTTCTATATTAAAGAGACATAGCAACCACAAGTAATGCACAAACTTTGTCTGACTCCTGGATTAAAAAATAATATGAAACCGCACAGTATTTTATAACACACAGTTGTAAAATACATTTGAGAAGATTAGAAATTAAAATATTGACAGTGTATTAGATGTTGGATTCAAGTTAATTTTCTTAGGTATGACAAGTATTTATGGATAAAATGTCATGATATATACAAATTATTTTTAAACGGCTCAACAACAAAAATTATGTTCATATG
The DNA here is from genome assembly GCF_000001405.40 of Homo sapiens. NCBI lineage: Eukaryota > Metazoa > Chordata > Mammalia > Primates > Hominidae > Homo > Homo sapiens. Next base: position 90,588,474 of record NC_000007.14, on the reverse strand, counting down.
ATTTAATAGCAACATACACACACATGTTGATCTATCTCCGTATGTATATATGCATATATACACGCACACAGGAGAGGGTAGTGACAAAAATGATAAAAATTGGTGAACGTAGGTGAGGAATATACAGTTTCCATTGCATTGTCTTTTTAGCTTTCTGTAGGTTTTTTAATTTTCAAAATGAAAAGGTAAAATGGAACAAACCAACCCAGCTGGTGAGTGGCAAGTCAGCAGGTCAATCAAGTTCTAAAGCTGTCTATAAGTAAGCAGCCATGGTGTGAGTAAAAACTGAAAATTAAAAAATAAATTTAAGAAGTTCTAAAGCTGGTATTTGACTCACATTATACCACCACCTCCACATCTGAGAAAAGTAAGAAAAGTACTAATGTCAGTAGCAGATTAATAAAATACAGCTTAGTCATAATTAATATTTAAACCAACATTCCTTACCTATGAAGACAGTCACACCAAAGTTATTAGGATGCACATTTAAAGGACTGCTCTATGACATTCTAGGTAGGGACTGGAAGGGCAGGAGGAGGAAGAGCCATGTGTAGATTGAAAAAGACTCCAAGATGATTATTGCACTGCCCCCATCAAGTGAGAACCAATGATTCACTTCCCGGAATAGCAACACGATGGTAGTTATTTGATGAAAGTCAGATAGAGAGGATAACATGGAGGCACCTACAAAGATGAAGGATGAGTTGGAGAGATAAACATCCTAGGTGTGTTTCAAACAGTGAAAAAGCAAGGCTAGAAGCAGAAGATATTAATTCTTAGTTCTAGAATCTTCTATCATGATCTGTGTAGTATTACCAATCCTCTGCTTCCTTGACTGTAAATTAGAGATGGACAATTATCCTGGCCCCACCACCTACAAATTTAAGTGGTCATTATCTCCTTTCCCCAATTTTGGGGCACCTAATCAAGTATATTTGATTTCTTTTCTTTTTTTTTTTTTTTTTTTTTGAGACGGAGTCTTGCTCTGACACCCAGGCTGGAGTGCAGTGGCCCAATCTCGGCTCACTGCAAGCTCAGCCTCCTGGGTTCACGCCATTCTCCTGCCTCAGCCTTCCAAGTAGCTGGGACTACAGGCACCAGCCACCATGCCCAGCTAATTTTTGTATTTTTAGTAGAGACAGGGTTTCACCATGTTAGCCAGGGTGGTCTCGATCTCCTGACCTTCTGATCCGCCTGCCTCAGCCTCCCAAAGTGCTGGGATTACAGGTGTGATCCACCTTTTAATTACAAACCAAGAAAAGAGGGACAGTTGATGTAGTTAACCAGAAAGAGGTGGGAGGCTCCATTTTCAGTACTCTATTTCCTTACTGTAAGAAAGTAATTTCACTTGTCTTCATTTGTTTATTCATCAAACACATATTGAGCACCTACTATGTCCCAGGTACTGTGCTAAGATCTGGTTATACTGCAGTGGGTGAGATGGAGCATGGTCATAATCCCTCCCTGCACGAAGCTTACAGACTAGTGAGGGAAAATGATGTTAAAACCACCATTTACAATAAAACATGACCCATTTTAAAATAGAGAAAAGACTGAATGCCACAGCAAGGACATTTCACCATAATTTGAGGGTGAGACACATCCTCTCTGAGCAATCACACCTAAACTGAGATCTGAAGGATCCATAGAGGTAGTCACGCAGAAAGCAGAAGTTTCTTACAGAGGGATCAGCATTTGTGGGGGCCAGATGGCAAAGGCAGAACATGGCGGGTTCGAGAATCTGAAAGGCAGTTGGAGTATGCAACAGACATAAGATGAGGTTGGCAAGTTTGGCAAGGGCCAAAAGGGAGACACTTTAATACTTATACAGTAAAAGGTATATATGCTTTAATTCCTACTAGAAATGGCAGACAACATTCATGGTAGTTTCTGTTCCTTCTGAAAACTCACCAAAACTATGATGAATGAAGTTTTTAAAAGCATAAGTCCATAAGCACACAGGTAATGGAAGAGGAAAAAGCAGCAACACAATTTTGGAAATTGGAAAAATTACAGTCGTCAGTCCCAAGAAAGCTGATTCCTAAGCCAGCCATTGGCAAGGCTGAGAAGCAACCTACTGAAAATTTATAACTGAATGTCAAGGACCCTAGCCATCTTTTCTCACTTCCTTCACATAGTTCTGGCCAACAGATTATCCTGCAGAGAAAACCATAGTTGACAGGCTGAACCATATAAATCAAGCTTTCCAAAAACTTTTCAGTGTCTTTCTCCCAGATATGGATGGGCAGGCAGCCAAGGATCTCCATATAGTTGATGGAATATAATAAGAAAAGTAGAGGCCAAAACAAACTAATGGAAAAACAGCTAGGAAGAAATAAAGACTATGAAGAAGAAAAGAATTAATATCTTCAAAAAAAGATAGCAAAATATTATAGCATATTACAGCCATTAAACAAGAACTGGGTACTACAAATTTTTTAAAAAGTAGCAAAGGCCAAAAATAAATTGGACAGTAAAAATATCATAGTTTAAAAGGAAACTTTAGGCTGGGCACAGTGGCCTAAAGTGGAATCCCAGCACTTTGGGAGACTAAAGCAGGAGAATCACTGAGTCCAGGAGTTCGAGACCAGCTTGGGCAACATAGCAAGACCTTGTTTCCACAAATAATAATTATTTAAAAATTAGCCAAGCATGGTGGTGTGCGCCAGTAGTCCCACCTACTCAGGAGACTGAGGCAGTAGAATAGCTTGGGCCCTGGAGGTTGAGGTTTCAGTGAGCTGTGATCACACCACTGCACTCCAGCCTCAGTAACATAGTGAGACTCCGTCTCTCAAAAAAAGAAAAAAAAAGAAAAGAAAAAAGATAAATGAAAACTTCAGGTAAAGCTTTAAAATTTAAAGGAAAAGAAATTCCCCAGCAAGTAAAACAAAAAGATAAAGAGAGGGAAAGTGGAGAAAAAAAGATGAGAAAGGTACAGACTAGTTCAGGAAGTTCAATATCTGAATAATAGAAGTTTACAGAAAGAAAGAACAAAGAAAATAGAAGAGAGGAAATTATCAAAGAAATAATTCAAGAAAATTTCCTTTAATAAAGGAAAATGACTTTCCAAATTGAAAGGGTCTATTGAGTTCCCAAGAAAACAAATGAAAATAAATCTACACTGAGACACTTCATTGTGAAATTGCATAACCCTGTGAACCAAGAGAATATTCGAAAAGCTTTCAGAAAACAAAATTAGGATTCTAAAAAGAATCCAGTATCAGAATGGTTTTAGACTACTCAACAGAAACACTGGATACTAGAAAATGTAAAAGAGAGTGATTTCTAATCTAGAATTCTATTTCCAGCCAAATTACTAATTAGGTGGGAGAGCAGAGAATAAATGCTTTCAAATATGAAAGGTCAAAAATGCCACCTCCCAGGTTCACCTCTCAGTAAGCCATCAGAAGATTTGTTCAACCAGAACAAGAAAAGGGGAAATGTAATCCATGTAACAGGGTTCCAATATGTGAGAAGGGCAGGATGATAATGGAGGGAGAACCTAAGACCACAGTGCAGATGGATGCCAGTCAACCAATCTGGTGGACTGGAGCAGGGCAGAAGACTCTAGGAGAAAGTTCATCAGGAAAATTACATTGATAGAACAACTGGTTTTTAAACCACATTGATCAATGTGAAGATGGGTTGATAAAAAAAAAAAAAAAGAAAACTTTCAGACTGAATTTTATTTAAAAAATTTTAAAAAGCATGTTGAGGGAAGATTTACAAAACTAGAGGTGGGGACAGTTTGGAGACATATTAATAAGAACATAGAAAGCTGTTTTGATCAGTCTGCACAGAGATGGGCATGATTGCCCACCCAGAAATTTAGGTATCCAGACAAATGACACAATGCACTCACCAGTGAATATGAATAAACTAGATTTAGTACAGTAATTAGGGGGTTCCCAAAAGGGAAAGAAGATGAGCAAAAGGCTGGGCGTGGTTTGGGGATTTTATTGTGGTTAAAGGATAGACTTAGCATGGAAGAAAATTCTCCTAGAATGGGCCAGAGTGTCATTTTAAATTCTCATTGGCTTTCAGAAGCAAGGGCCTACACAGGTTTTTTTTATCCTGGTTCCCAGATGTACAGGAGACAAGAAAAAGTGGTAGTAATTGAAAACTGTCAACAGGCCAGGCATGGTGGCTCATGCCTATAATCCCAATATTTTGGAAAGCCAAGGCAGGAGGATCACTTGAGCCCAAGAGTTCAAGACCAGCCTGGGCAACATGGCCAAGACCTCTTCTCTACAAAAAATAAATAGATAAAATGAAATAAAAATAACCTGGTGTCATGGCAGGCACCTGTGGTCAGGGAGAATTACTTGAGCCCAGGAGGTTAAGGTTGCAGTGAGCTGTCTTCACACCACTGCACTCCAGCCTAGGCAACATAGTGAGACCTTGTCTCAAAAAAAAAAAAAAAAAAAAGGAAAGAAAAGATAAAAGAAGAAAGCTATCAACAGTCAAACGACAAAAATGGAGTCAGCATCTTCATCACAAAAATAAAGTTACAGGGGAGGAAAAAGAGAGCTATTAACTCCAGAAAAAAAACAAACAAAAAGCAGTACAAGAAAGGAAGTGTACTCATAGCATAGTATACTATATGGTGAGATATAAATAAATATATAGAAATAAATATGTAGAAAGTCCTATCAGTGCAAATACTGAATGCAATATTATTAAATCATGATCATGTTGGGAAGAAGAAGAATGGAAGGTGTACATGCGTATGGGTACCTATGGGGTTTGGTGAAATTAAATCTTCATTTCTAAAGTTAGAGGTTACTGAGGAAAACTTTAATAGCACTATAAATACGTTATTTAGAGATATGGAGATAATTTCAAAGGAATCAGGTAGAATAGCTGGAAGGGGTTGCCCCTAGGGAACTGAACCATAAGAAATGGTGGACAGTGATATGGGAGAGGGTATGTTGTAGGGCTGCTGTTTTGTTTGTTTGTAACAGGTGTGTATATAAAACTTAAAATATGTATAACTAAATATTAAATGGCTAAAAACATTGACTTTGTCCTAAAGGCAAGGGGGAGCTACCCATCACATTGGAGTTCTAAGCAATGAAGATCTGAGCATCCGATAATGAGATCAGATTTGCATTTTATTAAAATTATTCTAGTTACTTTATGGAAAAGAATTTGAGGGAGGAAAGAATGGATACAGAGGTGTCTCTAGGAAGCTATTAGTTACCAGTACCCTGGAAGGTAGACAGGAAGTGATATTGACCTGAATTCGGGTATGACTATAGGAGTATGTAGAAGTAGATGTGTGACTACTTTGAGGTTGATTGGATTGTGGGATTGGAGAGGGAGGACTCCGGATTGATACCACATTTTCTGGTTTGGACGATGGGTACATGGAGTTGCCATTCATTTAGACAGGAAATACCGAAGGGCAGCAGGTTTGGAGGAAATAGAATAATTTCAATATTGGATATCCAAGCAGAATGGCTGTAAGGGCATCACAGGTACGGACCTGGAGCACAGGAGAGAAAGCTGGACTAGAGATGTAGATTTGGAATCATCAGCATAGAAGTGGCAATTGAAGGCCAGGCACAGTGGCTCATGCCTGTAATCCCAGCATCAGGGAGGCCAAGGCGGGCAGATCACCTGAGGTCAGGAGTTCGAGACCAGCCTGGCCAACATGGTAAAACCCCGTCTCTACTAAAAATACAAAAATTAGGCAGGCATGGTGGCACACACCTGTAATCCTAGCTACTCAGGAGGCTGAGGCAGGAGAATCACTTGAACCCGGGAGGCAGAGGTTGCAGTGAGCTGAGATCATGCCACTGCACTCCAGCCTGGGCGACAGGGTGAGATCCATCTCAAAAAATAAATAAATAAATAAAGCAGAAAGAAAAGAAATGGCAATTGAAGTCCTGGGGGTGGATGAGATTGCTCAGGTAGAAGGTATACAGAGTAATCGGTGGCTAGGTATATGCCCAAAAGAATTGAAAATAGGGTCTCAAAGACATATTTGCACACCCACGTTTATAACAGCATTATTCACAATAGCTAAAATGTGGAAGCAGTTCAAGTGTCTATTGACAGATAAATGGTTAAACAAAGTGTGATGTAGACACACAATGGGATATTACTCAACCTTGAAAAGGAAGGAAATTCTGACACATGTTACAACATGGATGAACCTTGACATTATGTTAAGTGAAAAATAAGCCAATTACAAAAAGACAAATATTGTATGATTCCACTTACATGAGGTACTTAAGAATAGTCAAAATCATAGAGACAGACAGTAGGATGGTACTTGCCAGGGGTTGAAGCAAGAAGGAAATGGGGAGTTACTGTTTAATGGGCATAGAGTTTCAGTTTTATAAAATAAGAAAAGTTAAGATAGATGGTGGTGATGATTGCCCAACATTATGAATATTTAATACCACTGAATTGTATATACTTAAACATAGTAAATTTTGTGTTATGTGTATATTAACAGAATTGAAAAATTGAAGAAAAAGGAAAGAATAATCAGTGTCAAAGGCAGAGCCTGAACAAATATAAAAAGGGGAGAGGATGAGGAGCCTGCAAAGGGGCATGAACAGAGACAAGCAGAAAAGTAGTAGGAAAGTCTGTGTCCTGTGGGAATCAGGGAGGAGAACGTTCAACCTATCGAGTGGTGCCAAAAGGGTAACAGATAAGGATGGATCACACAGAGGAACGTCTGTTAGGAACCTTGACCAGAGCCAAGGCTATGGAGCACTGGAGTAGGTGAAGTATGTCTAAGCAGAAGCACTCGTTTTCATCTCTGTTTAATAGATAATAGCAATTTTTCTCAAGTCTATTATGAGCTAGATACTGTATTAAGTATTTGACCTAGTTTATCTCATTTAATCCTCAAAATAACATCATCTCTACGAAGTAGATATTATTAACATCCCAATTTTTCAGATGAAGAACCTGAGGTTGCAAGAGGTTAAGCAGTTACTCAAAGGAACAGAGCTAGTCAGCAGACAGGCTACAGTACAAACTCAAGGAGTCTCACTTCAGAGTGCAAGCTCCTAAATGTTGCACTGTACCCTCCAAATGACCTGCCCAAAATGACTCATCCATTCAACAAGCCTACTGTGTGCCAGGTGCTGTAATCTAACAGTATACAAACCAAACCAAAGCCCCTGACCTCATAAAACTTACTTTCCAGTGGAGGAGATGATAGTAAACAACAACAACAACAAAATTCAGGCTGGGTGCCATGGCTTATGCCTGTAATCACAGCACTTTGGGCGGCCAAGGCAGGAAGATGACTGGAGCCCAAGAGTTCAAGACCCACCTGGGCAATATAGCAAGACTTTGTCTCTACAAAAAATTAAAAATTAGCCAGTCATGGTGGCACATGCCTGTAGTCCCATTTACTGGGGTCAGGGACAGAAGGATCTCTTGAGCGTGGGAGGTTGAGGCTGTAATTAGCTGTGATCCCACCACTGCACTCCAGCCTGGGCAAGAGTAAGATCCTATCTCAAAAAAAAAATGTATATATAAAACAGTATACATGCATATATACTTTCAATACTTAGCACAATAAACATTAAGGCCGGGTGTGGTGGAGCATGCCTATAATCCTAGCACTTTGGGAGGCCAAGAAGGGCAGATCACTTGAGGTCAGGAGTTCGAGATCAGCCTGGCCAACATGATGAAACCCCATCTCTACTAAAAATACAAAAGTTAGCCAGGCTTATTGGCATGCGCCTGTAGTCCCAGCTACTTGGGAGGCTGAGGCAGGAGAATTGCTTGAACCTGGGAGGCAGAGGTTGCAGTCAGCTGAGATCGTGCCACTGCACTCCAGCCTGCACGACAGAGCAAGGCTTCATCTCAAAATTAATTAATTAATTAATTAATTAAACATTAAGAAAGCAGGGTAAGTAGGTGGAGAGTGGCTAGCGAAGGAGCTATTTCTGATCATAGGCCGGCCTTTATAAAATGACTTTTCAGCAAAAACATGAATTAAGTCACGGTTTGAGCCACGAGAAGATATATTTGAGGCTGAAGGAGGAGGAAGTGCCACCAACCTGACATAGGAATGAACTGGACTCAGCAAAGGAGAAGGCCTAGGATGGGGACAGAATGAGGGGGAAATTAGCAGGCTATGAAATCAGTAAGGAAGGCAGGGGCAGTTCCATGTGCAGCCTTACAGGTAAGACGTCAGCTGTTGTGATAGGTGTGACAGGAAACCCATGGAGGATTTTAAGCAGGGCAGTGACAAACTGTGACTCACATTATCTTAGCTTGCAATAGAGTCTGGACTTCAGGTTCTGTGACTGTCGCCCTTTCTTTTATTCTCTTGAGTTGTGCTGTTATGTGGCTACTGAGTATGTGAAATGTGGCCTGTCTGAATTGAGGTTTGCTGGAAGTGTAAAATGCACGCTAGATTTCAAAGTACTTAGTACTGTACCCCCTAAATCTAAAAATAAAAGCTGAAAAAAAATAAACCCAAAGACTTAGTACAAACAAAAGAATGTAACAGATTTCATGAACAATTGTTTATATTCATTACGGCGAAATGATAATAGTTTAGATGTGGTGGGTTAAATAAAATATAATATTCAACTTATTTTCACCTATTTCTTTTTAGGTCTTAAAAATGTAGCTTTTAAGGCAGCGTACAGTGGCTCATGCCTGTAACCCCAACACTTTGGGAGGCCAAGCAGGAAGATCACTTGAGCCCAGAGTTCGGGACCAGCCAGGGCAACATGGCGAGACCCTGTCTATACAAAAAGCACAAAAATTAGCTGGGCGTGATGGCACATGCCTGTAGTCCCACCACTTTGGGAGGCAGAGGTGGGAGGATTGCTTGAGCCCAGGAGGTCAAGGCTACAGTGAGCCATGATTACACCACTGCACTTCAGCCTGGACAGCAGAGGGAGACGGTCTCAAAAAAAAAGAAAAAAGTACCTTCTAGAAAATGTTAAATTACATGTGTGGCTTGAGTCATATTTCTATTGGATAGCATTGGTCTAGACAACTTCCCTTCTGCTTTTATCTTCAGAATGTTACGAAGACAATGAAATAACTTGTATAGTGCTCTTTGAGTTTTCTTAAGGAAACACATTGTGTAACTACAAGATAAATTATTGAGGATGACAGTCAGCCAAAAAGTGTGCCAGTTCTCTATAGACCTAAGATAATGTTACTGACTGGGTCGTGGTTTTGTGTTGTTTTTCCTACAGTGGTGATGAGTTTGCACAAAGTCATCTGTAACATTTCTGTCCCCACCCACGCTCCTCCCTCCCTGTATTCCCTCATGACCAAAACAGCATATTTTTGAAATACCTGGCCCAGGTTAAGAATGCAGTTCTCCAGCCATGGAAATTTTTCTCTTTGCAAAGCCGTCAGTTCTGTATAGGTTTGATCCTAAGCCTATTTAACATGATATTTTAATTATCTGGTCTACTCAAGCAAGCAAATTTCAACTGTCAGTAATTATATCTATAATCATAATCATAGAATACTCTTGGTTCTCATATTTCATTCTAAATGTGGTCGATTAGACTGTACTTATATTGAAAAAATCGCACACATGCTCTAACCAAGAAAGTTGTTATTCTTTGTAAATTTATATCTATGGAAAGTCTCATAACGTTACCAATTAAGTCATATTTTGATTTATACATGGCAGGATTTAAAATATAATTATAAGACATCGTAATTATTGAGGGTGATATAGCTATATTACTCTATCCTAGGCCTTGGATAGCAGTAAGAAAATAGAAAATCAGACAGAACCTCACTCATCTTCTTTGCCTGCTCATGTCTGTTTCGTTTTGTTTTTTTTTTTATTTTATTTTATTTTATTTTATTTTATTTTATTTTATTTTATTTTATTTTTTGGAGATCAAGTCTCATTCTGTCACCCAGGCTGGAGTGCAGTGGCGTGATCTCGGCTCACTGCAACCCCTGCCTCCCAGGTTCAAGCAGCTCTCCTGCCTCAGCCTCCTGAGTAGCTGGGATTACAAGCACACACCACCACACCCAGCTAATTTTTGCATTTTAGTAGAGACGGGGTTTCACCATGTTGGCCAGGCTGTTCTCAAACTCCTGAGCTCAGGTGATCTGCCCGCCTTGGCCTCCCAAAGTGCTGGGATTACAGGCGTGAGCCACTGTGCCTGGCCTTCTTTTCATTTTTTTGAGACAGAGGCTCGCTCTGTGGCCCAGGCTGGAGTGCAGTGAAGCGATCATGGCTCACTGCAGTCTCGAACTCCTGGGCTCAAGTGATCCTCCTGCGTCAGTGTCTTAAATACCTGGGACTACAGGTGTGTGCCACCTGTAGAGCAGGCGGCACACAGGTGGTGCACGCCTGTAGCTCCAGCTACTCAGCTATGCCTGTCTAATTTTTAATTTTTTTGTAGAGATGGGGTCTTGCTAATATTGCCCAGGCTGGTCTCGAACTCCTAGCCTCAAGTTATCCTCCTGCCTCAGCCTCCCAAAGTGCTGGGATTACAGGCATGAGCCACCATGCCCAGCCTCATTTCTGCTTCTACCTTCTTTTTCTCTCCAGTTAGGCGAAGGGCAGGCTTCACTCTCAATTTTCAGTCTCAATCTTTGTGCTTTGGACTATTTCCTCCCTTCCTCTCGAAGACCTCACTTCTTTGCTTTACCCTTTTCTCTCCTGCATGTCACTACATCCCACCTTACTAGATCACAGCTCCATCAGCAAACAGACAGCCATAGAATCTCCCATCTTTAAACAAGCAAAGAAACACACAAACACCTCCTTTGGCCCCACATTTCCTTCTATTTACAGCTTTTCAACTCCCCCTTCACAGCAAAATCTATCAAAAAGAGTTTTCTAGAGCTCTGTTTCCATTTCTTCACCTCCCATTCATTCTTGTTCTTCATTTAAATTATTGTTTATTTATTTTTATTTTATAGGCTTTTTGGGTGCTTTAATGATTTTTTAAAAATTTCAGTGTACAACATGATGTTTTGAAATATGTATATATTGTGGAGTGGCTAAATAAAGTAAATTAACATATGCATTATCTCACTTTCTTTGTGGTGAGAGCACTTAAAATCTACTCTTAGCAACATTTGAGCATGCAATACATTGTTATTAACTGTAGTCACCGCACTATACAATAGATCTCTTTAACTTATTCCTCCTGTCTAACTCAGGTTTTGTGTCCTTTGATCAACAACTCCCCAACCTCTCTCCCTCCACAACCCTCGGTAACCACCATTCTACTCTCTGCTTCCATGAGTTCAAATTTTCAGATTCTATATATGAGTGAGGTCATATGGTATTTCTTTCTGTGCCTGTCTTACTGTACTTAACATAATGTTCTCCAGGTTCATCCATATTGTCACAAAAGACAGGATTTCCTTCTTTATTAAGGCTGAATAGTTTTTCATATATACCACATATATTTTATCCATTCATTCATTGATGAACACAGGTTGATTCCATATCTTCGCTATTGTGAATAGTGCTGCAGGGATCATGGGAGTGCAGATATCTTTTCTACATACTGATTTCATTTCCTTTGGATATGTACCCAGAAGTGGAATTGCTGGGTCATACGGCAGTTTTATTTTTAAGAGGAATCTCCACGCTGTTTTCCATAATGGCTGTGCTAATTTACATTCCCACAAACAGTGTGCTAGGGTTCCCTTTTCTCCACATCCTCACCAACACTTGTTATCGTTTGTCGTTTTCATAATAGCTATTCTAATAGTTGTGAGGTCATATGTTATTGTAGTTTACATTTGTATTTCTCTAATGATTAGTGTTATTGAGCTTTTTTCTTCCCCCCATATACCTGTTGATCATTTGTATGTCCTCTTTTGAGAAATGTCTATTCAGGTCCTTTGCCCATTTTTTAAATTGAGTTATTTGTTTTCTTCCTAGTAAGTTTTTGAGTTCCTTATATACTTTGAATATTAACCCCTTAGCTGATGTATGGTTTGAAAATATTTTCTCCCATTATATAGGTTGTTTTTTCATGCTGTTGATCATTTCCTTTGCTGTGCAGAAGCTTTTTAGTTTGATATAATCCCATTTGTTTATTTTCACTTTTGTTGCTTGTACTTTGGGGGTCATATCCAAAAAGTAATTGCCCAAACCAATGTCATGGAGCTAAGTCCCTATGTTTTCTTCTAGTAGTCTTATATTTTCAGGTCTTATGTTTAATCTTCAATCCATTTTGAGTTGATTTTTGTATATGGTATGAGATAAGGGTCTAATTTTTTTCTTCTGCAATAGATATCCAAATATCCTAAAATTATTTGTTGATGAGACCATCCTTTCCCCGTCCCATTCATTCTTCAACTCTTTATGATTATCTTTCTTTCCCCTACTAAAACTGCTCTTGTTACGGGCAACCTAAGACTTCCATGGGACAAAATGCAAGAGATCTTTCTGTCTTCATTTCACCGTGTTCTTGTTGTGCATATGATACAGTTGGCCACCCCCTCCTTTAAAGTGCTCTTCCCTTGACTTCCATGAGGCTATATTCTAGTTTTCCACCTACCCAACTGGCTATGCATTTTCAGTTTCCTTTCTAGCTCCTTTGCTTCTATTAGACTTCTAAATGTTGGAGATCTTCTGATTCCTTGCACTTCTTCTCTTCTTTTACCCTCTCCCTAGATGCTCTCAATTATTCCTGTGGCTTTAAATGCCATGTAATTGCTGATAATTCCCAAATATATATATATGTATCCAAACTAAACATCTCCTTTAAACTCCAGAATCTCTTATCCTTATAGTTGAATCTCGACTATATATCTCAAACTTAACATGTCTGTACATGAAATATTGATGTACTCTTCTCATACAAAAAAATATGAATAAGGCAAAGAAGAATAGAAGAGGAAGAGAAAGAAAGAAGAAAAAGAGGAAAAAAGGAAGGGTCAAAGACAAAATCACAAGTTTGGTTTAAAGATCTAATTGACTTTTATTTGTGATTCCAGAATCAGGCAATCCCTATAAAATAGAATTGGTATTCCGAGGAGCTGAGCAGAAGAGATTGACTTTATAGGCTGAATAAACGAAACTGAGAATAAAAAGTGGATTGGTCATTTCATAGTTACTTTCTTTGTAAAGGTTAAAGCAGAAGTGACTTCTTTATCATGCTAGCTAAAACTGGCCTGTTTGGGGATTTGGCTATTATCTCTCTTTCCCCTGATTTCTCTGAAGTTCAGATAAACAGATTAATTTCAGCATGGTGGCTTGGAACTTCAGCACGAGTAACTCCATTTGGTTTGGTCTGTTGGGCTTAGTGCAGGAGTTAAGTCCAAACCAATGGCCTCTTGTACATTTTATTTACAGAAAGAAGAAAGAAAGAAAGGAAGGGAGGGAGGAAATAATATATGTTTTTGCTCTAGGCAAAAAATCTAGGCACCCCTTAGTCAACTATATTTAATCCATCAGCATACTGTGTCTAGCCAACTCCAAAATATGTCTCAGACCCATTACCTTCTGCGTATATCCACTGGCACTGCTTTAGACCACTATCTCTTATCTGGGCTACTACAATGTTCTCCCAACTGACCTCCCTGTCTCTGCTCTGAAACCTGCCCAGCTCATTTTCAGAACAGCCAAAGGTATTTTTTGAAACCATAAATCAGTTCATGTCACTCTCCTATTTGATGGTTCAACAACTCCCCATTGCACTTGGAACAAAATCCAAACACCTGATCCCCACTTAAGGCATGGTTCAGCCTTGCCTAAAGGCTTCACCTTGTGCACCCCTAGCCTATACTCATCCCCACCCTGGGGACTTTGTATTTGCAGGATCTTTCAACCTGGAATGCTCTCCTGTCTCTAATCTCCTCCCCCATTTGAATGACAGTTTCCTTTTCGTCCTTTGGGCTTCAGTTTAAATGTCCTCTCATAGAGCCTTGCTGGGCTATCCCTTTTAAAGCAGCCCTGCCCAGTTATTTTCTCACAAGGCCTTGTTTGTTTCCTTTCTAGTATTTGCCACAATTCTCATTACATATTTTTGTACATTTGCTTTCTTGACTCTCAGCCCCTGACTATTCTTATCTTATTCTGGGTAAGAGGATTGACATACTGGCTGAGATAAGACACTGGTACTGTAGCCATGCCCCTCCTTTCTCTCTTCTCTTAAAAGTCAGCCTGTCTATGAAGTCTTCATTTGTTTATGCACCCTTATCATTAGTTTCCCAAGAACAGGCCTGTGCTGGCTCGGTGCTGCCTGTGGCTGGGTGAGAAAGTCCAGCTAGGTCTGAACTATTAGGAAGCTCGCCATGACTGCAGCAGCTCCATCAGAAGAATATTCACATTTTGATCTAGATCTCAGTGGCTTTGGAGATGAGGTAGAGAAAAGATGGGTGCTATGTATTGACCCCCATAAACACCAGTATCTTTCCTGACATGAATCAAGATCTAAGTCTATGGCTTTTCTTTTCTTTTTTCTTTTTAGGTCTGTGGCTTTTCATTGTTTTTAAGCAACGCTATGCTTTCTTCAAAACATGTGTCTGTGAATCCCAATATGTGCAGAAAAAAAAGAGTAAAAATAAATGCAGAGATATTCTGATTACAGTGAGTTACTATATTATTACTTTTTATATAATTTATCATTCTTTCTGCAAGTCACTGAAATCCCATTAAAACTGAAAAACAATAAGGAAATTTCATTGGTTCACATAACAGAATATTTGGGGACTTATCTGGATCAGATAGAGGTTGATTTGGTCAAATAACCATGACTGGCACGCAGTTTCTTTCTCTTTCTTGGTCCTGCCAAGAACTTTGAGAAGCTCAAGATTGAAAAAAAAAATTGTAGTAGAAACCAATAGCGTTGGGTCACTTATATAATGTAATTGGACTATTTGTAACTAAAAGGATAAATGCTTGAAGGGATGCATACCATTCTCTATGATATGCTTGTTTCACATTGCATGCCTATGTCAAAACATCTCAAGTATCCTATAAATATATACACCTACTATGTACCCACAAAAATTAAAAAAAAAAAAATTAAGACACTTTTGCCTTTATGGTTGCAAGATGGCTACCAGAGGCTCCTGGTGCTACATCTCCACACTCATGTCCAGCAGCAAAGAAAGCGTCTCTCTGCCAATAACGGATATATTTAAAGCATGTATGCTTTCTTTCTCCATAGAAGCATGAGCATAATCTCTTGGACTGGACTATTTGCTTAACTGAACCAATCAATTCCTATAGCCAGGAGTATGGGATATACTGATTGGCCTAGGTCAGCAATCAGGTCTTGTTCATGGAGCTGACATGGGCTCAATCATAAAAGCCAGATAATTGGGAATGAGCTGGGGGTACTCTTGCTGAGGGAAGCGAGGAACAGATGCTGAACAGAGGTAACCAGTCAATGTCTGTATACGTGTGGAAAGAGAAACCTGAATCCCCACATGCCTGATATACCATGTACAGCCCCTCCATACAGAATCAGCCTTTTGTAACTCTCCTCTCTATCTTCAAGAGTATTTGTGATCTTTCTTTCTTCCTTTACTCCTTATGGTCTTTCTTTTTCTTTCTTCTTCATCCTTTCTCTCCTTATTTCTTTCTCTTTTTATTTCTTTTTTAAAATTGAATTGGCCAGGATTATAAAACATCTGTGCACAAATGTTGCTGTCTTATTTATAGTGCCCTAAAGAAGCTTTATTTTTTATTGTATTTTATTTTATTTTATTTTATTTTATTTTATTTTATTTTACTTGATTTCTTGAGACAGGGTCTCACTCTGTTACCCAGGCTGGAGTGCAGTAGCATGATCATGGCTCACGGTAGCCTCGACCTCCTGGGCTCAAGTGATCATTCCTGCCTCAGCTTCCATCGTAGCTAGGACTACAGGCACACATCACCACACATGGCTAACTAAAGAAGCTTTTGAAAGAGTTGAAAGTTTAAGAAAATATGTGCTAAAAATGGGAGGAGAAAAAAAGCCATCCCACAGGACAATGTAGGAGATCAGCCTCAACATTTATCCACAGTGCCAAGGTGCTATAGCACCAAATGAGTGAAGTCTACAGATCAGCAGTCTTCAGGCAGAGGAGGGAAGGTATGTGGAGTTTTCCTAAGGGGTAAGTGGGCATGGATAGTTTCAAAGGAATAGGTTTTCTGATAAGCTTGTCCTGTGGTCATCATCGGGCTGTTCTCCTTTCCTATCTCCCCTGCCCAATCATCTTGCTTTTATCACTTGATAATATAGAAAGGCATACCTCACACTCATCCCAAGCCTACGAATGCATTGCCTCAGGTGCAAAAACCTCTAGAACACTCAAAAAAGGGGAAAAAATGATTGCAATGATGGGATAATTAATCCTGTTGCAAGTTAGATGGATTCTAATTCTCTGCTTTTCACCAAAGTGAAAGACTTCTAATCAAGTCCACAGAGGAGAGATCACTAAAAACCATCTTGATGATAGATTACCATATAATTTTTGGTGTGTAACTGAACAAGAATTCAAAGAATTGAGCCCCATTGCCATAACAAAACTCTCATTCCCATTTATTTATTTAGTTGAAAAGCTTCTCAGCACCTGTAGCAACCAAATCATAGCACTGATGCTATTCCTGGTATATTTACCATGGGTATATGGGGGGAAAATACTACCCATCTCAGTAAGAACTGCAATTCCAATGCAGTCTTACATTTTATGTTTAATAATTACCCATCAATATTTGTAATATATTTATGTGGTTTTAAGAAATTGTGTAGAATTTTCTAACAGAATTGAACCATCACAGGAAATTTAAAATTATTTTCATTTTTTTACATATTTTTGTTGTGGAGAAGTATGTACTTATGAAATTCTTTAAAGTAGAAAAAATAGTAGGAAGTGGAATGGAAATATAATTTCAAGGAGTAAATAAACAAAAGAAAATGTCCTGCAGGTAAAGAAGAACTTTATGATGTATATTTTAAAAGTATATAATGGACAGCCTGATGGCTATACTTAATATTATACATTGATAATTTGTTAAGAGTAGATTTTAGGTGCTCATATCACACACACAACACACACACAAACAAACACACACACACAAAAGGTAACTATGGAAGGTGATGGATATGTTAATTTGTTTGACTGTAGTAATCATTTCACTGGATATATGTATGTCCAAACATCATGCTATATACCATAAATACATACAATAAAAAATAAATTAGAAAGTAGGATAAGGCATCAAATTGCTATACTATTTAGATCTCACCGTATAGATATCAACGAATAATGTGATATTTATTTTTTAGATGTCATTAGTTATATCAGAAATTATATATATGTAAGTATATACAACTCTTGGTAAAAGAGTTGTATATAAAAAATTTTATATTATAAAATTTTAATGTAAAATTAAAATGATAAATTTTATGCATCAATTTTAAAATATATTACTTTTTAAGATATTTTAGGACTGCATGTGTGAAAATATCTGGAGACAATGAACAGAGAAAATTAAACATTAGACAAGAAAACGATCAAAGAAAGAACAGACCCACTGTTGAGATTGACTATGCAATGCAATATGGTGACAAAGGAGCTGTCTACTCACATTTGATTTTGTGCCCTTTATCAAAGAGAAAGATCAGAATGATTGAATGAACATTGGCAAAAGGGAAGAGAAGTTCAAGATGGAAAAAGAAATTGTAACAGAAATTGTACCCATCTCCCTTGGGAACCAGCAGAGGGGAGTGAGAATAGCAAGGATTTGAGTCAGACAAAATTGACTCAGAATTCTGACACTGCCAGTTAATATCTATGTGCCCCTGGACAAGATGCTTCACTCACCTAATCTGTATTATGGACATAATGTGATTTACAACGGAGGGTAAAATTTCCTAATGGATCTAAAGTGCTTTGCATAGGGTCAAGCTCTGCAAAACATAAATAGTGGCTTTTGTAATTATCATGTAGCTGTAGACTTTGGAGCAATTTAACCTCCTTGAGCTTCACCTTCCTCCTCTATAATGCAGGAATAATAACATCTACCTCCTAGGATTACTGTGAGGATTAAATTGACAATAAATATTTATAACACAAAGAAGGCATTCAATAAATATTAGTTCTGGCCAGGTGAGGTGGCTCATGCCTGTAATCCCAGCACTTTAGGAGGCCAAGGTGGGCAGATCACAAAGTCAGAAGTTCGAGACCAGCCTGGCCAATATGGTGAAACCCTGTCTCTACTAAGAATACAGAAAAATTTAGCCGGACGTGGTGGCACATGCCTGTAATCCCAGCTACTTGGAAGGCTGAGGCAGGAGAATTGCTTGAACCCAGGAGGTGGAGGTTGCAGTGAGCTGAGATCGGGCCGCTGCACTCCAGCCTGGGTGACAAAGCAAGACTCCATCTCAAAAAAATAAAGATTAGTTTTTTCCCCAACCCCTTCCTTCTCTATTTTCCTATTGATTTGGACAATTCTATGGTATCCTTGATGGGATATGATGAAAAAGAGACTAATTCCAAATGCCTATTTATGGAATAGTAATATATTACTTTTATTATGTCTACTAGTAAAAAAACTAAACCCGAAATGATTATTTTTGATGAGACAAGTGGCGAGGGTCTCATACTAAGAGTGAATCTATCCTTGTAGACATGACATTTCTGCTTTACTAGCAAATCTCATTAATGACAAAATTATGTTCATGAAATTGAGGAAGACAAATATGCTGCTGATCTATGACCATGTAATCAGTCCTCTCACAAAGAGGACCTCCTCACAAAGAAAATAATTCTTCCTACATGTTTCCTTTTCTCCTACAAGTGAAAAGATAAAGCATTTATCAATTGGTGGGAATAAATGCTGTTAATTAATGTGAGTCACTTACTTTAGAGGGTACAAAGCATGCCCTCTTTTTGTAGCTTTGCATACAAAACAAAACATAGTTTCAGATGAGCTTGGATGCCCAGGAGGAAGTTAGGGAACCAAGCTTCACTGAACAGGCAGGGAATATGTTTAAGGCTACTTCCGCCATTTTAATCTGTAGGTCAATGTTCATTAATTTCTTTTTAGAAACAAGCTGTCAAGTTGCTGGTCCCTGTTGAGGACAGGGGTATGATGAATAGTCAAAATGCATAAGCAGGCCTTCTATCAGCCAAGATCCCAGCAGGAAGCAAATGACACACTCCAAAGGGGTGAAAAAATTATTGTTGAAGCTAGATACTGGGTACGTGGACGTCTGTTATACTATTAACTATTTATGTTTGAAATTGTCCATAATAAAATATACACAAACAAACAGAGCAGTGTAAAAGAGAGACTAATGAAAGAATAACTTACACAGATGTGGACAGAGGTTAAAGGAAAATAACAAGGGAAGGTGAAATCTACTTCCCTTCTCTGGTGACGCCCCCGCACACCCCACCTACCCTCAGGAGTGCTACCCACAGTACGGAGTGCTACCAGGAGTAGGCTTGAAGAACAAAGGAAAAGGGGGCAACTCCTGGAGCCCAGGGAGACCTGTAGCTGCAGGACATGGCCACCCATCAGGAATTGTGGACTTCGGTGGAAGAAAGAGTCACTATTAACCAAAGCCCACTATATAATTTGAGCAGCCCAGTGCAAGTTGAAAAAAGCAAGAAAAAAGTGTGGTAAAGGTACTAAAGTATAAAGTTTTGCTTTCCTTCTGCCGTCTCTTTTTCTTTCCTCAACTTGTCATGTTTCTAAAATTTTGTATCTAACACTATTCTAAATAAAGAGAACATTGAAACTGCTGGTGAAAAAATATAAAACAAAAAAAAGAAAAAAGAAAACATTAAAACTTTAAATTATTAGCCTGAATTCTACCATTTATCTTGTGCAATGCCAATTTTAAATGCCATTATAAGGGCATTTAACTATCATGCAGAATCATGAAAATTATACACTTACATTTCATAGTTTGTACATATATACATATTTTGTTCCTAGTGAAACAGTGGAAATAGTGCACAAAACTAACTCGACTGTTTCATTTCACTTTCTTATACTCATACAGTATTCCAACACTCTACTTTCAGCTTACGGATGAGGAAGGAAAGACTGAAAGGAAAAGGAACTATGGCTTGCCCTATCTTCCCCTTTCCTTCTATGACATCATTTTTAGTGTAAGTGGTTAGGAAGTAACAGAGAAGTAACATGAGAAAGAAACGATATGATGAGGCTCCTTGGTTGTATGTGTTTCTCAAATTTCATTGCCTTTTTTCTGAATTTTAAGCAAGTTGTGGTTGAAATAGAAAGCATGACATCTCGGGGCTTTATCAGCTGGACCTTGTACTTGCTTTGAGTCTCCCTGAATTCCTTATGTAGTGCATGGGTACATAGGCATTCTATGATCGTGGGGACACCGTAAATACTATATTCAAACGGAGCAACTGGAAATTGCAGACACATATATTTCATGTAACCCCTCTGTTCACATATATGCTCCACTTTCCCTTTGATTTCACTTACAAAACACACATTCAAAGATAAAATGACATACCTCAGCATCACACAATATACCCTTATAATGAACCTGTACCTGTACCCCCTGAATCTAAAATAACAGTTGAAATTTTTTTAAAAATATAAAATGAAGAATTTAAGACCGTGACAGAAAAGCATTAAACCAAGCACAGGGCCCTTCTTAAGAATGGGGTTCTATTGACTCCATAGTTTGCACACCCATGAGGCCCACCCTGCTGCCAACCCATTGTCAGAGAAATCAACACTCTCCTCCAGTCCTCCCATCCCCTGCAGATGATCTGGCCAATATGGTGAAACCCTGTCTCTACTAAAAATACAGATCTCACTGATGGACCACAACCTGATGGCAAGGGAGCCAGGGAAGCATCCACAGAGAGTAGCCACCTGGGCGACAGACTAGGGAGAGAAGAGCGAAGAGTAGGTCTGGAGGGGCAAACAGAATATGCAGCACCAGCTGCTAGCCCCCACATCAATTTCCAACAAATTCTATTCTTTTGTAATCCAGCTAGGATAATAAGGGGCAGGTAGACCTCAGGAGTGGGGCCTGGTGCATATGCAGTTATGAGCCACTTCAAAATAAATAAATACATAAATTAATTAAACCACAAATATCAATTAGGCATGAAACTGATTATTAATTCAGATTGAGAAAAGAAATCAGTTAGTCTCTTTCTTCTGAGGTCTCTAGGAAATTTAACAGAAATGCCTATACAATTCTGTTTTCTAATTGCATGCTGGCTTCCCCTCCTCACGTGGAATACTTTACAACTCCAAGCAACTCCCACCACTCACAGAGGCCTGGGGAAATGAGGAGTCCTGAAGCTTAAATGTTATTAGCTTTATGGTAAATTCCTCTGTAGACCCAAAAACTAAGAACATAAGAACATAGTATTAAGTAACTGTGGAGAAGCAGGCATTCCCTAACAGGTTGTGATGTGCCCCCTTTCCCTACCGTGCATACCAAAGGCAGTGAACCACATTTCGGGCTCTTCTGACCTAGCATTGTTTCACTGCAGTTAGGAAGTTCCATTGAATTTCACTACATAGGGAACTGGTAAGGTAATGGATAGTCATGGCCACTCCTTTGCATTCTTGATGTCTTGTCTATTCCCTGCATTGCTTGCTGGGTTGGAATCAGGCAAAAGGCAAGCTACCTTAGAAGTCACTGTTCTCATTCACCCTGAAATCCTGGCCAGATTTTGTGCTCTGGCCTAATCAACAGGTTTCTATTTAGACATAAAATATGACTGAGCTTATCTCATAATAGCTGTGGCACAGTGGAGGCAGTTTAGATTCGGAAAAAAGAAGGAAAAGGTCAGTTAAACGGGAGGGCTGCCCTGGATGGAGTTCCATGATAGGACTTAGGAGCCCCAGACACCAGAGCCACAGCCCATGAGAGGAGGGAAAATGGTGGACAGAGACAAAAGAAGGGGATGACAGATATGTACAGGGAAATGGAAAGGTGTTAAAGAAAGACTTCAAACTTTGCCCAAGGCCCTAGTGTTGGTGAACTCACTGCTTGCATTTGATAAATATGGGGAAAGCTGCTGGTATCTGAACTAAGAACATGTCTTATTCTATTTGGGCTGCTATAACAACACCGTAGACTGGGTGGCTAAAACTACAGGTATCTATTTCTCACAGTTCTGGAGGCTGGAAAGTCCAAGATTAAGATACCAGCAGATCCGGCCAGGCACAGTGGCTCACGCCTGTAATCCCAGCACTTTGGAAGGCTGAGGCGGAAGGATCACTTGAAGTCAGGAGTTTGAGACCAGCCTGAGCAACCTGATGAAAACCCATCTCTACAAAAAATACAAAAATTAGCCGAGCATGGTGGTATGTGCCTGTGGTCCCAGCTACTTGGGAGGCTGAGGTGGAAGGATCACCTGAACCCAGGGAGGTTGAGGCTGCAGTGAGCCAAGATCACACCACTGCACCCAGCTTGGGCAATGGAGTGAGACCCTGGTGTGTGGTGAGGGACCTCTTCTTGTTTGCAGACAGCTGTCTTCTTGCTGTGACCTCATATGGTGGAAGGGGTAAGTGAGTTCTCTAAGGTCTCTTTTATAAGGGCACTAATGCCATACACTAGGGCTCCACCCTCATGACCTAATCACCTCTCAAAGGCCTCACCTCCTACTACCATCACCTTGGAGGTTAGGATTTCAACACATGAATTCTGAAGGGACTCAAATAGAACCTTGCTTAGCACAAGAGCATTAACCTAAATAAGATAGCAGAGGATAGTGCTTGAGCGCATGGGTTCAAATCTTGCCCTTATTCCTTAAAAGACACTTTGGTCAAGAAACTAATTCTCGGCCAGGCACGGTGGCTCACGTTTGTAATCCCAGCACTTTGGGAGGGCGAGGCAGGTGGATCATCTGAGGTCAGGAGTTCGAGACCAGCCTGGCCAACCTGGCAAAACCCCATCTTTACTAAAAATACAAAAGTTAGCTGGGCATGGTGGCGGGCAGCTGTAATCCCAGCTACTCAGGAGGCTGAGGCAAGAGAATCACTTGAACCCGGGAGGCGGAGGTTGCAGTGAGCCGAGATTGCATCATTGCACTCCAGCCTGGGCAACAGAGTGAGACTCCATCTCAAAAAAAAACAAAACAGAACAAAAAAAGAAACTCAGTTTCCTCATCTATAAGATGGAGGTATGTTATGTCACATCATACCATGTCATGCCACATTATGTTATGTTATGTTATGTTATGTTATGTTATGTTATGTTATGTTATGTTACATGGAGCTCACTTCACAGTGTGTGAGATTAAATAAGTTAATACTTACAAACAACTTCTAACAGTTCTTGGAAAACAATTAGTACTCAATAAAAATGAGAAATTATTGTGAAAATGACTCCATATACAGCATTTATACACATTTGGGCAATATATATATTTTAATTAATTATTTTTGTTTGTTTGGTTTTTGAGATAGAGTCTCACTCTTGTAGCCCAGGCTGGAGTGCAGTGGAATGATGTCAGATCACTGCAACCTCCGCCTCCTGGGTTCAAGCGATTCTCCTGCCTCAGCCTCCTAAGTAGCTGGGATTACAGATGCCTGCCACCATGCCCGGCTAATTTTTATATTTTTAGTAGAGACAGAGTTTTGCCATGTTGACCAGGCTGGTCTCAAACTCCTGACGTCAGGTGATCCACCCACCTCGGCCTCCCAAAGTGCTGGGATTACAGGCATGAGCCACCACGCATTTGCGCAATATTTAAGGCTATAAAATTTTTGCAACAGATGGAAAATCTGATCCATTTATTTTTACTATGTATAATTTTACAAAAATTATCGATTTTTTTTTTTTTTTGAGACAGTATTGCTCTGTCGCCCAGGCTGGAATGTGGTGACACAATCACAGCTCACTGCAACCTTTGCCTCCTGGGTTCAATCGATTCTCTTGCCTCACCTTCCCAAATATCTGGGATTACAGGATCATGCCACCACGTCCAGCTAATTTTTGTATTTTTAGCAGAGATGGGATTTCACCATATTGGCCAGGCTGATCTCGAACTCCTGACCTCAAGTGATCCTCCTGCCTTTATAGGCATGAGCCATCATGGGCGGCCAGCAAAAATTATCATAGGATAATTTTTTATGGATTTTTTATATTTGATATTTAGCCAAAGATAAGTATTCCAAAGTTTTCAGAAACAAAACACAGTCGTTTCTGAACTTTCCTCACCAAAAGCAGGGATACGCTTTACCTTTTTATTTCTTACAGACAAATAGACTGACTCCACCCTCTCCAAATATTAAGGAAATGTTTAGTTTTCTTTTTAACCTTGCTCAAATTATACACTGACATATAGAGATTAGATAGAATCCCAGACCTCGCTGAGCAAATAGCTAAGTGGGATTCTTTCCTTATTAAAGACAACTTCACATTAGAATCAAGTTTGATTAAAATAGTTTGGAAAAGGTTAGGAGACTGTATTATCAGTCTTGTTTGATCCTAGATGTTTTACCTAGAGGGTAAGATGAAATAAGAGTTGGACTTTCTGGGTTCCTGTGCACCTCTGAACAAGCACATCAGCTAACCTCCCTGACTTCCATGTCCTCATCCACAGAAGAATGATGGGGAAGGTGTTGCCCAGCCTGACTCCCAACGTTCTTGTAAGGATTTAACATCAAATGTTATTTAAAAGCTGAAAAACAAAAATATTCTACAAATTCAAAAAGTACTTACTCAAATCACTTTCTTCTTACCAAATTTCTTTTCTGCATGTCATTCAACAACAGGTAGACTGACTTATCTGTCAGGAGCAACAGCCCTGAATTAATCCCATTCACATCTTTGAATTGCTGTTACTGGTATCTGTAAGAGAAAAATCATGCTCGATTAACCAGCTGGAGTTCTTTAATGTTGATTAAAAAAAATAGCAAAACAGTATCTGGCCAATAGTAGGTACTCAATAAATGTTTGTTGAATGAATTTGGAAGTGCTATGATTTAAAACATTTGACAAGATTCCACTCCCAGGGCTGTTAAAGTCAAAACAATGGCCAAAACAACCTAGTTACTAGGGAGACATAATTTTCATAGGGAAGGAGTTGGGTAACAAGAACCAGAACCTACTGGTAAATGCTCTTCTGGCAGAATCAACAATTGTGGTAACTGGCATGAACGCTTAATCTAGCACTTTTATATTTTAAAAAAGGGTGCAAGGCAAAAGCAAGCATTTAAAGATGGCATTAAACTCTTCATTGTAACATAATACATCGTAATATTGAGCAAACAAATGCATGCGATTTCAAAAACTCTGCAAGTGAGCATAGTATTTGCAATGCGTACAAGTATAGAACAATGAGTCTTGGAGAGGAGACAAATAATTTGAACAAATAACTCAAGATCTAGAAAAGTGTTAAAGGAATCATTATAGATTCAAGAAATAGATAAATGCTGCCTACAATTGAGAAAAGGTTGGGAAGAAAAAAAAGGGTTTTTTTTTTCTTTTTGTAAATAAAATTTTATTTTATTTTAAGTTCTGGGATACATGTGCAGGATGTACAGGTTTGTTACACAGGTAAACATGTGCCATGGTGGTTTGCTGCACCTATCAACCCATGACCTAGGTATTAAGCCCCACATGCATTAGCTATTGATCCTGATGCTCTCTGTCCTGCCACCCCACTGACAAGCCCCAGTGTGTGTTGTTCCTCTCCCTGTGTCCATGTGTTCTCATTGTTCAGCTCCCACTTATAAGTGGGAACATGCAATGTTTGGTTTTCTATTCCTGTGTTAGTTTGCTGAGGACAATGGCTTCCAGCTCCATCTGTGTCCCTCCAAAGGACATTATCTCATTCCTTTTTATGGCTGCATAATATTCCATGGTGTATATGTACCATATTTTCTTTATACAGTCTATCATTGATGGGCATTTGGGTTGATTCCATGTCTTTGTCATTGTGCATAGTGCTGCAGAGAACATAGGCACACATGTGTCTTTACAATAGAATGATTTATATTCCTTTGGATATATACCCAGTAATGAGATTGCAGGGTCAAATGGTATTTCTGGTTCTAGATCATTGTGGAAGACAGTGTGGCGATTCCTCAAAGATCAAGGATTTCTTTTTTTACATCGTATTAGCAGAGGCCATCTTCTATCATCCATCTGTCTCTCTTCAACCTTTGTCTCAACATTTTGTAACTATTTGTCAGTAATTTTTTTTCCTTTTTAAACAGCTTTATTGAGAAGTAATTCACATACCATATAATTCACCCATTTAAAGTGGACAATTTGCCCAGGTGCAGTGGCTCACACCTGTAATCCCAGCACTTTGAGAGGCCAAGGCAGGTGGATCACCTGAGGTTAGGAGTTCAAGACCCACCTGGCCAACATGGGGATACCTTGTCTTTACTAAAACTACAAAAATTAGCCGGGCATGGTGGCACATGCCTGTAATTCCAGCCACTCACTAGTGGGGCTGAAGCAGGAGAATTGCTTGAACCTGGGAGGTGGAGGTTGCAGTGAGCTGAGTGCACCACCGCACTCCAGCCTGGGCAACAGAGCAAGACTCTGTCTAAATAAATAAATAAATAAAGTGGACAATTCAGTGGTTTTTATTATATTTACAAGGTGAATTTTCATCACTATTGAACTTGAGAACATTTTCATCAGCTCTAAAAGGAGCCCCTACCAAATAGTAGTCACTCCCCATTTTTCTCTTCACCCAGAGCAACCCAGAGCTCAATAAAGCTGTTTAATTTACTTTCTATCTCTACAAATTTGACTATTCTGGACATTTCACATAAATGGTGTCATATAACGTAGTCTTTTGGGCCATTATATTTTCTTTCTCTAAGCATAATGTTTTCAAGGTTCATCCTTGTTGTAGCATGTATTGGTATTTCATTCCTTTTTACTGCCTAGTAATTTTCCACTGTATGAGTATCTCATACCTTGTTCTTTCATCAGTTGATAGACATTGGGTTGTCTGGAGGCTATTATAAATAATGCTGCTATGAACATTCATGTATACAAATTTTTATGTACATATACAGACAGCCCCCAACTTAATGATGGCTTGACTTAATAATTTTTGACTTTACAATGGGTTTATTGGGGTATTATATGCATTTTTCACAGGATATTTTCAACTTTTGATGGGTTTATTGGGACATAACCTCATCATAAGCCAAGGAGCATCTGTACCTAACTTTTTATTTCACTTTTTAAAAGTTGAGATTTAACCATTCATATACCATAAAATTCATCATTTTTAAGTGTACACTTTACTGGGGTTCTGTATAGTCACAAGGCTACACAACCATCACCATCATCTCATTCCAGAAAATTTTCAGCACCCCAAATACAAACTTTATGCCCATTTGCCTTGAATTAGTATTGGATCAGTAAGGTTAGAGTCTATTCTTCCTGCCTTGAGAAAATAATTTAAAACATCTTGTCCTTTTTATTCAAAGGGAAATATCATCTGTGTACCTGAAAAATAAGCACATTGACTTTTTAAAATACTGGGTTTATTGAGATATAATTCACAGACCATAAAATTCACCCTTTTAAAGTGTATAATTTAGTGGTTTCCTAGTACGTTCACAAAGTTGTGCAATCATTACCACTGTCTAATTCCAGAATATTTTCATCATGCCAAAAATGAAACCCTGTACCCATTAGCAGTCACTCCCCATTCCCTCCTTCCCACAACTTTGAGCAACCCCTAGTCTACTTTCTGCCTTTATGGATTTGCCTGTTCTAAACTATGGTTAACCTTTTGAGGAGTAAAAAGGAATTTTTTTACTTTGTACAAAATAAAAAATGGTAACAGGACATTGTCCATTAACCACTTCTTCAAAACATAAATCATTTGGTTACACACACGCACATACACACATCCCTAATGCTTTTGCCATCACTGACATTTTCATACCTCCATGTCACTTTACCTTGTTCACAGAGAAGCTCAATACCTGTTAAAATACCAAGCTGGGAGAAATATTGGCAGCAAAGCATTGATATTCTTAGTAGAGAGAGAGATTTACCCATCAATAAGAAGTGTCTCATTTCACTATAGTCATATCATTACAAACTAAAAGAAGATGATTTTTTTTTGAGGCAGGGTCTCACTCTGTCACCCAGGCTAGAATGCAATGGTGTAATCACAGCTCACTGCAGCCTTCTTTGGCTCAAGTGATCCTCCTGCCTCAACCACCCAAAGTGCTGGGATTATAGGAATGAGCCACCATGCCCAGCCAACAAGATGATTTTTAATCAAAAAGATTTTTTCTTTTTTTCCCTTTTCTTCTTTTTGAGACAGAGTCTTGCTGTGTCACCCAGGGGAGTGCAGTGGTGCTCACTGCAACCTCCACCTCTCAGGTTCAAGCGATTCTCTTGTCTCAGCCTCCCCAGCAACTGGGATTACAGTCACATGCCACCACGCCCAGCTAACTTTTTTGTATTTTTAGTAGAGGCAGGGTTTCACCATGTTGGCCAGGCTGTTCTCGAACTCCTGACCTCAAATGGTCCACCTCTCTAGGCCTGTCAATGTGCTGGGATTACAGGCATGAGCCAATGCGCCCAGCCCAAAAAGATTTTTTTTTTTAAAGAGAATTAAACACTCTAATACCCATTGTTGCTGAGGAGGTAAGAAAAGAGGCACTCAGTTGGAATTTTAAGTAGCATAACATCTGTCAAGGCCAATTTGGTCACATGGATCAAAACTTTAAAAATATGTATACTGTTTGGTCCAGAAACTCCACTTCAAGAAACTTACTCCAAATAAATTATCTTGGCCGGGGGCAGTGGCTCATGCCTGTAATCCCAGCACTTTGGGAGGCCGAGGCAGGCGGATCACATGGTCAGGAGATCGAGACCATCCTGGCTAACAGGGTGAAACCCCGTCTCTACTAAAAATACAAAAAAATTTAGCTGGGCATAGTGGCGGGTACCTGTAGTCCCAGCGACTGGGGAGGCTGAGGCAGGAGAATGGCGTGAACTCGGGAGGCAGAGCTTGCAGTGAGCGGAGATCGCGCCACCGCACTCCAGCCTGGGCAACAGAGCAAGACACCGTCTCAAAAAAAAAAAAAAAAAAAGAAATTATCTTAAGAGCCCTGACGGTGGCTCACGCCTGTAATCCCAGCACTTTGGGAGGCCGAGGCGGGCAGATCACGAGGTCAGGAGATCGAAGCCATCCTGGCTAACACGGTGAAACTCCGTCTCTACTAAAATACAAAACAACAACAAAAAAATTAGTTGACGTGGTGGCAGGCGCCTGTAGTCCCAGCTACTCGGGAGGCTGAGACAGGAGAATGGCGTGAACCCGGGAGGTGGGGCTTGCAGTGAGCAGAGATCGCGCCACTGCACGCCAGCCTGGGCGACAGAGCGAGACACTCCATCTCCAAAGAAAAAAAAAAAAAAAAAAAAAGGCCCTGGAAGATATATCTATAGGTTGTTCATTATCTCATTGCTATTCATATAGCAGAAAATAGGAAACAATCTAAGTATAGTTAAAACAAAAAAAGGATAAGTTAATTAACTTATGAAACAGCCCTATGATCAATTACCATTCTGTTATTAAAAATTATATTGAGGAAGAACATTTGGTTACTTAGGAAAATGTTCAAAATTTTTGGCTAAGTGAAAAAAAACTGACTAGAGAGCAGTGTTAAATATCTCAAGGTTATAAAAATTTGGTGTTACGGAGAACTTTTGTAAAATTTATTTCTTGGTAAGAAATCTTGGGGTCAATTTTGTGTAGGTGCTAATAATTTCAGAGTCACAGCTCCAAACTATAGAAATATTACTTAATTATGCTAAACTGAGCTCAATTTCTATGAGATCCCGTTTTTGACAGTGAAAATAATTATGCCAATTACAGCTAGCTTAGTTACTTTCAGCATAAAATTGAGCTCCTTTTCATGAATATTCAGTCAGAGTTGGCTTACTATTTTATCATTTCAAAGATTGAACTCCGTCCTCATTTCTCAAAATTTTGTCCCTTCCCTCACTTCTTGGGATGTCTGAGAAGGGAGTAGTTTTTAGAACATCATTGGTTGTGGGGCTTTGGTCCCTGGTCCTTGCTCGGGGCTCCTACTGACCCCAGGTGAGGAGGCTTGTTGGCCCATCTTCACTGCATGCACTCTTTGAAGGTCTGGAAAGTGATTCCTGGTCACTTGTCTTGGCACACATGGTTAAAGCCCTGTGGTTGTCCTATCTGTCCCCATCCCTGATCCCCCTTCCCTACCCCATCACTCCACCATGCCCTTGACTTGCCTCACCTCAGCCCTCCTAGTTGGGATTGATCTTCCTCTGCCATGGAGCCCTCAGGTCTAGATGACTCTCCACCAACCACCCCAGTGACTCCTGGCAAACCCCTGACTCAATCCTTGGCAGCCCCAACCCCCAGGATATGGAACTTTTGTATCTTCTCTCTGCCTCATGCAGACTTGGAGGTATTGGAGAGTGGGGTATCTTCTCCAGCCTCTGTTTCTGCCTAAAAATGAGACAACAAAACTATACCTAGGCTGCCCCATGCTGTCTTCAGGCTCTACATGGCATTCTCCTCCCAGAATTCTGGATGGAAGGGGCCCATGCCCCTGCTGTTGACAGATACTGAAAACTCTCTGGAAGTCTATTCTCAGAAGGGAAGGTGGGGAGTAATCTATAAAAACAGCCAATCTCTCTTTTCTCTCTCCTCTCTTCTTCCTTCTCTTATCTTTCCTTTCCTTTCCTTTCATTTCCTTTCCTTTCCTTTCCTTGCCCTACCACTGTGTATGGATGGTGGCTGTGGGTCATCTAGGTGGGTACAAAACTCTGAAGTTTGGGGAAGCAATCAGGGGTCAAGGTACATATTCAGAAGGTGCTGTGGTTTGAATGTGTCCTCTAAAGTTCATGTACTGGAAACCTAATCTCCAATCCAATGGTGTTGAGAGATGAGATCTTAAAGAGGTCATTAGGTAATGAGGGCTCTGCCCTCATAAATGGATTAATATTATTGAAGTGAACTTGTTTTTGTTTAGTTTTTTACCTCCCTTCCTCTCCACTCACTCTCTCCTTTTTTCTTTTTCTTTTTGGAATTTGTTATCTCAGGATTGGGATCCTGATTTAAAAACTGAGTTCAGCCCCCTTCTTCTCTGGCATGTATGTGTTCTTTTGCCCTTCTGCTCTCTGCCAGATGACACAGAGAGAAGGCCTTCAACAGATGCCAGCCCCTTGATCTTGAACTTCACAATCTCTAGAACTGTAAGAAATAAATCCCTGTTCTTTGTAAATTACCCAGTCTCAGGTATTCTGCTATACAAGGTGAAAACAGTCTAAGACAGAAGGCTTCAATATAAAAGTGATGGTTGAAGCCGTGGGGCTTATGAATGAGATCATGATAGATAGAAAGTCTTAGGGGTCATACTTTATTATTAAGAAGCTACAGGAATGGCAATGAATTTTCTTCAAAACCTCTGGTCATATTACAAAATAAATAATGTAAATTTTGTGGAAGAGGAAGGACTTAGTCTTTTACTTTGTCAAAAAGTAGTTCCTAACCAAAAAGCAGGGCTTTAGGGAGGGAAATGGAGCATAATGAACCCTAATGTATTCTTTCACCATTGAAGAGGCCAAGGAGAGGAGTTGAGGAAGACTGCATATTTTGAAAATTGGGCCATTATTGTTGTAAAACCTACTCAAGCAACTTTATAAGATCTGGAAGGAAAGTCTTTGAACAGGGAATTCCTTCCTGAAGGACATTCTTTTTAATTACCAAGAAGAAAGGATCCGTTTGTAAAGACTGTCCTTAAACGTTAGATATCTTTAGGGATGGAAGGAGGGGTGGTCTAAAGGATGAACGAACGGGTTGATGGCTGGCTGAAAAGATGGATGGGTAGATGGATGGGTGGGTGAGTGGATAGATGGATGGGTCCATGGAAGGTATTACTGCTGACTACATGAA
This sequence comes from Homo sapiens, assembly GCF_000001405.40. NCBI lineage: Eukaryota > Metazoa > Chordata > Mammalia > Primates > Hominidae > Homo > Homo sapiens. The sequence continues at coordinate 90,556,650 of NC_000007.14, read as the reverse complement.
AACACAGAATAATCTCTAGAAGGGTTACTCCCTTAAGAATTTACAGTTAATTACTTAATGGAGTTAACAAATACTTATTGAAAGTCAACTCTAGTTATGGTGTTTGGCAAGGTCCCTGAAGTAAATGCTCTTGACCTCATGGAGCTTTCAAACTAGAAAGAGGGACAAAGAACAAATGAACAAATAAATCAAGTTATTGCACATTTTGAAAAGTACCTTAAAAAGGATTATCATTATTATTCTAATTTTTATTTATATTTCTTTAAATTAGAAACAAGTTAGTGCTGCTAATTCCTTCTCACAAGAGGAGCACTGACCACCACAAATTAGGGAAAATCCAAGATCACATTTTTACTTTTTAATAATATCAAATTTTATTTTAGATTCAGGTGACACATGTGCAGGTTTGTTACATGGCTGTATCGTGTGATGCTGAGGTTTGTGGCATGATTGATCCCATCACCCAGATAGTAAGCTTAGTAGCCAATAGTCTTTGAACCCTTGTCCCCTTCCTTCCCACCTCTAGTAGTCCCCAGTGTCTATTGCTGCCGTCTTTACATCCATGTGTACCCAGTGTTTAGCTCCAACTTATAAGTGAGAACATGCAATATTTGGTTTTCTGTTCCGGAATTAATTTGCTTAGGATAATAGCTTCCAGCTGCATCCATGTTGCTGCAGAGGACTTGATTTCATTCTTTTTATGGCTGTGTAATATTCCTTGTGTATATGCAACACATTTTCTTTATACAATCCATCATTGATGGGCATCTAGATTGATTTCTTGTCTTGCTACTGTGAAAAATGCCGCAATGAACATAAAAATGCATGTGTCTATCTGGTAGAATGATTTATTTTCCTTTGGATATAGACCCAGTAATGGGTTGAATGGAAGCTCTGTTTTGAGTTCTTTGAGAAATCTCCAAACTGCTTTCCACAGTGGCTGAACTAATTTACATTCCCACCAACAGTGTATAAGCATTCCCCTTTTTCCACAGCCTTGCAAGCATTTGTTGTTTTTTGACTTTTTAAAAACAGCCATTCTGATTGTTGTGGTTTTGATTTGCATTTTGATTTGTGTTTTGCTGATTAATGCTGATGAAAAATGCTGAGCATTTTTTCATATGTTTGTCGGCCGCTTGTATATCTTCTTTTGAGAAATGTCTATTCATATCTTTTGCCCACTTTTTAATGGGGTTATTTGTTTTTTGCTTGTTGAATTGTGTAAATTCCTTATAGATTCTGGATATTAGGCTTTTGTCAAATGCATGGTTTGCAAATATTTTCTCCCACTCTGTAGGTTGTCTTTCTACGCTGATGATAGTTGGTTTGTTTTTCTATTTTTCTACACAGAAGCTCTTTAGTTTAATTAGGTCCTACTTATCAATTTTTGTTGCAATTGCTTTTAAGGACTTGGTCACAAATCATTTCCCAAGGTCAATGTCCAGGATGGTATTTCCTAGGTTTTATCCTAGGATTCCTATAGTTTGAGGTCTTACAATTAAATCTTTAATCCATCTTGAGTTATTTTTTATAATATGGTGAAAGGTAGGGGTCCAGTTTCATTCTTTGGCATATGGCTAGCCAGCTATCCCAGCACCATATATTGAACAGAGGGGTTTCTTCCCCATTATTTATTTTTGTTGACTTTGTCAAAGATCAGGTGGCTGTAGGTGTGTGGCTTTATCTCTGGATTTTCTATTTTGTTCCACTGGTCTGTGTGTTTGTTTTTATACCAGTGCCGTTACGTTTTGGTTATTGTAGCTTTATAGCATAATTTGAAGTTGGGTAGTGTGATGTCTCTGGCCTTCTTTCCCTTAGGATTGCTTTAGATATTCAAGCTCTTTTTTGGTTAACATGAATTTAAGAGTAGTTTTTTCTAATTCTATGAAAAATGACATTTGTAGTTTGATAGGAATAGCATTGAACCTATAGATTGCTTTGGGCAGTATGGCCATTTTCATGATATTGATTCTTCCAATCCATGAGCATGGAATATTTTTCCATTAGTTTGATCATCCATGATTTCCTTCAACAATGTTTTGTAGTTCTCTTTGAAGAAGTCTTTCACCTCCTTAGTTAGATGTATTCCTAGGTATTTTATTTTGTGTGTGTGGCTCTTGTAAATGGGATTGCATTCTTGATTTGGATCTTAGCTTGAACATTATTGATGTATAGAAATTCTACTGATTTTTGTATGTTGATTTTGTATCCCGGAACTTTACTGAAGTCATTTATCAGTTCTAGGAGCATTTTGGTGGAATCTTTAGGATTTTCTAGGTACAGAATTATATTGTCAATGAAGAGAGTTAATATGAATTCTTCTTTTCCTATTTGGATGCCTTTTACTTCTCTTGCCTGATTGCTCTGTCTAGGACTTCCAGCACTATGTTGAATAGGAGTGGTGAGAGGGCAGCCTTGTCTTGTTCCAGTCCACGAGGGGAACGCTTCCACCTTTTGCCCATTCAATACAATGTTGGCTGTGAGTTTGTCATAGATGGTATGTTCCTTTGATGCCTAGTTTGTTGGTTTTTTTTTTTTTTTATCGTGAGGGGATATTGGATTTATCAAAAGCTTTTTCCATGTCTATTGAGATGATCATATGGTTTTTTTCTTTTCTTTTCTTTTTTTTTTTTTTTGAGAGAGGGTCTCGCACTCAGACTGAAGTGCAATGGTATGATCTTGGCTCACCACAACCTCTCCCTTCCAGGTTCAAATGATCCTCCCACCTCAGCCTCCCAAGTAGCTGAGACCACAGGCATGCACCATCATGCCTGGCTTTTTAAAAATTTTTGGTACAGATAGAGTTTTGCCATATTGCCCAGGCTGGCCTCAAACTCCTGAGCTCAGGCGATCTGCCCACCTCTGCCTCCCAAAGGCTGGGATTACAGGCGTGAACCACTGTGCCCAGCCTGGTTTTTGTCTTTAGTTCTGTTTATGTGGTGAATCACATTTATTGATTTGTGAATGTTGAACCAACCTTGAATACCAGGTATGCCTACTTGATCATAGTGAATTAATTAACTTTTGATGTGCTACTGGATTCAGTTTGCTAGTATTTTGTTGAAGATTTTGTGTCTATGTTCATCAGGGATATGGGCCTATAGTTTTCTTTCTTTATTATGTCTTTTCCAAGTTTTGGTTTCAGGGTGATGGTGCCTTCATAGAATGAGTCAGGGAGGAGTCCCTTCTCCTCAATTTTTGGGAATAGTTTCAGTAGAATTGGTACCAGCTCTTCTTCATATGACCAGTCAAATTTAGCTGTGAATCCATCTGGTGTGCGGCTTTTTTGGTTCATAGGTTTTTATTGCTGATTCAGTATTGGAACTTGATATTGGTCTGGTCAGGGTTTCAGTTTCTCCCTAATTCAATCTGAGGAGGTTATGTGTCTCCAGGAATGTGTCCATTTCCTCTAGATTTTCTAGTTTGTGTGTATAGAGGTATTCGTAATAGTCCCTGAGCATAAAAGATCACATTTTTAAAAATTTAATATTGTGGCTGAGCATGGTGGCTTGTGCCTGTAATCCTAGCACTTCGGGAGGCAGAGGCAGGAGGATCGCTTGAGGCCAGGAGTTCAAGGCCAGCCTGGTCAACACAGTAAGACCCTCTTTCTACAATAACTTAAAATAAAATAAAATAAAATAAAATAAAATTTAATATTAGCCAGGTTGCTTGCCCCCTGGCCAATTTTGCTGCTGCCAACAAAAAAAAAAAAAGAGAGAAGCATAATTGAAATATGTATTTACATTTGAAGGTCAACTAAAAAACATGTATTAATATAAATATAAAAATTTTAAGTATTTTATTAAATGTGTCGCTTTTCACTCTCTATCCTCTATATCTATAATACCTGACTTATAATTACTTCAAAATACTATACCTACCATACTGTTTTAAGTATTTCATCACTATTGTATTGAGCTGCCCTCTGGTGGTTTTTAATTTCTTAAAATTTGCAACTACCTACCTTATATCTGATGTGTATTATGTTTAAGGTATTGTATATTGTTTAATATCACATTTCTTCCTACTTTTTACATGTACTTATTTGGTAGGGCCTTGAGATACATTCATTTAATAAGAATGGACATTGGCTAATATTCAAAACAGGGAAAAACATTAATTCATGCAAGAGGGTTTGTACATCCAGTGTAATGAATCACCAGTTATGAACATTATTTCTGTTAATGTCATTATAGTACAGAACTAATTAATGAGAGCCTCAGTAATAAAGTACAGAATATAACAACCAAACACACCTGAAACTTAAAATATACTTTTTTCTTTTTCTTTCTTTTATTTTTTTTGAGACAGAGTCTCGCTCTGTTGCCCAGGCTGGAGTGCAGTGGCGTGATCTCGGCTCACTGCAAGTTCCACCTCCCGGGTTCATGCCATTCTCCTGCCTCAGCCTCCCGAGTAGCTGGGACTACAGGCGCCTGCCACCACGCCTGGCTAATTTTTTGTATTTTTAGTAGAGATGGGGTTTCCCCATATTAGCCAGGATGGTCTCAATCTCCTGACCTCGTGATCCGCCCGCCTCAGCCTCCCAAAGTGCTGGGCTAACAGGTGTGGGCCACCACGCTTGGCCCCTAAAATATACGTTTCAAATGATTGTCCTTAGTATGTGTTAAAAGCTCTCACATCACACAAAACCATATAATTAACCTTTTCAATAAAAGTATAAAATGTACTCCTTAATGAATTGGCTATATGTTTGTCACTGCTCCAAATAATTTGAAATATAGAACTGTCCTTTTTAACTTTCCGTCAAAGATAGACAGAAAATACCTGTTGAAAATAGATACTTTTCATCAAACCAGTCTCTTGATCTTCTGACAGTAAAATGGTAAAGATTTGATAGTAAAATCTTTTGTTTTATTTTGTTGAACTTTCTTTGGTATATTGGTTGTCATGTATAAAATGACCTTGGTTATGAGAACAATATATTTTAACCATAAGAGTTTAAAAGTTAGGGTATTATCGGCCACTTCCAAGATGGCCAAATAGGAACAGCTCCAGTCTGCAGCTCCCAGCAAGATTGACACAGAAGACGGGTGATTTCTGCATTTCCAACTGAGGTACCTGGTTCATCTCACTGGGACTGGTTGGATAGTGGGTGCAGCCCATGGTGGGTGAGCTGAAGCAGGGCAGGGTGTCACCTCACCCAGGAAGCATGAGGGGTTGGGGGATTTCCCTTTCCCAGCCAAGAGAATCCATGACAGACTGTACCTGGAGAAACGGTACACTCCTGACCAAATACTGCACTTTTCACATGGTCTTAGCAACCAGCAGACCAGAAAATACCCTCCCTTGCCTGGCACAGCAGGTCCCACGCCCATGGAGCCTTGCTCACTGCTAGCACAGCAGTCTGAGATCAACCTGTGATACTGCAGCTTGACGGGGGAGGAGCATCCACCATTGCTGAGGCCTGAATAGCTCACAGTGTAAACAAAGTCGCCAGGAAGCTCAAAATGGGCAGAGCCCACCACAGCTTAAGCAAGGCCTACTGCCTCTCTAGATTCCACCTCTGGGGGTAGGGCATAGCAGAACAAAAGGCAGCAGACAGCTTCTGCAGAATTAAACTTCCATGTCTGATAGATCTGAAGAGAGCAGTGGTTCTCTCAGCATGGTTTTCAAGCTCTGAGAATGGACAGACTGCCACCTCAAGCAGGTCCCTGACCCCCATGTAGCCTGACAGGGAGACACCTCCCAGTAAGGGCCGACAGACACCTCAAACAGGCAGGTGCCCCTCTGGGATGAAGCTTCCAGAGGAAGGATCAGGCAACAATATTTGCTGTTCTGCAGCCTCCACTTGTGATACCCAGGAAAACAGGGTCTGGAGCAGACCTCCAGCAAACTCCAACAGACCTACAGCCGAGGGGCCTGTTAGAAGGAAAACTAACAAACAGAAAGGAATTGCATCAGCATCAACAAAAAGGACATCCACACCAAAACCCCATCTGTAGGTCACCAACATCAAAGACCAAAGGTAAATAAAAACACAAAGATGGGGAGAAACCAGAGCAGAAAAGCAGAAAATTCCAAAAACCAGAGCTCCTCTTCTCCTCCAAAGGATCACAGCTCCTCGCCAGCAAGGGAACAAAACTGGATGGAGAATGAGTTTGATGAGTTGACAGAAGTAGGCTTCAAAAGGTTGGTAATAACAAACCTCTCCGAGCTAAAGAAGCATGTTCTAACCCATTACAAGGAAGCTAAAAACCTTGAAAAAAGGTTAGACAAATGGCTAACTAGAATAAACAGTAGAGCTGAAAACCAAGAACTTCGTGATGCATACACAAGTTTCAATAGCCAATTCGATCAAATGGAAGAAAGGATATCAGTGATTGAAGATCAAATTAATGAAATAAAGGGAGAAGACAAGAATAGAGAATAAAGAGTGAGAAGAAATGAACAAAGTCTCCAAGAAATGTGGGACTATGTGAAAAGACCAAATATAGGTTTGATTGGTGTTCTGGGAAGTGATGGGGAGAATGGAACCAAGTTAGAAAACATGCTTCAGGATATTATCCAGGAGAACTTCCCTAACCTAGCAAGGTAGGCCAACATTCAAATTCAGGAAATACAAGGGGGGAGGAATAGCATTAGGAGATATACCTAATGTAAATGACGAGTTAATGGGTGCAGCACACCAACATGGCACATGTATACATATGTAACAAACCTGCACGTTGTGCACATGTACCCTAAAACTTAAAGTATGATAAAAAAAAAATTCAGGAAATACAGACAATACCACAAAGATACTCTTCAAGAAGAGCAACCCCAAGACACATAATTGTCAGATTCACCAAGGTTGAAATGAAGGAAAAAATGTTAAGGGCAGCCAGAGAGAAAGGTCGGGTCACCCACAAAGGGAAGCCCATCAGACTAACAGCAGATCTCTCGGCAGAAATGCTACAATCCAGGAGAGAGTGGGGGTCAATATTCAACATTCTAAAAGAAAAGAATTTTCAACCCAGAATCTCATATCCAGCCAAACTAAGCTTCATAAGTGAAGGAGAAATAAAATCCTTTACAGACAAGCAAATGCTGAGAGATTTTATCACCACCAGGCCTGCATTACAAGAGCTCCTGAAGGAAGAACTAAACATGGAAAGGAACCACTGGTACCAGCTACTGCAAAAACATACCCATTGTAAAGACCACTGATGCTATGAAGGAACTACATCAATTAATGGGCAAAATAACCAGCTAATATCATAATGACAGGATCAAATTCAAACATAACAATATTAACCTTTAATGTAAATGGGCTAAATGCTCCAATTAAAAGACACAGACTAGCAAATTGGATAAAGAATCGAGACCCATCGGTGTACTGTATTCAGGAGACCCATCTCACGTGCAAAGATGCACATAGGCTCAAAATAAAGGGATGAAGGAAGATCTACAAAGCAAATGGAAAACAAAAAAAGGCAGGGGTTCCAATCCTAGTCTCTGATGAAATAGACTTTAAACCAGCAAAGATCAAAAGAGACAAAGAAGGCCACTATAATGGTAAAAGGGTCTATTCAACAAGAAGAGCTAACTATCCTAAATATATATGCACCCAATACAGGATCACCCAGGTTCATAAAGCAAGTCCTTAGAGACTGACAATGAGACTTAGAATCCCACGCAATAATAATGGGAGACTTAACACCGCACTGTCAATATTAGACAGATCAATGAGACAGAAGGTTAACAAGGATATCCAGGACTTGAGCTCAGCTCTGGACCAAGCAGACCTAATAGACATCTACAGAACTCTACACCCCAAATCAACAGAATATACATTCTCAGCACCACATCACACTTATTGTAAAATTGACCACATAATTGGGAGTAAAATACTCCTCAGCAAATGTAAAAGAACGGAAATTACAACAAACTGTTTCTCAGACAACAGTGCAATCAAATTAGAACTCGGGATTCATAAACTCACTCAAAACCGCACAACTACATGGAAACTGAACAACTTTCTCCTGAGTGACTACTGGGTAAATAATGAAATAAAGGCAGAAATAAAGATGTTCTTTGAGACCAATGAGAACAAAGACACAACGTACCAGAATGTCTGGGACACATTTAAAGTAGTGTGTAGAGGGAAATTTATAGCACTAAATGCCCACAAGAGAAAGTAGGAAAGATCTAAAACCGACACCATAACATCACAATTAAAAGAACTAGAAAAGCAAGAGCAAACACATTCTAAAGCTAGCAGAAGGCAAGAAATAACTAAGATCAGAGCAGAACTGAAGGAGATAGAGACAGGAAAAACCCTTCAAAACATCAATGAATACAGGACCTGGTTTTTTGAAAAGATCCACAAAATAGATAGACTGCTAGCAAGACCAATAAAGAAGAAAAGAGAGAAGAATCAAACAGACACAATAAAAAATGATAAAGGGGATATCACCACCAATCCCACAGAAATACAAACTACCATCAAAGAATACTATAAACACCTCTATGCAAATCAACTAGAAAATCTAGAAGAAATGGATAAATTCCTGGACCCATACACCCTCCCAAGACTAAACCAGGAAGAATTTGAATCTCTGAATAGACCAATAACAGGTTATGAAATTGAGGCAATAATTAATAGCCTACCAACCAAAAAAAATCCAGAACCAGATGGATTCACAGCCAAATTCTACCAGAGGTACAAAGGGGAGCTGGTACCATTCCTTCTGAAACTATTCCAATCAATAGAAAAAGAGATTATCCTCCCTAACTCATTTTATGAGACCAGCATCATCCTGATACCAAAGCCTGGCACAGACACAACAAAAAAAGAGAATTTTAGGCCAATATCCCTGATGAAATCGATGTGAAAATCTTCAATACAATACTGGCAAACCGAATCCAGCAGCACATCAAAAAGCTTCTCCACCATGATCAAGTGGGCTTCATCCTGGGATGCAGGGCTGGTTCAACATGAGCAAATCAATAAACACAATCAATCACATAAACAGAACCAATGACAAAAACCACATGATTATCTCAATAGATGCAGAAAAGGCCTTTGACAAAGTCAACAGCACTTCATACTAAAAACTCTCAATAAACTAGGTATTGATGGAATGTATTTCAAAATAATAAGAGCTATTGATGAAAAAGCCACAGCCAATATCATACTGAATGGGCAAAAACTGGAAGCATTCCCTTTGAAAACCAGCACAAGACAAGTACGCCCTCTCTCACCACTCCTATTCAACATAGTGTTGGAAGTTCTGGCTAGGGCAATCAGGCAAGACAAAGAAATAAAGTGTATTCAATTAGGAAAAGAGGAAGTCAAATTGTCTCTTTTGCAGATGACATGATTGTATATTTAGAAAACCCAAAATCTCAGCCCAAAATCTCCTTAAGCTGATGAGCAACTACAGCAAAGTCTCAGGATACAAAATCAATGTGGAAAAATCACAAGCATTCTTATACACCAATAATAGACAAACAGAGAGCCAAATCATGAGTGAACTCCTATTCACAATTACTACAAAGAGAATAAAATACCTAGGAATCCAACTTACAAGGGATGTGAAGGACCTCTTCAAGGAGAACTACAAAACATTGCTCAACGAATTAAAAGAAGACACAAACAAATGGAAGAACAGTCTGTGCTCATGGATAGGAAGAATCAATATCGTGAAAGTGGCCATACTGCTCAAGGTAATTTATAGATTCATTGCTATCCCCATCATGCTACTACTGACTTTCTTCACAGAATTGGAAAAAACTACTTTAAACTTCATATGGAACTAAAAAAGAGCCTACATAGCCAAGACAATCCTAAGCCAAAGAAAAAAGCTGGAGGCATAACACTACCTGACTTCAAACTATGCTACAAGGCTACAGTAACCAAAATAGCATGGTAGTGGTACCAAAACAGACATATAGATCAATGGAACAGAACAGAGCCCTCAGAAATACCACCACACATCTACAACCATTTGATCTTTGACAAACCTGACAAAAACAAGCAATGGGGAAAGGATTCCCTACTTAATAAATGGTGCTGGGAAAACTGGCCAGCCATATGTAGAAAGCTGAAACTGGATCCCTTCCTTACACCATACACAAAAATTAACTCAAGATGGATTAAATACTTAAATGTAAGACCTAACACCATAAAAACTCTAGAAGAAAACCTAGGCAATACCACTCAGGACATAGGCATGGGCAAAGACTTCATGACTAAAACACCAAAAGCAATGGCAACAAAAGCCAAAATTGACAAATGGGATCTAATTAAACTAAAGAGCTTCTGCACAGCAAAAGAAATTATCATCAGAGTGAACAGGCAACCTCCAGAATGGGAGAAAATTCTTGCAATCTACCTATCTGACAAAGGGCTAATATCCAGAATCTACAAAGAACTTAAACAAATTTACAAGAAAAAAACAAAAGACCCTATCAAAAAGTGGGCTAAGGATATGAACAGACACTTCTCAAAAGACAACATTTATGCAGCCAACAGACATGAAAAAATGCTCATCATCACTGGTCATCAGAGAAATGCAAATTAAAACCACAATGAGATACAATCTCACACCAGTTAGAATGGCAACCATTAAAAAGACAGGAAACAACAGATGCTGAAGAGGATGTGGAGAAATAGGAACACTTTTACACTGTTGGTGGGAGTGTAAATTAGTTCAATTATTGTGGAAGGCAGTGTGGCAATTCCTCAAGGATCTAGAATTAGAAATACCATTTGACCCAGTGATCCCATTACTGGGTATGTACTCAAAGGACTACAAATCATGCTACTATAAAGACACATGCACACGTATGTTTATTGCAGCATTATTCACAATAGAAAAAATTAGAACCAACCCAAATGTCCATCAATGATAGACTGGATTAAGAAAATGTGGCACATATACACCATGAAATACTATGCAGCCATAAAAAAGGATGAGTTAATGTCCTTTGCAGGGACATGGATGAAGCTGGAAACCATCTTTCTCAGCAAACTATCACAAGGACAGAAAACCAAATACCACATGTTCTTACTCATAGGTGGGAGTTGAACAATGAGAACACATGGACACAAGGCGGGGAACATCACATGCCGGGGCCTGTCGGGGGGCAGGGTGCTGGGGGAAGGATAGCATTAGGAGAAATACCTAATGTAAATGATGAGTTGATAGGTGCAGCAAACCAACATGGCACATGTATACCTATGTAACAAACCTGTACGTTGTGCACATGTACCCTAGAACTTAAAGTATAGTTTTTTTTAAAAAAAGTTAGAGTATTATCCAACTTTTCCAATTATTCTTTTTGGCCAAGGCAAGATCTATTTGGAAAATTTTAAATTATTTATCTTGGCCAAGGCAAGATTTATTTCGAAAAATTTAAATTATTTATCTTATCATGTGTATGCTCTGAGTTCAGGGGAAAGAGATCCACATCATATGAGATTAAACATTTTTGAAATTCAAATATTTATTTAGGCATTCAAATACCTTCTGTGTGCCTAACCCTGTGTGGCTCACACTATAAAAAAGGACATTTCAGAAAAGAAGCTCCAGTTATATTTTCAGCCATTGCATCATGAGAACTAGAGCTTGGAAGAATAAAAGTGCTTCAGTAGTTCAGAAAATAATTTAAAACTGTGTTAGCTATAAGAGGGAATAAAAACTTCATAGAGGAAATGACATCTGAATTGGGTGGTGAGAATTCATAGAATTGGGTGGCAAGGTGTAAAGTGCTGAAGACATTTTCAGTGGGCCATTTCATTGTGCTGCAGTATAATTTGGCCAAATTCACACCATACCTTGGGAGTTTATGAGCATGTGCTGTGCAGACTATCATATCCCCTTCTATACCAGCATAAACAAGGTAACAATTAACATCTCTGTTGGTTATATCAACTATCCTCCTGTATTTGGGTGTGTTGTACCTTTTTAAATCCTGGATTACCTGTTCTTGAACTTCTTACATGAAGTTCATGTATGCAGTAAAAATCACACATGTAGTGTTTTGAGTCCAACTTCTTTCACACAGCATAATGCTTCTGAGATTTATCCTTGTTGTGTATATCAGTAGTTAGTTCCTTTTTATTGCTGGGTTGTATTCCATTGTATGACTATATTGCAGTTTGTTTATCCATTTTCCTGATGATGGATACCTGGGCTGGTTCCAGTGGCGGCTATTAGGAATATAGCTGCTGTGAATATTTGCATGTAGATCTTTGTGTGGTCATCATTTCATTTTACTTGGGTTATATTTAGGAGTGGAATTTCTGAATTGGGTGGTAAGTGAATGTTTAACTTTACAAGAAACTGCCAAATAATTTTCCAGGGTGGTTAAATTATTTTATACTTCAATATATGAGAAGTAACCTATAAAAACTTGGAGTTTTATTCTCCTTAGTTTTAGCCATTCTAGTGGGTTTTGTGGGTATCTCATTGTGGCTTAAAATTGTGTTTTTATGAGAATATAATGTTGAGTATTTTTTAAGTGCTTATTGGCCATTTATGCATCTTTTTTTGAGGTGTCTTCAAATCTTTCACCTATTTTTAAAATTGTGTTTATTAAAACATCATTAATTTGTAGGTATTATTTATATATTCTGTGTGCAAGTATTTGGTCATATATGTGTCTTGCAAACATATTCTTGCAACCTGTGGCTCATCTTCATTCTTTTAGCTGTGTCTTTTGAAAGTTTTAAATTTTGATGAAGTCTATTTTACCAATGTGTGTGCGTGTGGCTGGGAGGGGAATGTTAGTGCTTGCTGTATTTTCCTTAAGAAATCTTTGCCTACCTCAAAGTTGCAAAGATGTTTGTCTATGATTTATTCTAGAAGCTTTACAGTTTTATGTTTTGGCCTATAATCCATCTCAAATTAATTTTTGTGTATGTTTGAGGTGTAAATTTCAGAGGTTCATTTTTTTCTCATATGAATATCTAGTTGTTCAGCACCATCTAATGAAATGATTTTGTTCCAGTTTAATTCACCAAAATTGTCAAGAAACAGAAAATTTTTGAAAGATTGCTGACAAAAAGAAATTAGGAGTTAAAAATTACACTTGACATGCCTGAATCATTGTTTATACCCATACAGAAAACATATACAAGTGACTGTTAGTATCATTTTTAAACACAGCCATCACATGTATGAATTTCTGACAGCAAGATCTATTGCCTGAATAATTTATATGGAAAAAGTGCTCTATCTATGGTACAATTATTTTTAAAATTATTATTATTATCATTTTTAACTGAAAAATCATAATTGTATACATTTATGGGGCACAATGTAATGTTTTAATATATGTATACAATGTGGAATCATTAAGTCTAGCTAATTAACATATCCATTACCTCAATCATTATTCTTGTGGTGAGACCTTTGAAATTTATTCTCTTACCTATTTTGAAATATATAATACATTATTATTGACTGTAGTCACTCTTCTGTCCAATAGATCTCAAAAATTTATTTCTCCTCTCTAACTGAAACTTTGTACCCTTTGATCAATAACTCCTCATTCCCTCTCTCCCCAGCCCCCCACAAACCCTGCCCACTCCAGCCTCTGGTAGCTACCACTCTACTCTCTATTTCTATGAGTTAGGCTTTTTTTTAGATTCCACATATAAGTGAGATGATGTGGTATTTGTCTTTCTGTGCCTGGCTTATTTCACTTAGCACAATGTCTCCAGGTTCATCCATGTTGTCACAAATGACAGGATTTCCTTCTTTGTGGCTGAATGGTAACCCATTGTGTGTGTGCGTGTGTGTGTGTGTGTGTGTGTGTGTGTGTGTGTGTGTGTAGAGAGAGAGAGACAGAGCATCTATACATATATAAAGTGTATACATACACACACATATATATATGTATGCATACACACTACATTTTTAATCCATTCATCCATTGATGGACACAAGTTGATTCTATATCTTGGCTATTGTGAATATACTGCAGTCAACATAGTAGTGCAGCTATCTCTTCAGCAAATTGATTTCAATTTATTTGGCTACACCCAGAAGTGGAATTGCTGGATCCTGCAGTAGAATTCTAAATTTTTTGAAATCTTGAAGCATTTATCTCTTTGACTAAGTGCCTTTGAAGTCAGATAAATCTTTTTTGAGGGGCGAAATGGTGGTAACTTGAAACCTCTAGTGAACCTTTTTTTTTTTTTTTTTTTTTTGAGACAGAGTCTTGCTCTGTCACCCAGGCTGGAGTGCAATGGCGCGATCTTGGCTCACTGCAACCTCTGCCTCCTGTGTTCAAGCGATTCTCCTGCCTCAGCTTCCTGAGTAGCTAGGATTACAGGCACGCACCACCACGCCCGGCCAATTTTTTGTATTTTTAGTAGAGACGGGGTTTCACCATGTTGGCCAGGCTGGTCTCGAACTCCTGACTTCATTATCTGCTCACCTCAGCCTCCCAAAGTGCTGGGTTTACAGGCATGAGCCACTGCGCCCAGCCTAGTGAACCTTTTAAACTATACAAAGATACAGCCAAAATCTCTTCTAGATTGGAGTGTTTTAAGGACTCCGAGGAATTAAACTGCAAATGATGATACACTGTTGGCTGGGGCAGACTTTAGACTGGGGCAAGGAGGGAAAACTAGGGTTTTCCCAGTTTCTGCACTCAGATGAGATAGGGGTTTGTGTTCTGGGTAGGCAGGAATTTGGAAGAAGGCATAACATGAGGTAGAAGGCAGAGGATAAGAGCGAGGCAGGTAAGCTGCATCTTAGCAACACATCAAGAAATAGGTCAGAACACCTTTGGGAAAGGTGAAGCACTCATATCCACTGGCTGCTTTTTTTGCATGTGTTTCCATTCCATGAACTCCAAGTCTTTGGTAAAGTTATAACCAGGTCCTGCTTTAGGAAAATGAGAGGCTGTGTTTCAGCTTGGAGTAAAACTGAAAAGGTAGGGGGCAGTAACCTCAAAAAGGCACCCTGCGAAAAGCCTAAAGAACAAATTGAAAAACTTGGCAGGCAGAGTACAAACCACTTTTGGTTTAGATGTAGCATTGTAATTTGTCTTATCTAAAGCACCATGTATTTGTTGTTAGACTTTATGTGTATTCAAGAAGAAAATTCCAATCCAGAGAAGGATCAATGGATGAGACAAAGAGTAGGACCACATACATGATTTAGCTCTTTTGTTTTAAACCAGTTTGAAAGGTAAAAGGTGAATGTGAGCATGACAGCTATAGCATAAAGGCTGTTTTCATGGAATGAATTTGGAATTGTCTGACACATAAGGCCATCTGAGTGCTTCTCAAACTTTAGTGTTCATACAAATAACCTGATGATTTTGTTAAAATGTAGATTCTAATTTGGTAGAACGCAGCTGAGACCTGAGAGGCTGCATTTCTAACAAGTGTAGAGCAGCAATTCCCAAAGTGTGATCAATAGACCAGCAGTATCAGTACCATCTGGAAACAGGTTAGAATGCAAATTCTCAGGCCATGGTTTGGAATGCAAATTCTCAGATCTCACTTCAAAAATCCTGTATTAAAAACTCTAAAGGAGAAGCCCAGAAGTCTGTGACTTAACAAGCCCTATAGGTCATTCTGATGGAAGGGAAATGGAGACGGTAAATGCAGATAACTCAAGTTTGACTCTAAAGAGGCGGGGAGAAACGTAGCAGTAGCTAAAAGAGGAATTAGAATTGAAGATTTTCTTCTTTTAGATAGATTGTCCCCAACCCCCATGTTTAACTGCTAATTAGAAGGAGTGGGTAGAGAGAAGATTTGAAGATGTGGGAAAGAGAGAAGCAGATGAGAAGGATACCGAGGATAGATGAAGGTTGTATTATTTATGTATCGCTACGTAAGAAATCACTTAAAAATCTAGCAGCATGAAACAGCAAACATTTATTATTCTCAACAGTTCTCAGGGTTAGAAACCAGGGTTCAGTTTCACTGGGTGCATCTAGCTTAAGGCAAGAGGTTGCCATCAGGCTACTTGCTTGGGTTGTGGTCCAATCTGTCAAGACTCACATAGTGGGAGGACCTGCTTCTGAGTTTGCTCATATAGTTGTTGTCAGCATTCAGTGTTTTACAAGCTGTTGGGTAGTTCCTTGCTGGCTGTCAGCCAGATGCCTCCCTTGGCACACGAATCTCTCTATAGGGCAACTCACAATATAGCTAGCTTCTTCCAGGGTGTGTGAGAGAGCAATAGAGACCTAGAGGATGCCCAAGACAGGAGTCACAATCTTTTGATAACCTAACTTTGGAAGTGGCATTCTATCACTTTTCTGTATTCTATTTATTAAGAGCAAGTCACCATATCCAACCTTCTTCAAAAGGAAGGGATTACACAAGGGCATGAATAACCAAGAAGTGGGGAACGCTGGGAACCATCATCTTCCAGGTGCCTACCACAGAGAGGTAAGCTTTAAACAGAAGAGGGAGACTTCTTCTATGGTAATAGAAAGGAAGGGGGAAGAGTTGGGTCTGGATTAGAGCAGATTTGTATAATTGTGGTGAGAATGGAAGGAGTACCTTTCAGATGGCTTCTATTTTCTATGCAAGGACAGTTTCTAAGAGTGAATAGAGAATTGGAGCAACTGGAGTTTTGATAGTGGAGAAGTGGCAAGGGATGTGAAAATAATAGGGAAGGTTTGAAAAATTATTGTTGAAAAGAGAAAGAGGTGAGTTGGGAAACAGGATGATTGACAGGGAGTGTTGTGGGCCCAGGTGAAGTGAGTATCCATAAGTTTATAGTGAAAGAAATCTGCTCCATAGGGTGATTTATTTTTTCCTCCAGCAGCACTTAGTTAATAGGGAAGTTTTCCATGGCTACTTTCTAATGGCTGCCCACTTTCCCTTAGGGAGACACGGAAAGCATGAAAAATTGCTGAGGCTGATTCCAAAATCATGTAACCATAAAATTTAACAACTTAGCTGCCGGTTTTAGAATCTAAAAAAGGAACCTGTCACATAGAGAGCTTCATTTGCTACAAAGCTCACAGAAAATTAGGTTAGCGCAAAATAGGCCAGGATGCTAAGTTCCATGCCATAAAGTTTTCTATTTAGCTGCCCTCACTAGAATTCATGTTTGCTAAAGAAATCAAACCCATCAACCGCAGGAAAGCACTAGAAGTTTTTCATTGGTTATTGTGGAAAAGATTATCATATGAAAATTCCCAAAATAAAATTTGCAGAAATAGGTCCACCTGTTTATTCTACCTTCTGACTAAAACCTAATGAAAACTCCACTTTGATGCTTTTATTTCTTGTATATAAAATTTCTCCCTACCCCCAAAAGAATGAGACAGCTTCCCCAGACTGGAGGGAGACCTAGCTAGTACAGGAGGTAGGTGGTACTGTTTTGTTGTTGGCTGTCCACCAAGTGAGCTAATCACTGCCTGGACGACCACTTGCCCACTGCAGTGAAGGGAAGGGCTTAGCAAGTACTCACATATCCAGTACTATCTTCCATCCTTGTATGTATGTGTTGCTGGATCAGGAGGGTAAAGCTATTCAGGCACTGTAACCTGACTTCACTCAAACTTGCCTATTCAAAAGGCATCCAAAGATTGGAACATTATAAGTTCTTCTAAGGCAAAAGCAGATATAATTTTGCTGCTCCCAAGACAGCTCAAAACCAAGGCACAGATGTGGAGAAGATAGGCAGTTGCATTTCTCCTTAGTTGAGATTTTTCTCAGAGAGGAGTTTCTGAAGGACACAGAAATAAGTAAGTTTAGGATTAATGAGGAAGAGCAGTTGACACATTGGTCATAATAGGATAGGACATGAAAGCAGACAAGGCCAAGCAATGTGAAGAGAGCAGAATTGTCACTGGGGGGACTGGGGTCACAGACCAGAGTGCTGAGAGTGCCTGATGCCTTGAGCTAGAAAGGGAGGCAGGTATGGTCATAAAATAGGGTTTGAATTTATGATCTCTGGAAATTTTACAGTGTTACCATGATATTGTGGGCAAAACTCATTTTGCCTACTAACTGCTATGAATGACATGATTCATACTGTAGGGGAGAATGCTTTCCAGATTTCCACGCATTTACAAACATTTAATTCGTAACCCTTCTGTAGAAGGGAGACTCCTACCTAGATCTTGCAAGAGGAACAGAGCAGCAAAAATAGGCCTGGGTAATCACTAGATAAGACAACCAAGAAAGCTTAAGTTACATATCATGTGAAAATCCCTCCTGACACAAGATTGCCCTTCAAGCAACATATCCCTTCCAAATATTTTTTCCTAATAAAAGGAAACTTTTTCATTGTAAAAAATTCAAAAAATTAATTCATCCATTAATCCATTCATTCAGTAACATAGAGAGCCTTGGTGACTTTGTTGAAATCACAGGGGTACAATAATAAATAGACAGATAAGGTCCCTGCTCTGAGTAGTGGACCCTACTTCCTAGTGAGGGGCATTGCTAAGGAAAAGCATAATTTTAGTTAATGAAGACAAGATGAACAGGGCAATAAGAGGGTGAAAGACTGCTGGGTAGGGGTGGGGAATGGAGACACATTAGATGGGGTCTTCAGAGAAAGATATCTTTGAGGAAGTAACACTTGAACTCAGACCTGAATAACGAGATCTGGGTAACAGCATCTCAAGTGACTAACAATGATTGCCAAACCCTTACAACAGGAGAGACCTTAGCCTATGCTAGGAACCTACCAAAGTCCAGTGGGGCTGGAGCTCAGTGAACCAAGCAAAGAGCTATCTGATATGCAGTTAGAGCAGCCAACACAGGCAGGACCATGAAGGGCCTTGCAGACAGTGGGAAGGATTTGCACTTTATTCTAGGTGCAGTGAAAAGCCTCGATGGGATTTTAGCCAAAGGTTACACATTTTTAAAAGATTCGGATTTTTAAGTGACTTTGGGTCTTTCACGAAGAATGAAAGAAGTGTAAAAAGTGTAAGGAAATGTAAAAAGAAAACAAAATCTATGACTATGTTTCCAAAATTGTAATTCTAATGTAGGTAGAATTTTGTGTATACTTTTTATATTATATATTATGAAGATATAACCATATCACTAAAAGTCATTCAAAGTAATGTTTTTAATGAACATGCAAAAGTCTTTTATTTATTTATTTTTTTCCTTTTCTTATTCAGGTAAGAAGAAAAGTCTTATCTGTGTCTTACCCTAACCTATTTCACCTTTCCTCTGCTGTGGAGCTACCAACTTATTTCCACTTTTTCCTGTTCTTTTGTTTTGTTTTGTTGTTGTTGTTGGAGTTATGGTCTGGTTGCCCAGGCTGGAGTGCAGGGGCGCGATCTTGGCTCACTGCAACCTCTGCCTCCCAGGTTCCAGCAATTCTCCTGCCTCAGCCTCCTGAGTAGCTGGGATTACAGGCATGCACCACTATGCCTGGCTAATTTTTAGTAGAGACGGGGTTTCACCATGTTGGCCAGGCTGGTCTCAAACTCCTGACCTCAGGTGATCCACCCATCTCGGCCTCCCAAAGTGCTGGGATTACAGGCATGAGTCACCATGCCTGGTCCTTGCCTGATTTAACTATGACAGCCATAGTTATACTTTCATTTAATATTTGATGACATTTCCCACCTCATTAGAATCCATTCCTAGATGTGGAAAGACAGGGTTAAAATATATGAGGACTGGATTGTACTATTGTCAATTTGGTTGGGTCTGGACCTGTTTCCCAGAATTTCTTTCCCTACAGGCTAGGAGGCAAGAGTTGGCCAAAGGAGGAACTCATGTGAGGTTTGAACAGTGGAAGTTAGGCAGTGGCTTCCTTTTCTCTTTGAAGGTCTTTGTTGTCAGTACATGAAAACTTCCAGGTAGTCCTTGCTCTTTTCCTCTTGGTGCCTAGCCCTTCTTCCTATTCCTGGCCCTGCTGATGGAGAGTGGCCCCAGACCTGCCACCAGATGCCTGGCTGCAGATCTTCAGAGGCAATGGATTCCCAAAAACCGCCTCCAAATCACCTCACTGTCCATGCCAGTATCTCAGATTGTTTCCTTTAACACTGGTTCTCCTCCAACCCCAGTGGTTGAGTACTGGTTAATGATTCTTTTTCTGATTCTCAAACTTCCCCTTATCTGGGCTTTCACTTCCCCAGCTTTTCCCACAATTGTGTAAGATCTATTCATACCACTCATCTTTTATTCTATAATCTTTGTAGTGGTATACGAAATACGAATATTTTGATTGTTCTTATCACATATTGCCAGATTACAGTGTACCCTCTCAACAGTATTTACATTTTAAACCACTTTCAATTTTATGTTGGAAAAGTTTATATCAAGTTTTAATTTATATTTATTTGATTACTAATGAAGTTGAACTATTTTTTTGTGTGTGATACGTTTTTTGTTTTTGTTTTAAGAAAGGGTCTCCTTCTGTTGCCCAGGCTGGAGTGCAATGGTGCAATCTCAGCTCACTGCAACCTCCACCTCCCAGGACCAAGTAATCCTCCTGCCTCAGTCTCCCAAGTAGCTGGGACTACATGTGTGTGCTACCACACATGGCTAATTTTTGTATTTTTTGTAGAGGCAGGGTTTCGCCATGTTGCCCAGGCTGGTCTCAAACTTCTGAGCTCAAGCAATCTGCCCGCCTCAGCCTCACAAAGTGCTGGGATTACAGGCCTGAGCCACTGCACCCAGCCCTGTGATACTTTTGATACTTTCTTTTATCTTTTCTACTGGGAACAATTACCATATGATTATCATACTTATTAAGATTTTTGAAAAATTTGAGAAAACTTTGTAGCAACTTTATTCAGACTTCTACCTTTTTGTCCATCTTTTATTCCTGTTGGCCGTTCCTGCCTAAATTTCTTCATCTGTTGTAAGGTTGTTGGGTTTTATTGTTTATTTTACTTACTTATTTTTAGTTGTAGTTTGGTCAGTTTATAAATGAGTAGATAGAAGGTGGAACAGTTAGGGCTTGAGGATTGAAAACAATGGAAACCAAATCTGCTGAATCTAAGGAAAATGGAATTATATAGGAACTGGTGGAATTTATGCAAATCTTTGGAGACTTAAGCATAGACTCAACAAGCAGAGTACCAGTGCAGGAATGAGTAAATCCTATCAATGTCAGGTTCTTTTTCACATTATTTAAGATTTAAATTCCCAGGAGTGAACTTTAAATTGACCTAGCTTACATCAGGTGCGAGGCCTCTAGCTCTGTCTCGTCATTGAGTGGAAGGTTCTGGTGAAAGGAGCCTCCAGAGGTCTCTTTCTCATCCACAGCAGAAATGAAGGCACCTGAATTCACCATTTTACCAGGAGTATTTCCAAGCAGAAGAAATAATTTCCCAAAGGAAATTGGGATACTGTTAAGAAGAGGGAATGAATGTTGGGTGGTCCAAACATTTGTAAGTCTAATTTGTAGCAGTTGCAGGTGAATTTTCACTGGTTCATTGATTGCAGAGTGAAGTAATTTTGGAATTCCTTTTTTTAAAAAACTATAGTATTTTATGAACCATCATTTTTGAAATTTATCTAGGAAGTATATAAAATAAATGAATTTCCAGTCTTTAGAAAAGCTCCCTTTTAAACTTTTATGAGTTTATCTGAGCTTTATGGCTTTCATAACCACTAGTAGATCAATACTTTTGACTGGGATGCTTTGCATGTATTTATTACACTATATAGGAAAACCTTATTGCTAGAAAACTGTACAATCCTTGTGATAGCAATTTCGAATATGTGTACAGCCTTTTCTATGAACACTATTTCTCTAAAAGTACATTTTACTCAAAAATATAAGAGATTAACAGGTTTGACAAACCCTATTAATAACTTTCAGCACCTTTTACACATAATTTCCTTTTTTCATACATTCCTTCTTTTGTGGTTACACAGTTAAAATATCAATGTATACTATTAAGCAACTGTGGGGCTGACTTCTTCCCCAGTTGCAATTATGGCATTATTTTTCCATAAGAGTAAGCAGTAGGACCCAGTTTTCTGAATTGTTGGTTGAAACCAAGTACTTGCTTGGCAGGCAAGGGGGCATTGTAAATAGAAAAGTCACTTTGAAAAGAAATTGAAATCTGAATTTATAAGCAATTTAAGGTTTTTTTAAAGCAATAAAAAAAGTACTGCCATAACATGAGGGATTAGGATCAGGATCTAAAAAGCTTTAGGGAATGAGGCAGCTCCTTTCTTACTTGCTCTCTCTCTGGTCTCTGGTTTCCACTTTTCTGTACATCTCCATCTTTTTCCATTGTTTTTTCTACTCCAGCATTTGTTGCTTCTGAAAATAGTCTACTCTGTCTCACTCACTATATAGTAAATAGAAACACTGCCTCTTACAGTCTCTGTCCCCATTAACTGTCCATTCGCCCTTTTATCCATAGTAAATTGTGATTTAGCTAGGCCCATGACTACTTAGCTAAATACTACATTTTTCAGTCTTCCTGGCAGCCAGCTGTACGTGTATGACTCTCTTTTGACCAAAGTGATGTGAACAGAAATAATAGGTGGGACTTCCAGACCATGCCCTTAAAAGGAACAGGCATTTTCCTCTCCTCCTTCCTGCTGATTGTGATGTGGAGGAGACGGTGAGAGCCAGAGAAGCTACCCTGGGCCCAGAAAGGAAGCCGGTTGTGGGATGGCACAGCTGTCCTGCAGGTCTGGGCTGTCCACCTTGGGACTCTCATGTGGGAATGAAGCTTCCACCTATTCTACTCTATGGTCTCTGTTGCAGAGACTTAAACAGCATTCTAAATAAAACATACCCTTCAAGATATGAATGTTTATGAAGGTGAGTGAGAGGGCTTTTTTATTGCGTAGTTGTTCTCAGTCTTTAGAACAGCTCCTATTAGGCACTCAAAATGTTGCTTGAATGTTGTTATGGACTGCACTGTGGCCCCTCAATATTCATATGCTGAAGTCCTAACTCCCAGTACCTCAAAATGTGACTGTATTTGGAGACAGAGTCTTTAAAGAGCTAATTAAGGTTAAACAAGGTCATTAAGGTGGGCCCTAATCCAATATGACCAGTGTCCTTGTAAGAGGACATTTGGACACAGACAGGCACAGAGGGGAGACCAGGTGAACACACAGGGAGAAGATGGTCATCTACGAGCCAAGAAGAGAGGCTTCAGAAGAAACCAAACCTGATCACACCTTGTTTTCAGGCTTTCAGCCTCCAGAACTGTGAAAAAATAAATTTCTGTGGTTTAAATCACTACAGTCCGTGGTACTTTGTTATGGTAGCCCTAGCAAACTAATACAAATATATAAATGGCAGAGAGGTTTTTATGAATGTTATTTCTTTTTAATAAAAAAAAGACCGATCAGGAAAATTAATCAAGGTTAGAAAAAAACAGGCAGAGATTGTTTCTTTTCTTTTCCTTGAGGACAAACATCAATGCCTGCTAGAATCACTTAAATATAGAGTAAATAGAGACCACAGAAACCAAGAGGTAAAGTTCAAAATTTTCAAATGTGCTGATGATTTGAGTCATTAAGGACTTCAGCAATTGATTCGAAACCTAATTATTGCTGAGGATTTCAGGGGAAATCTGTACTTTAAAATCCCAAGAACATCGCAAATTGCACCACTTACATTGACTGCTAGTAAAACGACTGCTTTAAATAGCACTTTCTTAGGTAACAGAAGAGAAAATTCTTGCTCTACTGGCAGTAATCACAGAATTTCAGGATATGCCCAAACCAAAAAAAGTCACTCTTAAGGTTTTCTTTAAAGTTTAATGAGCTAAAAATCCATGACTGTACACAAGTTAGAAGATAAACTTTTTTAAAGTATGTGTTTTACTTAAGAATTTCCATTTTAAATAGCAAAAACCTATTGGAACTAGCCTAAAGAGGAAAAAAAACCCATAATTTATTGAAAAGCTATGGGGAGTCTCTTTCCAAATCAATGGGCAGGAAAGTGGCCCTCAAGTGAGACTGGCACCAGGAACTGGAAAGCAGTCAACGTCCTTGGCCACCACACCTACTTTGTGTGTGTCTCTCTGGGCCCTCTTGAGCTCTCATTTCTGTTTCTTTGTTCATCAGCTTTATTCTTGTCCTCTCACCCCCACTTTCTCTCTTCCCCTCTGTGGCCAAAGGTAAAAGGAGTGGTGTCAGGGCATGTTGTATAAACAGAGCAGACATACCATCTACAGGAGCTGGAGAAGTCACTTATTAGAGAATTGGGGATGTCTTCCTTGTGCTAATACTCTGAAAATTTATATTATGATTTTCATTTCATTTTATTTTATTTACTTATCTTTGAGACAGCGTCTTGCTCTGTTACACAGGCTGGAGTGCAGTGGCGTAATCACAGCTCACTGCAGCCTCGACTTCTTACACTCAGGTGATCCTCCCACATCAGCCTACTGAATAGCTGGGACGTCAGCCACTAGGCCCAGCTAATTTTTTTGATTTTTTTGTAATAACGAGGTCTTGCTATGTTGCTTAGGTTGATGTCCAACTCCTGAGCTCAAGCAATCCTCCCCGCTCAGTCTCCCAAAGTGTTGGGATTACAGGCATGAGCCACTGTGCTTGGCCATGATTTTCATTTTAAAAAATCCACATGTATAACTTTTCATCCTCAACACTTTTTTGATTTAAAAAAAGCCACACATTTCATAAGGGCATGATTTCATGGGGAAAATGGTGATATATCAATTGAAATTGGTGATGTATTTTGTTTTCCCCTTTATTATAAAGTAATGTTCTGTGGACCTCAAGAAGTTAATTTCTAGGATTTAGGGTCTCTGCTAGGGGTCCAGAATTCAAAGCTGAATCTTTATTAACTGGCACTAAAACTGCAGTCATTGGAGATGAGTAATAAGAAACAAAACTTCTTAAATTTTGAATGCAACCTTCAAAGGAACACAAGAACCAGTTTTCAAAGTAGGAGTATCTATTTCCTTCACAGTAAAGGCATGTTTGAACTGCCTGTACTGAAGAATCTGGTGATAAAGAATTGATGCTTTCAAGATGATAGAATTCACTAAGTTGCTGAAGTCTTTTCTTTGTGGTTTATCCCATTGTTGGATATTTTAAATTGGCTCAGGTAGCATTGCAGTTGGCTTTGTGAATGCACAGGTGTCTGTGGATTCAACCAGCCACAGATAAAAAATATTTGGGGCTGGGCGCAGTGGCTCATGCCTGTAATCCCAGCACTTTGGGAGGCCAAGGCGGGCAGATCATGAGGTCAGGAGTTTGAGACCAGCTTGGCCAACATAGTGAAACCCCATCTCTACTAAAAATACAAAAAATTAGCTGGGCGTGGTGGCAGGCTCCTGTAATCCCAGCTACTTGGAGGTTGAGGCAGGAGAATCGCTTGAAGCCAGGAGGCTGAGGTTGCAGTGAGCTGAGATCACACCACTGTACTCCAGCCCGGGTGGCAGTGCGAGACTCCATCTCAAAAAAAAAAAAAAAAAAAAAAAAAAAAAAGGAAAAAACAGTAAAAAAATGACAATACAACAATAAAAACAATATGTATTCATAAAACAATACAGTATAGCAACTATTTATATAGCATCTACATTGTATTGGGTATTATAGGTAATCTAGAGATGGTTTAAAGTATATGGGAGGGGCTGGGCGTGGTGGCTCACTGTAATCCCAGCACATTGGGAGGCCGAGGCGGGCAGATCATGAGGTCAAGAGATAGAGACCATCCTGGCCAACATGGTGAAACTCCGTCTCTACTAAATATACAAAAATTAGCTGGGTGTGGTGGCACGTGCCTGTAGTCCCAGCTACTCGAAAGGCTGAGGCAGGAAAATTGCTTGAACCTGGGAGGCAGGGTTGCAGTGAACCGAGATCATGCCACTGCACTCCAACCTGGTGACAGAGTGAGACTCCATCTCAAAAAAAAAAAAAAAAAAAAGTATATGGGAGGATATCTGGGATATATGTAGGTTATATGGAAATACATCATCTTATATCAAGGTCTTGAATATCCAAGGATTTTGAGGGGTGTCCTGGAACCAATTTCTCCACAGATGTCTAGGGATGACTGTACTTTTCTAAGTGGCTTATTTTTTGGCAGTTGATAGTTTCTTCCCCCTGTAAACTAGGAGGGTGCAGCTATGAGGCAGGCTAGTAGTTAGGCAAAATGGGGCTGACAAAGGATAGATTTAGCACCAGATGTAGAACCTCCTCTACACCAGGGAATAGGGAAGGGAGTTAGGGCAACTCTCTCACTTGCAGAGATTAAGGGTAACCCCACTGTTTCAGGAAGCAGAGCAGCCCAGACGTGAGTCATTCACACAACACCATGAGAAACCTATCAGACATATTCTTTCAGCCTGCAAATGGCAGAAGCCTTACCCTAAATGGGCTTGGACAAAACCCAAATGAATTAGCTTATATAACTGGAAGTTCAAGGGTAAGCTCAGCTTTAGGTGTGGCTTATGTGGAAACTCATATGATGTAACCATAACCCAGCTCTTTATCATTCCTTGGTTTGCCTTGGTCCTCCTCTACTATCTTGGATTTATTCTAACACAGATTCTACCCTCACAATTGAGATGATTGTCTGAAGCTATGTAACATCCTTAAATCCAGGCAAAAAGGCCCCTCCCCTGGACCCTGCATTATAAAGAGCTCTTCTCCACGTCAGTCCCTACCCATGGGACAAAACAGCCTCTGGGACCAATGGGACATATCCTCCTGGAACCTTCTCACATCCTTTTAGACCATACTCTGGATACCATGGACACAAGGATTCCCTGCCCCAAATCTCCAAGCTAGTTCTTGGCTTGGAGTAGGTGTAGATCTCTTCCTCTGGTTCATCCTCTTGAAGATGAGCCAAACTGTCAATGTGTATACCTTTGGGTGCAGGTGTTAACTGTTTGCAGAGGATGTGGATGGAATTTGAATGAACAGGCTAGGCTTTCACAAATGACTATGAGTCCTCTTGTTGTGCAGAATTGAGGCAAGAGTGAGAAAGAGATGGGACAAAGAGTGAGAAGATGTGATCTTTCCATCCAGCCATGTTCCAGAGCTGAAATCTAAGGATTCTAAGAACTTGAACCTGACCTTCCAGGTCATTATGAAAGTGTATTTTGTCCACACAATACACTAGGAGAAAAGAACAGTTGTTTTTAACATTATGCTTGAATTTATAATTTTCACATACATAGGCATATAGTTCTATATTTAGAATATAAGGCCTTTATTTCTTCTCTTGCTATGTGACCTGCAGTGTCAGGGTTGAAACTGCTTAGTTACAAATTTAACCAAAGGTTAATTTTGTACATCATATGAGTTTCCACATAAGCCACACCTAAAGCTGCACTTACCCTTGAACTTTCCAGGTTCAAATTTAACCAAAGAAGAGGGAACAACTATTCCAGAACTCCCAGTAGAAGTCTTAACATTTTCTCTGATGGGATAATTTAAGGTCACATTCCCACTTCTGAACCAATCACTGTGGGAATAGGAATATTTTGAGTCCCAAGTTTTATTGCCTAGGGTTTAGGATTGTATTAGTTTGTTCTTGCACTGCTATAAATACCTGAGACTCGGTAATTTATAAAGAAAAGAGGTTTAACTGGTTCGTGGTTCCACAGGCTGTGCAGGAAACATGGCAGCATTTGCTCAGCTTCTGGGGGAGACCTCAGGGAATTTAAATCACGGCAGAAGGCAAACAAAGAGCCTGCACTTCACATGGCTGGAATGGAAGGCAGAGAGAGAAGTGGCAGGTACTACACACTTTTAAACAACCAGATCTCACAAGAACTCACGCACTATCACGAGAACAGTACGAAGAGGATGGTGCTAAACCATTCATGAGAACCTGTCCCTATGGTGTCATCACTTCTTACCAGGCCCCACCTCCAGCACTGGAGATTACAATTTAACAAGAGATTTGGTGGAGACACAGATCCAAACTATACCAAGGATGGAGGTCCACCTAGCCTACCCGGACTAAAATTGGTGGAAGATCCCAAACATAAGTTGGGACTGCCGCTGGGAGGAAGAGGAGTGGAGTTTTAAGCTAGGTGGCCAGGCATATTGCTGATCAATTTTGTCTGGTATTCAACTCTATGGTATTGATGTCTTGTTTTATGGAATGGCCTGGAAGGACCTGATTGATCCCAGGAGGAGGGACATTATCATTAGCTAGGAAAATGAGACCACAGACAGGGGAACTGAGGCAGACACTGTATGCATAGACATGCCAACTAGGCAAGAGAAGAAGAGGAGAAAGAACATTATAGTTCAGGAGTGCCCAGGTATCCAAGGCATACCAGAGATTCCAGGTTTGTCAGAATTAGAGACTCAAGAGAAGAGCCTGGGTGATCCAAGTCATGAATGATGTGTTAAATCTGAAAAGCTTGCAGATAGGCTGAGGAACTTAAGACTAGACAGAAACAGGAGTGGAATTGTGCATGTGGGTACAGGGCATCCATGGAAAAGACAAGGGCAAAGGAATGAAAATGGGCACTGGCTTTCCCTAACACTACTTCCAAAGAGCAGACTCTGTGTTTGGAGAAGAGCCGTCTCTTGACTGTCATGTTTGCCATGTTAGAAACATTATGATCAAAATAGAGTTTATACACTTTTCAAACTGCATTAGGTGAGAGTATTATTAGTTTTGTTAAAGATTTCTAAATCATGTTTACATTTGCTCTACCATAATTCATAAAATTATAAGCCCTCTGTAAACAAGTGGCTTTATTAATAGCCAAGAGCATTCAATTTACCACCATTATATAGATCCACTATATCACTTGCTTTTTTTGTTGTTTTTTTAGAGACAGGGTCTCGCTCTATCACCGTTGGAGGCTGGAGTACTGTGGCACTTGTAGCTTACTGCAGCCTACTCCTGGCCTCAGGAGATCCTCCTGCCTTGGCCTCCCAAAGCTCTGGGATTACAGCTATAAGGCAACACATGCAGCCTATCACTTGCTTTTCTTTGTCCATGTTTTCTGCATGATGTTTACACTTCTATTAGCTTGCTGGCTGTAACTTTTTAATTTTGCATGAAATAGAAGCATAGTACTTTGTATATTATAGGGACTCACCAAACATTATATTTTTATGAAAGAAAGTGAAATGGCCTTTACAAATTTCCCAATTTATATCTTATTAATAGAAATTTAAACCTGGAAGAATATTTGGAGAGCGTTGTTGTCCATCTTTTCTCTTCTTGGTAGAGGAGAATTTTATCTCAGAGAGTGATTAACTACATTATATGGGCATCTCAAACACAGGAGCTGGGTTAATGATGAACCTGAACCTCAGGACTCCTGAAAATCACTGCTTCCTACTCTGTCTACACATAAGCCTGGCTTTAGATAAAGACTAAAAAGCCCTCTGTCACCACTCCTATTCAACATAGTGTTGGAAGTACTGGCCAGGGCAATCAGGCAGGAGAAGGAAATAAAGGGTATTTAATTAGGAAAAGAGGAAGTCAAATTGTCCCTGTTTGCAGATGACGTGATTGTATATCTAGAAAACCCCATCATCTCAGCCCAAAATCTCCTTAGGCTGACAGGCAACTTCAGCAAAGTCTAAGGATACAAAATCAATGTGGAAAAATCACAAGCATTCTTATACACTAATAACAGACAAACAGAGAGCCAAATCATGAGTGAACTCCCATTCACAATTGCTTCAAAGAGAATAAAATATCTAGGAATCCAACTTACAAGGGACATGAAGGACCTCTTCAAGGAGAACTACAAACCACTGCTCAATGAAGTAAAAGAGGATACAAACAAATGGAAGAACATTCCATGCTCATGGGTAGGAAGAATCAATATCATGAAAATGGCCATACTGCCCAAGGTAATTTATAGATTCAATGCCATCCCCATCAAGCTACCAATGACTTTCTGCACAGAATTGGAAAAAACTACTTTAAAGTTCATATGGAACCAAAAAAGAGCCTGCATCGCCAAGTCAATCCTAAGCCAAAAGAACAAAGCTGGAGGCATCATGCTACCTGACTTCAAACTATACTACAAGGCTGCAGTAACCAAAACAGCATGGTACTGGTACCAAAACAGAGATATAGATCAATGGAACAGAACAGAGCCCTCAGAAATAATGCCGCATATCTACCACCATCTGATCTTTGACAAACCTGACAAAAACAAGACATGGGGAAAGGATTCCCTATTTAATAAATGGTGCTGGCAAAACTGGCTAGCCATATGAAGAAAGCTGAAACTGGATCCTTTCCTTACACCTTATACAAAAATTAATTCAAGATGGATTAAAGACTTAAATATTAGACCTAAAACCATAAAAACCCTAGAAGAAAACCTAGGCAATACCATTCAGGACATAGGCATGGGCAAGGACTTCATGTCTAAAACACCAAAAGCAATGGCAACAAAAGACAAAATTGACAAATGGGATCTAATTAAACTAAAGAGCTTCTGCACAGCAAAACAAACTACTATCAGAGTGAACAGGCAAGCTACAGAATGGGAGAAAATTTTTGCAATCTACTCATCTGACAAAGGGCTAATATCCAGAATCGACAATGAACTCAAACAAATTTACAAGAAAAAAACAAACAACCCCATCAAAAAGTGGGCAAAGGATGTGAACAGACACTTCTCAAAAGAAGACATTTATGCAGCCAAAAGACACATGAAAAAATGCTCATCATCACCGGCCATCAGAGAAATACAAATCAAAACCACAATGAGATACCATCTCAAACCATTTAGAATGGCAATCATTAAAAAGTCAGGAAACAACAGGTGCTGGAGAGGATGTGGAGAAATAGGAACACTTTTACACTGTTGGTGAGACTGTAAACTAGTTCAACCATTGTGGAAGTCAGTGTGGCAATTCCTCAGGGATCTAGAGCTAGAAATACCATTTGACCCAGCAATCCCATTACTGGGTATATACCCAAAGGATTACAAATCATGCTGCTATAAAGACACACGCACACGTATGTTTATTGTGGCACTACTCACAATAGCAAGGACTTGGAACCAACCCAAATGTCCAACAATGATAGACTGGATTAAGAAAATGTGGCACATATACACCATGGAATACTATGCAGCCATAAAAAAGGATGAGTTCATGTCCCTTTTAGGGACATGGATGAAGCTAGAAACCATCATTTTCAGCAAACTATCACAAGGACAGAAAACCAAACACTGCATGTTCTCACTCATAGGTGGGAATCGAACAATGAGAACACATGGACACAGGAAGGGGTACATCACACACCAGGGCCTGTTGTGGGGTGGGGTGGGGGGAAGGGATAGCATTTGGAGATCTACCTAATGTTAAATGATGAGTTGCTGGGTGCAGCACACCAACATGGAACACGTATACATATGTAACTAACCTCCATGTTGTGCACATGTACCTTAGAACTTAAAGTATAATAATAAAAAAAAGACTAAAAAAGCACTTCCTTTTCTATCAATAATTTTGAAACATTAATAGTTGTTTTATTAAATAGAAAAAAAAAAGGTCAGATGTGGTGACTCACGCCTGTAATCCCAGCACTTTGGGAGGCTGAGGCAGGTGGATCACCTGAGATCAGGAGTTCAAGACCAGCCTGGCCAACATGGTGAAACCCTGTCTCCACTAAAAATACAAAAATTATCCGGGCATGGTAGCGGGTGCCTGTAATCCCAGCTATTTGGGAGGCTAAGGCAGGAGAATCTCTTGAACCCGGGAGATGGAGGTTGCAGTGAGCCAAGATCGCATCATTGCATCCCAGCCTGGGTGACAAGAGGGAAACTCCATCTCAATAAATAAATAAATAAATAGAAAAAAAATCCACTGAGGAAAATGTTTACTTCTGAGGAATTCTCAAGAGTGGGATAAGGCCTTGGAGATCATTTAGCTTAAAATACCACTTGATGCAAGAATCATCCCCCTCCTTTATTGGTTTTGAAAACAAATGTCAGTAGACTATTGAAAAGTTCAGCAATTCTGAAACACCACCAACAAAACCAGACCAACATGAAATGGTTTTAAAACACTGGATATAAGTTAACAGTTAGGTAGTAGCAGCAACACCATTGAAAGCAAAAGAGAATAGTCCCTGTTAACTCCTGGCACAAAGAACAATTTCATTTCATCTCATTTAAGCTGAAACTTCAAAATTGTAAAGTCAGAGTAGTGTGAAAATCACCAACTTATAAAATACCTCAGTATGAAGGTATAATGGCCCCCAAAAAATGAGTGAGGTGAGCTTACCTGGAGTAGCCCATCTCTTCTTTTATATTGTAATAAATATAACAAGAACATCAAGAGTTCCAGCCTAGATTCTGCAGCACAGCACTTACTCCAGCTTCTTACCAATTATTTTTCACACGGTATCAACAGTAAGCACATATGAGCTTGTGATATTTAGAATGCCTAGAAATCTTTTAAGAGCATGGCCTCAGGCAACTTTTAAAACTCATATTCCCAGAAATTACACTGACAAATTCATGTTAGAGCTCACTGATATTTGCATTCTCTGGATTATATATTTTCGCCGGCAAGAAGTATTCAGTAACTTCAGTGAAATGGTTTGTACATTGTGAGAACCATAGAATGATGATAGAGCTGAAGGGTCCCAGATGGATCAAGTAAATAATTTATCCTTCTTATTTCATAGGCAACATAGGCTCACAACAATCCTTCAAGGTCACTTGGTTGGCTAGTAGCAACTCTAGAATTCGATAATTCCGTAGTTCAATGACATCATCAAGGACGTATTTTTCAGTTCTGTCCTTAACGTATCAACTTTTCCCATAGACTTACTTATCTCATGATAAGAAAGTAACTACAGCAAATCTGGAAATGACTTTCAGACACAATAATGTCCAGCTGAGGAAGAGGAAGGTGTCTTCCTTGTGTCTTAAGAGTGGGGGAACCTTTTCTAAAAGCTTCCAGCAGATTTCTCATTTCTGGATGGTAAGAATTGAGTTATGTGTCCTTTCTAGAACAGTGACTGGAAGTAAAGTGAGAGTGCCATAGAGCAGTTAGGATTTATCTACTAAGAATCAGGCCACTGTTTATATGCTGGATTACATTTATTGATTTGCGTATATTGAACCAGCCTTGCAATGGAGCAGAACAGAGCCCTCAGAAATAACGTCGCATACCTACAACTATCTGATCTTTGACAAACCTGAGAAAAACAAGCAATGGGGAAAGGATTCCCTATTTAATAAATGGTGCTGGGAAAACTGGCTAGCCATATGTAGAAAGCTGAAACTGGATCCCTTCCTTACACCTTATACAAAAATCAATTCAAGATGGATTAAAGATTTAAACATTAGACCTAAAACCATAAAAACCCTAGAAGAAAACCTAGGCATTACCATTCAGGACATAGGCATGGGCAAGGACTTCATGTCCAAAACACCAAAAGCAATGGCAACAAAAGACAAAATTGACAAATGGGATCTAATTAAACTAAAGAGCTTCTGCATAGCAAAAGAAACTACCATCAGAGTGAACAGGCAACCTACAAAATGGGAGAAAATTTTCGCAACCTACTCATCTGACAAAGGGCTAATATCCAGAATCTACAATGAACTCAAACAAATTTACAAGAAAAAAACAAACAACCCCATCAAAAAGTGGGTGAAGGATGTGAACAGACACTTCTCAAAAGAAGACATTTATGCAGCCAAAAAACATGAAAAAATGCTCATCATCACTGGCCATCAGAGAAATGCAAATCAAAACCACTATGAGATACCATCTCACACCAGTTAGAATGACAATCATTAAAAAGTCAGGAAACAACAGGTGCTGGAGAGGATGTGGACAAATGGGAACACTTTTACACTGTTGGTGGGACTGTAAACTAGTTCAACCATTGTGGAAGTCAGTGTGGCGATTCCTCAGGGATCTAGAACTAGAAATACCATTTGACCCAGCAATCCCATTACTGGGTATATACCCAAATGACTATAAATCATGCTGCTATAAAGACACATGCACACGTATGTTTACTGAGGCATTATTCACAATAGCAAAGACTTGGAACCAACCCAAATGCCCAACAATGATAGACTGGATTAAGAAAATGTGGCACATATACACCATGGAATACTATGCAGCCATAAAAAATGATGAGTTCCTGTCCTTTGTAGGGACATGGATGAAATTGGAAATCATCATTCTCAGTAAACTATTGCAAGAACAAAAAACCAAACACTGCATATTCTCACTCATAGGTGGGAATTGAACAATGAGATTACATGGACACAGGAAGGGGAATATCACACTCTGGGGACTGTGGTGGGGTGGGGGGAGGGGGGAGGGATGGCATTGGGAGATATACCTAATGCTAGATGACGAGTTAGTGGGTGCAGCGCACCAGCATGGCACATGTATACATATGTAACTAACCTGCACAATGTGCACATGTACCCTAAAACTTAAAGTATAATAAAAAAAAAAAAATCAGGTCAGCCTCCCTCAAATATATGGCCATATGGAGAACGGTAGCTACTTAAACAAAATCAGGGGCATTTTAGCACCTGTGTGTAAAGAAAGAGATATTGGGTAGGCAACCAAAAGAAACTTCTACACTATATAAGGGGCCCAAAGCCTTAAGTAACAGCTGAAGATCACTGGGAATAACATTTCAGAAACCTGCAGAGCATTACTCAGCTGTCTCTTGCTCTGCTGTGGCTATCGTTTTCTTTTTCTTCCCTGCCTGCCTTATTACCCTCTCCCTCCCTCTCCTTAAGCTAAACTGGCCATGAACTGGAATTAGTCTACACCACTTTGAAGGTCTACTGCATGCAAAGGACCTTAATAATACAACTTAATATTTGGGGTGGGATTATTAAAATTATATGAGCCTTATTACTTTAAAATCAATTCATTGTTTTATGTCTATTTCTAAACCAAATGGCTATTTAATATCAAAAGCTCATTTCTTTCTTTCTTTTTATTATGGTAATCAATAATCTTCCACAGAGAAAAGATTTTCCACGGAGTTATTGCCACCAAAATATGTAAAACTCTCCATTGGCGCATGGGTTTTTCTTCATAATTGTTTATTGTATCTCAAAATACTGATGAATATATCATTTTCTCCTATTGGCCATTTTATTCTATGGTCAGAATTATATTCTCTCCATTAGTGGGAAGTCTTTTGTTTCCATAAAACACTTCCTATTATAGTTCCTTGTCCCAAAGACCATATGTGCACCATTGTGATAACTGACAAGGATCAGTTGCTTTGTGTCCCAAAATGTGCTCTAATTATGGAAATAAATGTTATTCTTTAACTGAGAAGGAATCTGATGTGAATTGTCAGGAATTATATGAGTGTACAGAGGTGATCATAAGGAATAAGGATGATTTTTTTTTTTAAGACAGAATCTCATTCTGTTGTCCAGGCTGGAGTAGAGTGGTGCAATCTCAGCTCACTGCAACCTCTGCCCCCAGGGTTGAAGTGATTCTCATGTCTCAGCCACCCAAGTAGCTGGGATTACAGGTATGTGCCACCATGCCCCAGCTAATTTTTTGTATTTTTAGTAGAGATGGGGTTTTGCTATGTTGGCCAGGCCAGTCTTGAACTCCTGGCCTCAAGTGATCCACCCACCTTGGCCTCCTAAAGGGGGCCAAGGGATTACAGAAGGATGATTGGTTTTTAACATAACAAACCTTTATTAAAGATAGGCCAGTTCTTTCACTGACCTAAAAAACACAGGAAAGCATATAGACTTTCAAGCAAAAAATTCCCTAGTTGAAGTCTCCACTGACATATTTCCTATTTTTGTGGCTTTTTGAAAGTTGTTTCTAATCTTAGTTTTCTTGTTTCTGAAGTTGAAAATGAAAAACAATAGGGTGTCCTTGTAATTTATTGTCTAGTTGGGACATTTTCTGCATATCCCCCTCAGGGAATCTTTTAGGCTTTTTGGAGGAAAAAGGTGAGTTGAAGTTAATATATGTGTAGAAAAGTGCACATATTTTGAGTGGATTTTTGCAAACCGAGTAAACTATGAAATTAACACCCAGATTTAAAAATCTATTAAACCAGCATTTAGATCAAGAAATAGACTTTTACCAGCATTTAAACTGTGATACTTTTGAAAGCAAAAGGTGGCGCTATTTTAACAGCCTGAATGAGACATAAATGACACGCAATGAACTGCAAATTTAAGTCGCACAGTTTGGTGAGTTCTGACATACACCCGTGAAACTGTTGCCACAGTCAAGATGATAAACATATCCACCATCCCTTGTGCCTCTCTGTAATTCCTCCTTTCATTCCCTACTTCCTATCTCCAGGCAACCACTGACCTGGTTTTTGTCACTATAGTTTGCATTATCTAGAATTTTATACAAACAGAATTATACATTATGTCCCTTTTCATTTGACTTCTTTCACACAATTAGAGATTCTTACATGTTGTGGTATCAATAGTTTGGTCCTATTTATTTCTGAGTAGTATTCCATTGTATAGATATACTATAAATTGTTTATCCATTCTCCTGGTGATGTACATTTGGATTTCCAGTTCTGGGTTATTATAAACAAAGCTTCTATAAACATTCATGGAAAAGTTTTGGTATGGACATATGTACTCATTTTTCTTATGTAAATATCTAGGAGTAGAATGGCTGAGTTACCACTGGTAGCTGTATTTAAGTTTTTGAGAAACTGTTGATTTTGCAAAGTGGTTGCACGATTTTAGGTTCTTTACAGAAATGGGTGAAATTAAAGTTTCTCTACATCTTTGTCAACAACTGGTATGGACGGTTTAAAAAATTTTAACCATTCTAGTGAGTATCTGAACTTGGCTTTATTTTGCATTTTCCTAGTGACTAATGATGGTAAATATGTTTTCACATGTTTATTTGAGGATGTTGTATTTTTAATTACACTAAGACAACAGGCATAAATTGAGACTTTCTTATGCAATTTGGGGCATATGGTTACCCAAACAAAGAAGAATGAAGGAGGTGAAGGAAGAAGGATATGGAGAAAGGAAAAAGCCTAACTCATTGAATTATAATGCGACAATGCCTTGTTAATTTAAAGTTACATAAAATTTTATTCTTTTTATTCCATAAGCTAATAATAATAATGCAAGTTTGTTCTTTTATCCTCAAAGGAAAAATATGGTAAAAGTTTTATCTTGACTAAGGATCTGAGGGTCAACATTTTAATAGTTAGCAAAATGCTATGTTTATCATTCATATATTCAAAATGTACTTATCTTTAAACCAAATGGTATATACTCTAAGACATCAGAAAGTATTTACTAAATAGTACAATATAGTAACCATCTTGTAACACTGTACTTAATATAGCTCAATTTTATAAAATATTGCAAATAGTTCTACCGTTTAAGCAATTCTAGATTTTATTTTTTTCCCTTAGAGCAACAAATCAGAATGCATGATTATAGAATGCTAAAAGCTCTTTTGGAGATATTTTGCCAGGCATCTTTGAGGAGAAATTTTAGAGAATCAACAACACTTGATTAAGCATTTTTGAACTGTAAGTTTTTTCTTCTGCTCTCCTGTGGCAAAAAACAAACATAAAACAAAAAACCATATTGGCAATTGCAGATGTTTATAAACATTCCATTATTTTTTTTCTGTTTTAATTATCTTTAAAGATGAAATAATCTCTGTCTATAGGCTAGAGCAGCAAGTTTATGCAAGAGAATATGAAAACATCCTTCCTTCCAGTAGAATATGTATCCATAGTGCATGATGTCCACTGAGGTTTTGTAATATTTTTACATGCAATGTTGCTATTGCAATTATTATCAACAACCTATAATGTTTTGTACATAGTAAGCTTTCAAATGGTGTTAGGATTCAACATGGGACATAAAGCCTAAGAATGGAACCAGATTCCCTAGGGTTTCAGTATTTGATTTCTTCTAAGGGCAGACTAGAAGACTGCCCTTAATATAATCTATGTGTTTTGGGATTTTTTTATGGTGATGAACAAAGTAAACATTTGAGCTGGAAATCACTGGAAGTATTCAAACCAAACAAAAGGGTAATAAAAAGTAAACCTATCCTTAACTTTAAAACCAAGCATGGGTTCTTCTGGTTGATGGGTGTATAGTTGAGAAAGCATTTTTCTCCAGAACTATTCAGTTTCACTGACGGGGAAGTCTTTTATGGCATGATAACCAATTATTGAATGATTTTATACATATTTAAAGGAAAAGGTTGAGCTGCTATCTCACAAAGAATCAGCTTCTTATGAGACAAAAGCTGTGTGCTTGAAATCCTGTCTCCACTCTGAAAATCACATAATCTTGGGCAGTTTATTTTGCCTTGTTTAAAAAATTTCTTATCTATAAAATAAATGTGCTAGTATCTATCTCAAATGATTCATTTAAAAAATGAGAAAACCACCATTTTCTTGAAGTAACTTGCCACGATCACCAATAACAATGTCAAAGCTGAACTAAGGAAACTAAGTTGAACTAAGGTCTCCTAAATCTAAAACTCGATCTTCTATTTCCAAGTATATCATTCAATCACCTGATGTAAGACATGCTAGCAGCTGTTATTAAATAGGTCATTTTTGATCCCTCACCAGATGGTAGCTTGGGTGTAAACACCACCCAAAATTCTGGTTAGAATGGTGACTATCTCGGAACCTAGGCTCCTTTCTCTTTTCTAAATTTACTTTGTTCTCTCTGTCCAAAGCTGACATTTTCTGGATTTTCTTGATTCAGCATTATTTATGCAAATGAAGAGTTTCCAGT
Source organism: Homo sapiens (assembly GCF_000001405.40). Classification (NCBI taxonomy): domain Eukaryota; kingdom Metazoa; phylum Chordata; class Mammalia; order Primates; family Hominidae; genus Homo; species Homo sapiens. The sequence goes on along the minus strand of NC_000007.14, from coordinate 90,518,073 downwards.
AATTCAACAAAGCTAACAAGTGTCTCCCCAGTAAGAATCAAACAGAATGGTACCTGGTGGGGAGTAAGGTTTTTGGCCAGACTGTTGCTGGGTGGATAGAAGGGCCTTAGGAAGAATTCATCAGAGTCAGCTTTAATTTATATGCTGTTCATTTTAAATCCTAATATGGATATAATGGACTCAGAAGCATAAATGAAAATCATAAAATCTCAGTGCTTCATGGGTTGCCAGTACTTCCAAATGATTGCTATGCTTTCAAAATAGTCACCGTGGAAAGCCCTATGCTTTTTGAACAACTGCTGAAGCCATTTCAGATTTTTCTTTTTAAATTGTTATCACAGTCAGTTTGGCCCCTCCTTTTCCTTGCTGCCTTTTCATTTTTCCTCTCCCATGCACACAATTAGTTCTTTATAGCCTAGCCCTGACTTTGACCAAAAATGGATGCTCTAAAACAATCAATTACCTGTTCATCACATATGGCTCTGAATGCCTTTCTGCTATTTCAAAAACAAATTCTATGTTTCCATTTCTCAACCATCCTTAAAGAATGATGACCTGCCACCATGAAGATGTACATCTTTCAAATGTTCTGCAGATTGTTAAGAATATTGCAAAGGAAGAGGTCCAAAGACATTTTAAATAATATTAGGAATGCCAAAATAAGTGAATAATGTCCAATAGTGAACACTCTCAAGGGGAAAAATTACTTTTGGTACTTCATTTTAGTATGTTAAAAGATGAGCCAAATTAAATTACAGCTATACTTTATACATGTATAAACCCTATGCATGGGTTTGGGTGTGTATAATCATAAAATCTCCTGCATATTTATAAAATGAAAATTAAAACTGAAAGGAAGCAGAAGAAAAATCAGCATGTAAAATGCCATGAAGGGAAACACCTGCTGGGAAAACAGAAATGTAAAAAAGATCTAATAGGCTTCCTTCATAATTTTACCCAGAAAAGTGGTAATATTTAGAAATAAAAATGTGAAAAGGCAGTAGCATTTCAATGTTTTTAACACATTTAAAGGCTCTGCTCCATGGTCAACATATCAAGAATCTAAAAACCTGTAATAAACTTTTGTTTTTTAATATCAATTTCAAAATACATTTTATTCTATTTTTTAGTTGTTTTATTTTAATTAGTGAAATTTTAGGAATAAATTTTAATGTTATCAACTTTAAATTTTATGTCTTCATGATGTAATTCTCCCAAAGATGACATTTACATTTTAGCCAGATGCTTCATTTTGTTGCATATCACTGAAAACTTAGAAATCATAAATGCACTAACCTTTTACTCCTAAAGCATGCACACAGGCACTCTTTAATAATTCAAGGACCTTTCTATAATGATGAAGTCATACTGATGAACTCAACAGGAAAATACTAATACGATTAAACAAAGCTTAAATAATTCATTGTAGAAACGAGGCATAATAGAGCAAGAAAAATAAATTCTAGCTGCTCAAAATATTTCACTTTTTCTTACACCAATGCATATTTCTTAAATCATAGTGACAGTTTTTCTTCTCTTTTGTTGAAATACGTGACAGCTATTCATATACTGGAGCAGGTGCAAAAGATAAATGCTTTCCTATTAAAATCAAGAATGTCAGCATTCTATATGCAATGATGGGCAGACCTCCATCATTTTTGCATAAGTTATCTCCTGGGAAAGCTATCACTAGACCTTATTACTACACTATCAACTTATTCTCATCTCAAATTATTTTTCTTCAAAGGCAGTCAGCTGATTTGCACTTTACTTTCTTAGATTCACTGATTGATAGGTGATGAAAGAAAAAAGTCACCCAAAACAGAAAAAAAAGGTTATTAATAATTTCATTTAACACAAAAAATCCAAAATTTAATCATTTGGAAATAGTATTGTGTATTTTGTAATTAGGATTATCAATAATTACTAAATACGGCTATATAAAATAATATTTAAAAACTGGAAAAACTAAATAATTTTTGTGAATAGAATCGTGTTAGATTCTAAAATGAATTGATTAGAGCCAGTCATGAAGAAATTAATTTAAAAACTTCTGTTGTAATGGAAATAAAATAAAAGTTCTTACTATGGCTTAATGTTTTTCATTTCTTTTACTTAAAGATGATTATGCATTTTTTCAGATGATTAGAAATTAAAGGCCATACTCAGGTTGTGTAATTAAAGGATGATTTTTTTTCATGATTTATTGAGGGTGACATGATATTCTACAGAGGATAACACAGTCTATCTGAATTGTTTTGAGCCAAGAAAACAAATCAGAATTTCCTATGGTGAAAAGAGAAAAAAAATGAAACTCTCCCCAAACCATCAATTAATGAGATTTTGAAAAGTATGTGAAAATATCTACAAGTAGGGAATTAAGAAAAACTAGATATACTTTTAATATTCTAAAAGTTAACATGCTTTTGAGATATTAATCCCTCTAAAAAAATAAAATATACTTAAATCTAGCAATGACTTTTTTTTTTTTTCGTATATACATTCCAAGGGGCCTCACTTTGTTGCCCAGGTTGGTCTTAAACAACTGGCCTCAAGCAATCCTCCCACCTAAGCCTCCCAAAGTGCTGGGATTACAGGCGTGAGCCACCACTCCCGGCTGGTAATCTTATAAATAGTCAAAATAAGTACAACCTCCAGTTATTCTTCCTAATTTTTCTACGTGTAAGCATCCCACCTTTATCTAGAATTAGGAGATTAAAGCTCTAACCTGTGGCAAGTTTAATAAAGCTTGAATGTTGTGGCCTCCATCTGTCTGTTCACCATATCTTAGTGCCAGAACTGTATTTCCAACAGACAAATGAGACAGAATGATTTACCCAGCATGCATATCCCCCAAGAATGTTACTGAAAAAAACTATCACCAAGATAACCATAAAGGCAAACTGAGAGTACTATAAGACATCCTCCATTCACAGTGAGGTTCAGCATCCACTCTTAAGTGAGGACAAACTCCCAGAAACAACTAAGGGAAACTCGAGACAGGAGAAACAAACTCAGTTGTCTAGATGGCCTTACTTAATGGGGGCAAAGGCAGAGGAAGTTCTGAGATTCTGGTGGAACAAAAGAGCTTACTTATTTCCACATTGCTATTTCAGCTCCTTAACCAAAGTCAAAATTTCTAGTAGAGAAATCAATCTTTGATCCAATGTAAGATCTGTCTTGCTGGAGTTACAAACAGAAAAATTTAGTTTTTCCTAGCTCAAGCAATTCCAGCCTTGATATCTTTAAGGAATACTTTTAATATATATAAAATCCAGCTTCATTCACCACCACTATGAAAGTGGATCACTTTTTTCTTACAATTTTTAATATCACATGCCCTGTACTCTCAAGCTCACCTGAAGTCATGTTTATTTTATATCAAAGTACTGCAAATAGCAAAAATATCAAATATACACTTATACTTTCTTCTTCCAAATTTTGCCTAACAAGTGGAAGTTATGAAAAAGAAGTTGGTGAAATAATTATTAATGAATATAACAGAACATTACTGAATTTTAATGAAGAACTATTGATATTGAAACAAGTCTGGCATAATTTTATTTTATTTTTTATTTTTTGTTTGTTTCTTTGAGACGGAGTCTTGCTCTGTCGCCCAGGCTGGAGTGCAGCAGTGGGATCTTGGCTCACTGTAACCTCCGCCTTGCAGGTTCAAGTGATTCTCCTGCCTCAGCTTCCTGGGTAGCTGGGACTACAGGCACCCACCACCACACCCAGCTAATTTTTGTAGTTTTAGTAGAGATGGAGTTTCACCATGTTGGCCAGGTTGGTCTTGAACTCCTGATCTCAAGTGATCTGCCTGCCTCAGCCTCCCAAAGTGCTGAGATTACAGGCGTGAGCCACCGTGCCTGACCTATTTTAAAAATTCTCTAATATTCTCCTTAAATTGTAAAGAGTCTTTATTTCTTTTATTTGGGAAATAAAAACATCTATATATTTTAAAAACATATTATCATCAATTCAACCAAGATTTCATCAAAAGATCCTAATAATACCAATCATTACCTCAAATGGGAGGCTTCTGAATAATGGACCATTTTGTGTAATAATACATGTAAACAAAATTATAATTGATTTTTTTTTTCCGAGATGGAGTCTTGCTCTGTCACCCAGGCTGGAGTGCAGTGGCACAATCTCGGCTCACTGCAACCTCCACCTCCCAGGTTCAAGCAATTCTCCTGCCTCAGCCTCCTGAGTAGCTGGGATTACAGGCATGTGCCACCATGCCCAGCTAATTTTTATATTTTTAGTAGAGACAGGGTTTCACAATGTTGGCCAGGCTGGTTTCAAACTCCTGACCACATGATCTGCCCACCTCGGCCTCCAAAGTGCTGGGATTACAGGCGTGAGCCACCTCCCCTGGCAGAATTGAAGTATTTATTTACTGTCTGGTAACACTGACGAGAAAATAACAATGTCAGACACTATCACAGGGTATACCCTCCAATCTTCAAACCGTATGTAAATTTATACGTCAGGTGCCTGAACATTCTATATTTATACCACTTTATGTTCAAAGAGAATCTACATTTGAAGATTATGAAATGAGCTAGGAAGAAGAACTTTTGAAAAGTCAAAAAAATTTTAACTATAAAAACTTATTTGAAGATATTTTTCAACCCTTATGATCTCAAATTACTGTACAAGTCATAATGTAAAAGTAATGAAATACTCGAAAAAATGTTTAATAGAATTTAAAATTTTAACTTCAGGGAATTTGGAAGTTCAATCATTCTCAAAGAGGCTGTAAGGATGATTAAAATCCTGAAGGAAGCCTGAAAGAAAAAAGACACATTCATTATTGGAAATACAATACAGTGCTAACTCTCAAGTTTCACCTTCAAACTAGAAAGCTTAAGTTCAAGGCCGTTACACCAATTTTTACAGAAATGTAATGTTTTCCAACTCCTGATTCATCCCTTGAAAAGCTGTACATGGTTAATGATTATCAACTTAAATTAGCCACATACACCAGAGTAAATTGGAAATGACAAGCTTCTTCAATTACCCAAACTAACATAAACGATTTATTTCCTTCTGCCAACACGAAAGGGAATGTTCATGAAGGATCTCATTGACTCACCCTGCACTAAGGTTAGAAAGCTCACTCAACACAAATATTCCCAGAAAGGGTTCAACTTGGCAGTAAAGAAACCATCTATTCCAAAAGGTCACCACATCAGTTCAACTTTTCATCTGCTAAGAAAGAAGTCCTGTCAAAGTCTGTTACTGTAAAGCAGCAGCTGTTCTGTAGAATAATATCGTCCAAAAGACAATTGTTTTTCTTATTCCCCAGTGCAACTCCTCCATTTCAACAGACTACTTCTTGTCTTCCTTGACACTATTGTTAGTCACAACCCCATGTCTTTGCTCTTCCATCTCAAATGTCTACTTCCAAATATTTCTCTACATTTTTATAGTCTAAAGCTCAGCTGAACATCACACCTCTCAGTCTACTGCAACCCCAACTCTTTAGAATGGCCAATAAATCCTGACATAATCTTATCCCCGAATATTTCTATAGCCACAAAGAACTTCCAGTTTCTCTAACACCCCAAGCTCTGTCTCTCCTTGGAGCCTCCACCCGGTTCGTCCCTTCTCCCACTTGTCTTCTAGCTGACTCCTTATTCTATTTTTGTCTTTGCTGAAACCCTACTCCTTCAATAAATAGGCCTTTCCTAGTTATTGCAAGTACATTCTCCACCCTTCTTTCCCCTAATTTTACTCCCTTCTTTTCTTCCCAGCAGTGCCACAATTTTAAATTATTGGCTTTGCTCTTCACTTTTTTTTGTATCCACCTAGGAATATAAGCTCCACAAGGGCAGAGAGCATCGCCTGTGTTGTACAACTTATATTCCCAATGCCTGGCACAAGGCAAAAGCTCAATAAATGTTTATTTAATCAGCTCCATTCTACTTGGAGCTATCTTTTTCTGACTCCCTTTATTCTTATCTGATCCAGAGAAAAATAATCTTATCACTTACTCAATCTTATCATTACTATTCAAGTCAACATGTATAACGACTCTATGTCAAGAACTATAAGGTGCTGCTATTGCAGCTGCTATTTACTGAGTGTTTATTATGTGCAAAGTATCATATAGAGAAGTATTCTGAGCAATGCCCAGGCTGAGTGGAAGGAACACAGTGATCTGTAGCAATATGTTAGCTCATTGTATCACCACAACCATGTGAACAACCAATTATTTTTAATCCCTATTTTACAGATGAAGAAACCGAGACATAGAGAGGTTAATAATATGCCCAAGATATCACAAACAGTAAGTGATAGAGCTGGGATTCTATACTCTATTGAGTAAAACACAATTTCCCTCTTAAGATGAGTATGAGGAGAGAGGGAAAAGTAAAGCGAGCTGGCAATTCCAGAGGAAAGAGACAACATCTGCTTAAGGAAAACCAGTAAAAATTGTTTGGAGATGGCAGTGGAAATAAGGTTTGAAAAAAAGTTAAGAGTTTTAACTACATTATAAATAAATACCTGGAATTGGTGCAAGCGCCTCTTATCAGAAAGAAAATGGTGAGACCAACCATACGGAAAAAGAGATATTAACTGTGCACAGAAAATAGTAATGGCAGGGTCATTATCCATTGTTCTATCTCTTGAGCCCAAATTGTGAAGGTCCTTTCCTATATCACTAAGGAATTCAGCCATGGCTAAAAAGGGAATAAAGATGCAATCAAGGTTTAAAAGTTACTGTGAAAATTACAGTATATCTGTTCTCTAAGTTATTAGTAACACTTGTTTATTATCTGTTTCTGGGGGCTATCCTCTCAGCAACTAGATTTTAAGTTTTTTGATGGCAGGCACTATATCTTACACTTTCCTAAGAGGGGTTATGAAAGTTGACTCTTGAAAACATCAGTGGACAAGAAGAAGAAAAGTTAGAGGAGACTAAAGAGAGGCCAGACACTATACCAGGTGGTGCCAATGGCACAGTGATTACAAAAAAAAAAAATACTGTCCTTGCCCTCAAGGGGCTTGTATTGTCACAGAGATGATGACTGGTGTAAGTTCTGACAACAGAGTAAAGAGAAGAAATACAAAAGATTATAGCTCCGATGTCTGCAAAACAAAATTACGGTATTCCAGAGTTAACTCCAATAGATATTTAATTACAGTGGTATTTTCCAAGTTTTTAAGCACCACATTTTCAAGACTAAAAACAGTAAATTTCTATGATAATGAGTACTCATAAAACAAAAGCTGCAACACAGTTATTTACATAGAACAGTGGAAAGTCTCCTCCAAAACTTTATTGATATGGTTACCATCTCCTCGGTGAATAATTTCACACAGCATTTGCTTTTTTACATTGCCTGCCTGTGGATTTCTATAATAAAAGTTCTTGAACTGGAGAAACTTCAAAAACTTTTCTTCCTCTTTCAGTAAGAAGCAATTACCTTCAATTTTCTTCACACATTCCTACCATACTTCCATTAGAATATTTATCCAAAGTCCCAAACAACTAAAGACACACACATAGACACAGGCAAACATACATGCATGCATGTGCGTGCACACACACACACACAAATAAAGCTCGTATTAGGAAAGGGCTGAGTTAAAGGTGTGTACATGATTCTCCCTTATTTATCCTATTGAAGGCATATCATTTTTTTTCATTCATTCACTCTAGAGAGCCTGACATTTAGCATCATTTCATAAATCTAGGCTACTGCAGAGCTGTGCTACCACAAAATTATAAGGAGTCAATTTGCACTTTTTTTTCTTTTGTTTTTTCTTTTCGGATAATATGTAAATATGTGTGATAAACTAGGCACTGACAATCATAGAAATTTAATTTTAACAGTACCTTGGAAAGCCTTTAATTGAGGGAAAGCCAATTTAGGCACAGTGGTCCCCGCCCTTCCACACAGGGCAGATATTGCTACAGATCCCAGTGCTCTTTCCCACTGAGCCTGGACATTCATTGCTCAGATGACATCTCTACATGATGCTCCCAGGTAGCCACTGTCTTGTAAAAGAAAACATTTATGGTATATGATTCTTCTCTTAGTATGTAAAATGCATCCTGCAATTCAAGGCACTTTGGAAAGCTACAATCTATTTTCAGCTACTATAGGACCTATTATTTAGTGAAGTGCGTCTTAGTACCTTGAAACATCCTAAGATTTTAAAAGCATTACTGTAGTTTACAAATATTAATAGGTTATGCATATGAACAATGTTTGCTTGCACTCTGCATTTGGTGCTCCTGACCACCCTTATACTGCACCTCAGCACTGTGTGTCCCAGCCCACTTGCCCTGTGAGTCCCAGCCTCCAGCTTCTTGCGGGAAATCACAACTTCTATCCACACTTTATATTAAGGCTATCTTGAAGGGTCCACTCCACAGTCACTCTCACCCACACCCCTGGCTTCATGTTTGTAAACTGTTTCCTCACTAGGTCTCTAGCGCAAATATCCCCAGCTCCAGATTCACAATTCCAGCTTCTGGTTGGAGTTACTACATGCATGTCTTGCTATCACTACTAATTCAACATGCAGACTTCATCCTTCTCACCAAAACTTTCTTGCCCTTCCTCCTGTTTTCCTCCTTTATATTAACAGCATCCGTATCTTCCAGCCACCCACAGTGGAGACTTTGGGGTCTCTTCCAGGGACTCTTTTTCACTCCCTACTTCTAAATGATCACCAGGACTTGCCAATTCTAACTTGAATGTCATTCAAGTCTGTCACTTCTTCCCAGTTTCCAGTGCTACCACCCTTGTTTGGGCTCTCATCTGTGCTCAATTTAATGCCTAGCAGTCTCCTCCTGACTGGTTTTCCTGACTGAATCTTTCCTTCTTTAAACCACCCACCCAACCCACTTCCCCATCCCCCCAATAACACCATCAAGGTATGTTTCCTTACAAATCTGATTATGCTGTTGTCCGCCCCTCCAAAAAAAAAAAAAAGCCTTCACATTCCTTCAAAATAAAGGCTATATTTCCATGTCATCTTTAAAATAAAGTTCATATCCCTATGTGGAGATTTCAAGATTCCCCACAAATAAGGCCCAAGTGCCTTTCTCATCACAGAGTCATGATTGAAAGCTCAGCCTCTGAAGCCAGATTGCTCACCTCACCTGTGCGACATTGAGCAGGGCCACTGCGCACACATGTCTAGGCTGAGGGTCCCGGCACAAGGCTGGCTGAGGGATGAGTGAGTGTGGAAGCATAGTCCACATACCATTCACCACGCTACGTTTCAGCACAGGGCTTCTACAGCCTCAAAGTAAGTGGCACCATTGTCTATCTCACATAAAGGCAATATAAAGGCTTAGTTTCCTTGTCTTAAAGTACGGCTAATATTAGGATTTACCTCAAGGGATTGTTGTAAGGTTTCAATGAGTTAACACATGTAAAGTCCTTAGAACAGTGCCCAGAATATTATAAATGCCCAAAAAGTGTCAGCTGTTACGTTCTCACCTTACCTGTTCCTTATACTGTAAGTGAATAGCAGAATTTATTTACTATTGCTCAGGTATAATCTGTACTTTTTCACCTTCATGTCTACTGTTTATTCTGATTCCTCCCCCGAAAATGTCCTCCCCTGAAAATTTCCTCCCCTAGCAGCTCCAATCTGCCTGTTGATAAACTGTACATTCTTGAAGCTCAGGTAGGAGACCATGATACCTCCATTAAGCCTTATTTGATCTCCATGTACTACATGAGTTCTTTAGGCTTTAACTCAACTCTTAGGTGCCTAACATGGAACTTACTGTAGAAATATTTTTTCTTTTCTTTTCTTTTTTTTTTTTTTTTTGAGACGAGTTCTCACTGTTGCCCAGACTGGAGGCAGTGGCGCAATCTCAGCTCACTGCAACCTCTGCTTCTTGTGCTGAAGCAATCGTTGCACCTCAGCCCCCCAAGTCACTGGGACTATAGGCGTGCACCACCACCATGCCTGGCTAAATTTTTTTTGTATTTTTTTGGTAGAGACAGGGTTTCATCATGTTGTCCAGGCTGATCTTGAACTCCTGAGCTCAGGCTATCCACCCACCTCAGCCTCCCAAAGTACTGGGATTACAGGTGTGAGCTATTGTGCCCAGTCTGATATTTTATAGTATCTAAACTTATACTTATCTCAAGGGCTTGTCTTCCTTGAAAGATCTCAAGTGCCTTATGGTACCCTGTAAAGTTCCTCTTTATGATCTCACAGCGCCTCTAGAATTACAGTGACATAATAGGCTCATAATAGGTAATAATATAACCATTTATTGAGCATCTACTATGTGTCAGGTACTATAAAAAGTGCTTTATACATGGTATTTAAATTACATCTCACACAGCTTTTGTAGCATTGTTTCCTTTTATACAGGAATACTTAAGTCATTTAAATAATTTGCTTAGTGTTAAACAGTGAAAAACTGTTGGGGCAGAGATGAGAATCCAAGATATTTCTGGCCCTGAGATTGAGCTCCTTCTACTTCATGGCCCTATCTTGCCTGGCTCCTTCCCTTGCCCGAGAGCCCAAGAATCACCATTTAGTGATTATGTATTATATTCTAGGAGTTTTTCCTAAATTATTCCTAACCCTCCTTGAAAAATGGTTATTATTTTTCCTGTATTCCAGATGAGGTAATCAAGTCTCAGAGATGTTAAACAATTTACCTTAGGTTTCACAGCTAGTAAACTCCAGATGCAACTTTGAGCCTAACTACAGAAGCCTCCTGCCCACTCCACCCTAACTCCTCAAAAATGCTTGTCACATTTTAGGAGAAGTCCCTTGAGAAAAATGCATTGCCCTTACTATTATCAGGGTTTCATTTACGTGGTTTTATTTTATTTAGATAGCTTTTCACAGAAATCATCACTACATACACTTACAGAAAAAAATGTTATCCCTACACTGTATTTTGATCACCTTTTGTCTTTATACATTGACTGCCTAATTATTATAACTAACTTCGCAAAAAACAAGTGCTGGTCCTCCCAAGAATTTGATGAAGTTTTACATCAAAGTGATCTTGATATTGAAAGAATAAAAATTGTTTATACAAACAATAGGTCAGGAATATATCGAGTGACCCATATTCTGTACTGGTCATTGTTAATTTCACCAGACCATTAAGTTTTGCCTGAAACCTCTAGAAGATCAGTAAAAAATACCACACCAGAGAAATAAGTAGTTACTGATACAGAATACCAAAATGAATCTTGAACTTAATGCAATGCACACAAAGCAGAAGGAAAAAAGGAAAGATGAAGAATTAGAATTACCCATTAGATTTTAAAATAAAATAAGAATATAACTTTTTTTGAGACAGGGTCTTACTCTGTCACCCAGGCTAGAGTGCAGTGGCATAATCATAGCTTGCTGCAGCCTTCATCTCTCCAGCTCAAGCCATCCTCCTGCCTCACCCTCTCAAGTAGCTAGGACTATAGGTGCATGCTACCATATCCAGCTAATTAAAAAAATTTTTTTTAGTAGAGACAGGGTCTCATCATGTTGCTCAGACTGGTTTTGAACTTCTGAGCTCAAGTAGTCCTCCCTTGTTGGCCTCCCAAAGTGCTGGGATTACAGGTGTGAGTCCCCAAGCCCAGCCTAAGAATACAATTTTTAAAAGGGAAAAAATGGGGGAAGAATTAATGGAAATTAATCTGACTTATTTATGAGAAAATGGCACTCAATACCAAACTGGCATGTATGCAGTAACTGCCAAGGTAATTAAAATACTTAAGATATAAATGTAATTGAAAATTACATGACTTGAATGTCATTATTCAATTTTACCAATGCTCCCGATTTAGTTGGAAAAAATTGTATTGGTTTTCAGTGAAAAAAAAGTGCAAGTGAAAATAGAAAAAAAATTTAATAGAACCAAAATCTTCCCAAGCAAAAAAATAACTCCAAAAATGTATCCCTCATTATGAAAGTCCTAGGGTTTCTAGAGCTCCCAGAGGACTCAGTAAAACTAGAGATACTTGCAGTGCATTGTAAGTGTGTAATTACCATTTAAATGAAGGGAGAAAAGCTGGTGAGTGAAATGAGAAACAGGCATTTTCTTTTTTTTTTTTTTTTTTTTTTTTTTTTTTGAGACGGAGTCTCGCTCTGTCGCCCAGGCCGGACTGCGGACTGCAGTGGCGGAATCTCGGCTCACTGCAAGCTTCGCCTCCCGGGTTCAAGCCATTCTCCTGCCTCAGCCTCCCGAGTAGCTGGGACTACAGGCGCCCGCCACCGCGCCCGGCTAATTTTTTGTATTTTTAGTAGAGACGGGGTTTCACCTTGTTAGCCAGGATGGTCTCGATCTCCTGACCTCATGATCCACCCGCCTCGGCCTCCCAAAGTGCTGGGATTACAGGCGTGAGCCACTGCGCCCGGCCGAAACAGGCATTTTCTTATAGCCAACCAGGAACTGACATTTCAGGCAACAATCATCTAATCTACAGTGCGGTTAACAAAGCTATTGTCATTCTGCCACTCATACTCACTCTTAACTGACACTTTTCCCTACCAGAAGGAAACAGTAGGTTAAGTCTTTCTCCATGATTTTGAGTCACAATTTGTTCATTAGGCTCTGGCCTGCTTAGTATGTAATTTAACAGCATATATTTACCAAAAGACAGCCAAGACACATAAAGGCTTCTCTTTAATTCTACCTTTTTAATTATTTGGGCATCCAAATTGTAAAAGCAAACAAAATGTCAGAGTAAATTCCTATTGGTTGTACAATCATGATGGTTAAGAATCATCTCATCTCACCTGCAGTCCAACAATAGCTTTCTCTGCTAACATCCATGTTTGTGGATTTGGCTGGGCAGCAAGTTGGATGTAGAAAATATTATTGCCTTTTTCTGAAAAGGCATCGAATACCCTTTTCAAATATGGTTAAAAGTTATCACATAGATTTCAAAACTGGAAAACTATCAAATGTGTTCTTATTGAATAGGTGCATAATGAAGTATAGAGTGTAAAATATTTGTCAAAAACACACAGATTAACTGGAGAGACCCCTCTCCCTGCCACATGTGTTTCAGAAGTCAAATCTTTTCCTTTTGGGTTGCTGCTAGCATGAGATTAGCTAAGTCTTATGATATGTTTGGCAAAACCATGTGGGGTTTATTAGTGTGGCTTATGTTTGTTGGATTAATCGTTGTTTCTACCAAACAAACAAACAACCCTGAGTATTTCTGAAGTAAGAATATAAATGTCAAGCATGACAAGATTAATAAATCATGAAAAGGAAGACTGTTGTGCACACATAATCAGCCATGAGACAAAAGTGATGGGGTTGTGGGTTTCATAGGGCTACTTTATTCCAGCTTTCCCTTTATATCTTCTTTCAGCTGTTTTATTTGATATCTTTTAAAAATCTGTTGCAAGTCAGTGAAACAAGTTAGGTAGACCCTTCCAAGCCATTCAGTGATCTTTCTGATCATCTAAACCAACAGGTCCACAAACTATGACTCCCAAACCAAATCTGGCTCTCTGAATGCTTTTGTAAATAAAAATTTATTGAAACACAGCCACATACATTCATTTATGTATGGTCTATAGCTGTTTTCACACCACAACAGCAAGGTAGTTGTGACAGGGATTATAAGGCCCCAAAAGCCTAAAATATTTACTACCTGGACCTTTATAAAGAAAGTTTGCCAATCCTTGATTTAAACTTATCTCTTACTGTTCTAGGTGAAAATTACGCTCTCTGATACAACCTTCTACTCTATCCCACTCTGTCCCATTAGATGTGCTTTTTTTTTTTCTCTTGACATGGAGTCTCACTCTGTCGCCCGGGCTGGAGTGCAGTGGCGTGATCTTGGCTCACTGCAACCTCTGCTTCCCAGGTTCAAGCAATTCTCTGCCTCAGCCTCCTGAGTAGCTGAGATTACAGGCACCCACCACCATGCCCAGCTAATTATTTTGTATTTTTAGTACAAATAGGGTTTCACCATCTTGGCCAGGTTGCTCTTGAACTCCTGACCTCGTGATCCACCTGCTCCAGCCTCCCAAAATGCTGGGATTACAGGTTTGAGCCACCATGCCCAGCAGATGTGCTTTTTTTCTACTTCACCAAACCATCCCATTTTTCAATTATAGGCATATCTTATTTTATTGCACTTCAATTTAGCGTACCTCACAAATATTGTGCTTTCTACAGATTTAAGGTTTATGGCAACTTGGTGTCAGGCAAATGTGTCGGCACCATTTTTCCAATAGTATGTGCTCACTCTGTGTCTCTATCACATTTTGGTAATCCTCACAATATTTCAAAGTTGTTCATTATTGTTATATCTGTTATGGTGATCCATGATGATGATCTTTGATGTTACTATTGTAATTGTTATGGGGGTGCCACAAACTGCACCCATAAGAGACAGTGGACTTAATCAATACATGTTGTATGTGTTCTGACTGCTCCACTGACTGGCCGTTCCCCAATCTTTCTCTTCTCAGGCCTCCCTCTTCAGTGAGACACAGCAATATTGAAATGAGGCCAGTTAATAACCTGACAATGACCTCTAAGTGTTCAAGTGAAAGGAAGAGTTGCACATCTCTCACTTTCAATCAAAAGCTAGAAATGATTAAACTTAGTGAGGAAGGCATGCCAAAAGCCAAGACAGGCTGAAAGCTGGGCCTCTTGTGCCAAACAGCCAAACTGTAAATGCAAAGGAAGAAATCCTTGAAGGAAATTAAAACTGCTATTCCAGTGAACCCAAAAATGATGAAAGAGCAAAATAGCCTTATTGCTGATATGGAAAAAATTTTAGTAGTCTGGATGGGAGATCAAACCAGCCACAAAATTCCTTTAAGTCAAAGTCTAACACAGACAAGGCCCTAACTCTCTTCAATTCTATGAAGGCTGAGAGAGGTAAGGAAGCTGCAGAAGAAACATTGGAATCTAGCAGAGACTGGTTCATGAAGTTGAAGGAAAGAAGCCATCTCCATAATAAAAAAGTGCAAGGCGAAGCAGCAGGTGCTAATGTAGAAGCCTTAGCAAGTTATCCAGAAGATCTACCTAAGATCATTGATGAAGGTGGCTACACTAAAAAATAGATTCTCAATATAAACAAAGCACCCTTCTGTTGGAAAAAGATGCCATCCAGGGCTATCATGGCCAGAAAGGAAAAAGTCAATGCCTGGCTTCAAAACTTCAAAAGGACAGGCTGATTTTCTTGTTAGGGGTTAATGGAACTCATGACTTTAAGTTGAAGCCAGTGCTCACTTACTATTCCAAAAATCTAAGGACACTTAAGAATTATGCTAAATCTACTTGCCCGCACTCTATAAATGGAATGCCAAAGCCTAGATGATAGCACATCTGTTTACAGAATGGCTCACTGAATATATTAAGCCCACTGTTGAGGCTTACTCCTCAGAAAAAAGATTCCTTTCAAAATGTTAATGCTCATTGACAATGCGCCTGGTCACTCGAGAGTTCTGATGGAGATGTACACAAAGATTAATAATGTTTTCGTGCCTGCTAAGACAACATCCATTCTGCAGCCCATGAATGAAGAAGTCATTTTCACTTTCAAGTCTTATTTAAGAAATACATTTCCTAAGGCTATAGTTGTCATAAATAGTGATTCCTCTGATGGATCTGGGTAAAGTAAATTGAAAACCTTCTGGAAAGAATCCACCATTATAGATGCCATTAAAGACATTCATGATTCATGGGAGGATGTCAAAATATCAACATTAACAGGAGTTTGGAAGAAGTATATTCCAACTCTAATGGATGACTTTGAAAAGGTTCAAGACTTCAGTGAAGACTGATGTGGTGGCACATGCCTATAATCCCAGCTACTTGGGAAGCTGTGGTGGGAGGATCACTTGAGGATCATTTGAGGTGGGAGAATCACTTGGGGAGAAGGACTTCACTGGAAGAAGTCACTGCAGATGTGGTGGAAATAGCAAGAGATTAGAATTTGAAGTGGAGCCTGAAGATGTGACTGAATTGCTGCAATCACATGATAAAACTTGAATGGATGAGGAGCCACTTGTTATGGATGAGCAAAGAAAGTAGTTTCTTGAAATGGAAACTACTCCTGGTGAAGATGCTGTGAACATTGTTGAAATGACTACAAAGGGTTTAGAATATTACATAAATGTAATTGATAAACCAACATCATGGTGTGAGAGAATTGATTACAATTTTGAAAGAAGTTTTACTGTGGGTAAAATGCTATCAAACAGCATCACATGCTGCAAAGAAATCTTTAATGAAAGGAAGAACGAATCATGTGGCAAACCTCATTGCCACAGCAAACCCAAACTTCAGCAACCACCACCCTGATCAGGCTGCAACCATCAACACCAACGGAAGACCCTCACTAGAAAAAATGTTGTGACTTTCTAAATGTTCAGATGATTGTTAGCAATTTTTAACAGTAAAGTTTTGTGGGGGTTTCTTGAGACAAGGTCTCACTCTGATACCCAGGCTGTAGTGCTGTGGAGGATCAGAGCTCACTGCAGCCTCAAACTCCTGGGCTCAAGTGATCCTCTCACCCCAGCCTCCCAAGTAGCTAGTACCACAGGTGCACACCACCATGTCTGGCTAATTTTTTAAATGTTTCTGTAGAAATGAGGTCTCACTATGTTGCACAGGCTGGTCTCAAATTCCTGGTCTCAAGTGACCCTCTCACCTCGCTTCCAAAAGTTCTGGGATTACAGGTGTAAGCTACTATGTCTGGCCATGTATTTTAATAAAGGTATGTATGTTGTTTTTTAGACATAATACTATTGTACACTTAATAGACTACAGTATAGCGTAAACATAATTTTTATATGCACTGGAAAACAAAAAAATAATGTGTGACTGGCTTTAATGTGATATTTGCTGTATTGCAGCATTCTGGAACCAAACCTGCCTGTATCTCCTTTTTCTAGTAAATATTATGTTTACATATCTTTCCTTTTTCAGTTACTATCACAGTTAATTTCATTCCAAAATTCGCTTAACCTGAATTTAAAAGTGGTCATATGTGGCCCAATCTCTGCTTTGGGTCAATCCAAGGTAAAATCAATTCAAAAACAATGAAAATATATAATTGAAATAAATTTAAATGTTTACTTAGGGTCTAAAGAAAATGCTAACGAAGTAAAGGAGGAGTATGCTCTTAATGAATAATTGAACATTTCTAAACCCTATCTTCCCAGAATCATTACTCTCAATATTCCCCTAAATCAATGACAGATGTTGTGGTGGATGCTATGGTGTGCTGCACAGATATTCCTTTCAGGAACAAGGTGCTCATACCTCCAGACACCAGGCCCTCTTTGGAAATTGCCCTAGCCAATGCAGCCAGCCACCTCACTTAAGGTTAAATCTCCTTTTGGAGGGCCTCCCACATCTAATGATGGTTGATATTGGGATTTGGGCCATAATTTGGGACAATTCTAAAAGGAAATCCCAGTTCCAGAGTGCCCCATAAGATTGACTGAGGCCTCCCTTGTGACTACATGACACTTTAACTGTTCCTTCTACCCAAGTCTGCTTCTCTCTGACCCTTACATGTGTTACTCCTGAGGGAATTCCCCAGTTAACTCCTGCAGGCAAGTCTCTGCGTTGGAGCCTAGTTCTTGGGGATCCCAACTTAAGACAGCTGTTCTCTTTAAACTCTTTCTCTCATCCCATTCTCCCCCAAACCCAGTCTTTCTAGCTCTTTATTCCTTCCTCCTCACTGTCTTGTTTCCTCACATTCCTGAATCAATTCTTTTTCTCATGATAGAGTTAACCATCTATTCTTTAAATTTATAATTTGTGTTAGTGTGTTTCAATGCCTTATTCTAACCTTTCAAAATATTCCCTTATAGAAGGTAGTTTTGGATTATCAGGATGAATTGTTTGTTTTGTTTGTTTGTTTCTGAGACAGAGTCTCCCTCTGTTGCCCAGGCTGGAGTGCAGCGGCACAATCTTAGCTCACCACAGCCTCGACCTCCCCAGGCTCAGGTGATCCTCCCATCTCAGCCTCCAAGTAGCTGGGACTACAGGTGCACACCACCAAGTCCGGCTAATTTTTTGACTTTTAATAGAGATGGGGTTTCACCATGTTGCCCAGGCTAGTCTTGAACTCCTGATCTCAAGTGATCTGCCCCCCTTGGCCTTCCAAAGTGCTGGGATTATAGGCCTGAGCCACTGCACCCGGTGAGGACTAATTGTTTTTAATGTTTTACAGTTTTATTTTTAAAAGAACACTGGCCAGGTGCAGTGGCTCATGCCTATAATCCCAGCATTTTGGGAGGCTGAGGCATGCGGATCACTTGAGGTGAGGAGTTCAAGACCAGCCTGGCCAACATGATGAAACCCGTTTCTACTAAAAACACAAAAATTAGCCAGGCATGCTTGCATGCGCCTGTAGTTCCAGCTACTCTGGAGCCTGAGGCAGGAGAATCGCTTGAACCCGGGAGGCAGAAGTTGCAGTGAGCCAAGATCAGGCCATTGCACTCCAGCCTCAGCAACAGAGCAAGACTCTGTCTCAAAAAAATAAAAATAATAATAAAAAAATAAAGAACACTGATCAAAAAGCATTTAAAATTGTACCTTTTTACATTATGCATTTAAAAGTCTTTATATGATTATTATATGGCCAACTGTAGAGTGAATGCTGTTCTGCAGTTACATTGTCCCCCTACAATAGCATCTTGATTTAAAATGAAATGTTCTGGTACAAAAGTTGGAAAACAAGGACACATAGGAAGACAACAAATTAAAAGAGAAAGAAAGAGGAGAAAGGAAACTAAGATGAAACAAATCAAACAAAACTATAATAGATTTGTGAATTTCCGTTGCATGCAGTACTTCTGCAAACTCTAGACTCATTATCTTTTCCAGAGCC
This sequence comes from Homo sapiens, assembly GCF_000001405.40. Classification (NCBI taxonomy): domain Eukaryota; kingdom Metazoa; phylum Chordata; class Mammalia; order Primates; family Hominidae; genus Homo; species Homo sapiens. The sequence goes on along the minus strand of NC_000007.14, from coordinate 90,499,243 downwards.
AAATATTTAATTTTGTGAAATTCCTAGCATTGGCACAAGTTAAAATAAATAACTCATCTTTATTCTGCTTAAACTTAAAAATTGTTAAAAAGGGCCATGTGCAGTGGCTCATGCCTGTAATTCCAGCACTTTGGGACGCTGAGGTGGGTGGATTGCTTGAGCCCAGGGGTTCGAGACCAGCCTGGGCAATATAGTGAAATCCCATCTCTACAAAAATCACAAAAGTTAGCCAGGCATGGTAGTGAGCATCTGTAGGCTTGGATACTTGAGAGGCTTAGGCCAGAGGATCAATTGAGCCCAGGAGGTGGAGGCTGCAGTGAGCCATGATCATGCCACTGCACCCCAGCCTGGCTGACAGAGCGAGACCCTGTCTCAAAGAAAAGAAAATTAAAAAAAAATTTTTAAAAGGAAACAGAAAGAGTAATAAGAGGTGGAGAGAAGTTAAATACCATTACCAGATATTAAAATAGCTTATATATCCTCCACAATTAAAACATTATGGTATTAGGAAACTATTATCCAGATAGATCAATAGCAGTGAACAGATGCACAAAAATATACTCAAATGTGAATGGAAATTTATGAAAAAAGTTTCATCTTATATCACTGGTGTAAAAAAGGCTTTCACAATAAATTGTGTTGGTGTAGTTTTCATTATATAATGACGTTCTTTGTCTCTTTTTATAGTTTTGGACTTAAAGTCTATTTTGTTTGATATAAGTATAGCTACCCCTGCTCTCTTTTGGTTTCAATTTGTGTTGAATATCTTCTTCCATCTCTTCACTCTCAGTTTATGTGTGTCCTTAAAGATGGTGAAGAGAGTCTCCTACAGGCAGCATATAGTTGGATCTTATTTTTTAATCCATTCAGCCCCTTTATTTCATTGGAGAATTTAACCTATTTACATTCAAGGTGATTATTGACAGGTAAGAACCTACTGCTACCATTTTATGGTTATAATATAGTAATAAAGGGATTCTCATGAGGTCAGGAGATCGAGACCATCCTGGCTAACACAGTGAAACCCCGTCTCTACTAAAAATACAAAAAATTAGCCAGGCGTGGTGGCGGGCGCCTGTAGTCCCAGCTACTCGGGAGGCTGAGGCAGGAGAATGGCGTGAGCCGGGGAGGCAAAGCTTGCAGTGAGCCGAGATCGTGCCACTGCACTCTAGTCTGGGCAACAGAGCGAGACTCCATCTCAAAAAAAAAAAGGGGGGGTTCATTCATCAAGAGGATATAACAATTATAAATATACATGCACTCAACAAAATATATGAATATTAATAGATCTGAAGGAAGAGACAGGCAATAATGCAGTAATAGTAGGGGACTTCAATAACCCACTCTCAACAATGGACATAACATCCAGACAAAAAGATCAACAAGGAGACATAAGACTTGAACTACACTTTGGACAAATGGACATAACAGACATATCCACAGGGTTCTATCCAATGGCAACAGAATACATATACTTCGGCTTCTTCTTCTTCTTCTTCTTTTTTTTTTTTTTTTTTTTTTTTTTTTTATACAGGGTCTTTCTCTGTCGCTCAGGCTGGAGTACAGTGGTATGATCACGGCTCACTGCAGCCTCAACCTCCTGGGCTCAAGGGCTCCTCCTGCCCCACCCTTCCTAGTAGCCTGGCTAACTTTTTAACTTTTTTTTTTTTTTTTTTTTTTGAGACGGATTCTCGCTCTGTCGCCCAGGCTGGAGTGCAGTGGCGCGATCTCGGTTCACTGCAAGCTCCGCCTCCCGGGTTCACGCCATTCTCCCTCCTCAGCCTCCCGAGTAGCTGGGACTACAGGCGCCCGCCGCCACGCCCGGCTAATTTTTTGTACTTTTAGTAGAGACGGGGTTTCACCATGTTAGCCAGGATGGTCTCGATCTCCTGACCTCGTGATCCGCCTGCCTCGGCTTCCCAAAGTGTTGGGATTACAGGCATGAGCCACTGCGCCCGGCCTTAACTTTTCTTTTGTAGAGATGAGATCTTGCTCTGTTGACCAGGCTGGTTTCAAACTCCTGGCCTTAAGCAATCTTCCTGCCTTGACCTCCCAAAGTGTTGGGATTACAGATGTGAGCCACTGCACCTGACTGACATTCTTCTTCAGCACACATGGAACACTAACGTAGACCATATGTTAGGCCACAAAACAAGTTTTTACAAATGTAAGAAGATTTAAATCATATCAGGTATCTTTTCTGACCGTGATGATATGAAACTAGAAATCAATAACAAGAAGAAATTTGGAAAATTCACCAAAACATGGAAATTAAACGACATTCTCTGAACAACCACGGGGTCAAAAAAGAAAACAAATGGAAAGCAAAAAGTATATTGAGACAAATGAAAATTAAAACACAATATACTAAAATTTATGGGATGCAGCAAAAGTAATTCTTAGAGGGAAGTTAATAACAATCATGCCTACATAAAAAAAGAAAGATCTCAAATTAATAACCTTATGTTACACATCAAAGGACTAGAAAAAGAACAAACTATGCCCAAAGGTAATAGAAGGAAGGAAATAATAAAGATCAGGGCAGAAATAAGATAGACACTAGAAAAACAATAGAAAGAATCAACAAAACTGAAAGTTATACTATTATAGTAAGAAGAGTTAAAAAATTAAAATTAAAATAAAAAATTAACAAAACTAATGGTTGGTGTTTTGAAAAGATAAACAAAATGGTCAGCCCTTTAGATAGACTACAAAAAAAGAGAGAGACTTAAATAAAATCAGAAATGAAAGAGAAGACATTACAACTGATACCACAGAAATATGAAAGATTACGAGATACTGTGAAGAATTATACACCAACAAATGGGATAGCCTAGAAGAAATGAATACATTCCTAGACAAATACAACACACCCAGATTGAATTCTTAAGAAATAGAAAATCTGAACAGACAAATAATGAGTAACAAGATTGAATCAGTAATAAATGGTCTCCCATAAAAGAAAACCCCAAAATCTCATGGCTTCACTGCTGAATTCTACCATTTAAATAACTAATACCAATCCTTCTCAACTCTTCTCAAAAACTGAAAAGGGAATCCTTCTCAATGCATTTAATGAGGCCAGTACTATCCTGAAACCCAAGCCAGACAAAGACACTATGAGAAAAGAAAATTGCGGGCTAATATCCCTGATGAATATAGGTGCAAAATTCTTCACAAAATACCAGTAAACTGAATTCAGCATCACATTAAGAGGATCATTTATGTCAGTGGGGAAAATCTCGAATAATGGAATTACCAGGTCAAAGAGTACTCCCCCCCAACCCCAAATTTTAATAGATACTGAGAGATTGCCTTCTAAAAAGTTTCTATAAATGCCAAATCCCAACAACAACAAATAAATGTGCACATTTCCCTTGCAACATTGGGTGTTAACCATCATTTCTTGCTGTTGTTTGCCTAGGGCACCCTTGGTTTTCACCTGCTCTCCTAGCATAATTCTTAATAGTGGCCCTTTCACTCTTAAAATGGGCCCAGTTTGGAAGATACATGGTCACTCTACTAAACTTTAAAACTGATACATATTGTCTCTTCCCTAGAGATTCTCCAGGAGGCTCTGTAGGCTTCTGGAAGGACTTGCATTCTCCTCCCTCTCCCTCCTATTAACCTGCACTGACTCCTTCAGAAGCCATAGAATTATGGAATGTGCCTCTAGCTAGAGACCTCCTTTCTGTGCAGGTGGATGTAGGAGGTGGCAGTGAAAGTATGCCTGTATGTTTAACCTTGCTGAAAGGCAAATGTGCACACACACACATACACACACAAAGCCAAATTTGTAACTATGTTGTAATCCAAAGGATAGTCCCTAGCTGTCCATCATTTGACATGCCATAGATGTTGATAAGAGGATTCCAGCACTGGAAGAGGTGTTGGGTAGGATGAACTTTAAGTGCCTTCAGTGTTGAGATTCTGTGATTACAGTAGTAACAAGTGACACTTATTAAGAACTTACTGAGTGTCGGGGTAGTTCTAGAAATTTTAGCTGTAAAATCTCATTTTGTCCTCAAAGTCACCAAAACAATAATTTAGTCACTGTTTTTAGGTAATATTAACAAATTAGGAACTAAGGCACAAACAGATTAAGTTAGTTGTCTAACGTGGCATACTTAGTAAATGGATAGCCCAGATTTCAACAAAGGCAGCCTGAACTGTTATATCTCCACTTTCTGCTGCCTTCCCTTTTAATGGTAGGGGTTGGGCAGAGGGGAGGATTGATGGGGGTCTCTTTGTCGTCACCCAGGCTGAAATGCAGTAGCGCAATCATAACTCACTACAGCCTCCAACTCTTGAGCTCAAGCAATCCTCCCACCTCAGCCTCCTGAGGAGCTGGGACTACAGGCACATGCAACCATGCCCAGCTAATTTTTTATTGTTTGTAGTGATGGGGTCTTGCTATGTTGCCCAGGCTGGTCTTGAACTGAGCTTAAGTGATCTCACCTTGGCCTACCAAGTTGTTAGGACTGCAGGTGTGAGGCACCACACTGGCTAATTTTTAAATTTTTTTGTAGACATGGAATCTCGCTATATTGTCCGGGCTAGTCTCGAACTCCTGGCCTCAGGTGATCCTCCCTCTTCCGCCTTCCAGAGTGCTGGGATTACAGAGATCAGCTACTGTGCTTGGCCTTCTGCTGCCTTCTATTACATGTTTTGGGCATTGAAAATCTGCCTACATTTTACAGATTTGATTTCCATTTTCTTTCTTAATAATTCTAATTATATTCCTGAAAAGTGGCTTAATAGAACGGAGAAAATGGCATGCAGAAAATTCACGCAATATAATTTGAAACCTTACCATTGAAGAAACTTCCTTCTGCTCTTTCTGGAGGATCTCTTTTCAATTATCTATTCATCATATACTATGAGAAGAGAAAATAAATTTATCTTTTCAAATTCTATCTAGGAAAAGTCAATAAAAACTTACGTAATTTTTAAAATGTTAAACATGAAACATTCATGAATAATAAAAAGATTTCTGAGATTTTAATACTGTTGCTATTTTAATATTTAGGGCTCAAGTGACTTAAGGTACTATCAACATGTAATTGACAAAAAGGAAAAGATCAGATATTTGATGGTGACCACAAGACTAGTTGTCTCCAGTGACAGAAAAGCTGTGGATGCTTAATGAATGCTTAATGAATCCCTAATCCCAGCAAACCATCTTCTGAATTCATTTTCTAGGAAAGAAGTGTGGACCAAGAAGGGCACTATTACCACCAATCCTGAAAAATAACTGTCTTCACAGGTGAGGAGTATCGCAGTGTACAGAACATTTTATAGGCTCCATATTTTCCTATTCCACAATCAGAAGCCTGTTTATTCTATGTCTTGCATAAATACTCTGAAAACTACCATATGCAAACATCTTACCAATCATCTTCCAATGTGTAAGTCCAGAGGACACTTATGAATCTCTCTCCCTCCGTCTTCAGACCCCTTTCTCTTGATGTCTATGACACTGCAGTCTCCCACTTTTTCATCTTCTTCTCAATTTCTTTTGCAGAACCCTGTTTCACTTACTCAAGCCTTTAATGTAGGCATTCCCATTGGGCTCTCTCATGGGTGAAAAATCATCCTGCCTTGTGAATTTGACTACACTTTATTCCCTACAATGAATCTGACAATTCTCAATCTGTGTAAAGATAACCGTGTCTACCTAAACTAAATAAATACCTAACCTTGTGCTCTTTTCAGTGTTTTTCCTGGGTCAATGTGTTGTCGAATTTAAAATGGATGGGGAAAATTGAAATGCAGCATTATTCTCTGCAGCCCCCTGGTTTGATTTCAACCTTCGGAAGAAGCAGCATTTGTCCTACACTTTGGCTCCTGTCCTAAAATAGCTTTTTGAAACATTTCATGATCCAATTATCACCCAAACAATTTCTACATAACAAGGTCTAGGAGTTGACAAAAGAGTGTGTATGTGCTTACCATTTCATCCTTACCCTAAAAGGTTTACCCTGTTTCTCATCCAGATTTTGCAACCTCAAAGTATGGGTCCTGGGCTTTTCTACATTCCCTATCATTATGCCCCTGCAGCCCAAAGCACTAAAATAATCTGAAGCCCCCCCGCACCCTGCAAAGTTATTTATTAATAGTAATTATAAAGGACTATGCAGTACTCTTTCCTCAGTCATATTATCATGATGTAAAATTTTTTTGTGGTCCAATTAAGTGAACAGGGAGATCATGATTTTGACTCCAGTTGGGTTTTCAGGATCCAGACCTGGGTAGAGGATTGGGAGTGCCTGCCCAGGAACTGTGGGTGATCAGCCAAAGGAAGCCAAGATTTGAGTCCTGGATAAGGGAAAGCTTTGTAAGTAAGGGAAAGTTTAGAATTGAGTTGAGGAGAGCGGATAGGAGGTTAGCCAAGGAACTAGGTAGATGAAGTGAATTAATCTGGGAAAGCCTGCAAGAATTCCTGAAGACAACGGTCATCTTTTGTTGGGTTGCTTTTGTGGAGTGCGAGTTGGGGTAGCAGGGGAAGCTATGAATATCTCCGACTGGGTTGGAAAATTTTAGCCCATCTTTATCAATATTGTGATTTTACCAATCCTGGTATAGCTATTGAGGTTACCAAAATGTATCATGGAAATGGGAAAAATGAAATCTGTTGTTATGAGTCCTACCATACTTTGATTTTTGTTGTTGTTTTCAGAGACAGGGTCTTCCTCTGTGGCCCAGGCTGAAATGCAATGGCGCAATATGTATGCAATGCAATGTGTTCACCATAACCTCAAATTTCTAGCCTCAAGCAAATCCTCCCACCTTGGCCTTTCAAAACATTGAGATTACAGGTGTGAGTCACTGCACCTGGCCCCTACTCATGCTTTAATTTTGATGTTTGGAACAAGGGAGCAAGCTGTTACTGAAGGAGTCTGGGACATTCCATCAAATAAACGAAAACACTTGCCAGTAGCACTGCGGTCGTGAATAGGAACTGTTTCTCGTCTTCCATAAAAATAGACACGATTTCTGTTCAAACTGATGGTGAATTTAGAATTAGGCTTATTTTCAGAACAGTACAAGTTATAGTTGGAACTATTATTTTTTCATTAGATAGACTACTTTTTTTATTTTTTTATTATTTTTGAGACAGAGTCTTGCTCTGTCACCCACGTTGGAGTGCAGTGGCACGATCACAGCTCACTGCAACCTCCACCTCCTGGGTTCAAGCAATTCTTGTTCCTCAGCCACCTAAGTAGCTGGGATTACAGGCACTCACCACCATACCCAGCTAATTTTTGTATTTTTAGTAGAGACAGGGTTTCACCATGTTGGCCAGGCTGGTCTTGAACTCCTGGCCTCAAGTGATCCACCCACTTCGGCCTCCCAAAATGTTAGGATTATAGGCGTGAACCACTGCACCTGGTCTTATGCAATATTTTATCATTGCATTATCAAATTCTTCTTTTATCCCTCCACCAGGAGAATTAAAACATTTAATTAAGAAAAGCAATTAAAATAAATGGAATATAATTTAAAATATCAATAAGCTAGCAATAGAATTAACAATTGCTTGTTTACTTGTCTGTGTCCCCTTAGTAAGTTATAAGCTCCATGAAGGCAAGGGTTTGATATTTCTTTTTTTTTTTTTTCTTAGATGGAGTCTCGCTATGTCACCCGGGCTGGGGTGCAGTGGTGTGATCTCAGCTCACTGCAACCTCTGCCTCCAAAATTCAAGCGATTCTCCTGCCTTGGCCTCCTGAGTAGCTGGAACCATAGGTGCGTGCCACCACGCCCAGCTAAGTTTTGTATTTTTAGTAGAGATGGGGTTTCACCATGTTGGCCAGGCTGGTCTCGAACTCCTGACCTCAGGTGATCCACCCACCTCAGTCTCTCAAAGTGCTGGGATTACGGGCGTGAGCCAGCACACCCGGCCTGATCTTTCTTGCTTATTGTTATATCCCTATGACAATGACATTGCTTAGTGGATAATAAATACTCAATAAATATTTGCTAAAAGAATAGATGACAATCAAGGAGGCATTGAGTACATGGACAATGAAACACTTGTTTTCTCTAACATTTGGAACTTTTTAAAGTGCTTTAATTTTTATAAGCATAACTATTGAACAATAATATTAGATCAAATGTACCAATAAGTATTTTGATATTTCATTGGTCATTCTAGGGTATTTTTTTAAAAGAAAAAGTCATGTTTCTAAAACCTAACCAGGATCTTTGGTTTATGAAGTACAGTAAGTCCTTAAGAAGATAAATACCCCTACAGAATACAGCACTCATTGAATTAACAAGGTCTAGAAGATCTCTTGAAGAAATTCAGAAAGAAGAGATGGTGGATATACAGCAGAGTTAAACCAGAACTGAGTACAGTTGTTGGATGATATTTTCAGAGAGACTTCAGGGTTTTTCATTTAAAATGCGGACAAAAGAAGCTTCAATGATGGATATTTGCTCAGGCCCCTACTCTTATGGGCAGAATTTGCCACTTTACTCATAAATACTATATAAAAAAGTGATGACACTTACAAGGAGCTAGGATCCTAAGAAGAAAATATATATTTAAAAAATTACAAAACAGCCCCTTGCCACATATGTAATGTGCCCTATTGGTTCTTCTTTCTGATTTGTATGTGTATATGTGTATGTTTGTTTCAGAGGGGAAAAATAAGGAATACCTTCCATCCTATCCTAACTTGTCTTTGTATGTTAATAAGGAAAAGACCATCTCTAAGCCAGAAAAATACAAAGTTCCTGACCAAGTTGAGGTCCTAAACAAGCAAATGGAACATTGGCCAACCCTTATCTTTTTTTTTTTTTTTTTCTGCAAGCACTATGGTGACTTACCTTATCTTTTTATAAGCATATTTTACTTACAGGTTGACCTATAAATGTGCATTTATCTTATTTTTGGGTCACGTCTATCTTATTTACAGTTCCTTCTTATAAAAAGTGTACAATCTGAAGAAAGAAAATAATATCATACTGGGATGAAGGAGAAAAAACTAATTTGTTGATATGTAATGGACTATGCAAATACTCTCCAAACCTTCTGTGAACTCCCTTTGAAAAATTTACTTGAGGAGGTACTCCACCAAAAGGAAAAAATCAACCCTAAAAAGAGGTATAGGAACCACAAAATTCTCCTAATTCAGTAGAGCAGTAAAAAGAAACTAATTTTTGCATGTTAAAGCAGGAAGCCAGAAGACTTTAAGAAGAATATTTATAAGAAGAAAATGAATGTATTTTAGCAAATACAAAGATGAATGATCACAGTGATGAGAATAAAGATACATGTGTTTTTGTTAATGAGAAATAATGAAGATAATTTAAAACTCTAGAAAGTGCAAAAGCTGTATAGGAAAGTTACAATTAAGTAACATGAAGTAAGCTGAAATGTAGCATGATTTTGTGAAATAAAGAGTAAGAAAAGAGAATCTATTTGATCTTGGCACTTGATAATTCTTTTTCAAGCAATATAGGTTAGTGGCATAGAATTATATTTCCTACTCCACTTTGGTTCTTTATTAAACAACATTTATACAATCATGTATAAATATGTTATCCTTTTTAGTAGTTAACAAATTTTAGAGTGAAATTATAGAGTAAGCATTTCAAGATATAATTATGGCCACAGAACAGAATGTAAATATTACACATTTGACAAGGTCAAATTAATGAGAAAGCTTATAGAATTTAGGAGATAGAGGAAAGAGAGGATAAATGGAAGGGATCCAAATTTTCTTATGTGTAACAGGAGAAGGATTGAGACATAGAAACAAGGAATTAAATTGATTACTCAAAGTCAACAGGAGAAATATTAGTAATCTTAAGATCTAATAACTAAAAATAATGAAAAAAATAGTAACAACCCAAAAATAACACAATGATAATACCTACTAATAGCAAAAAAAATGTGTATAGTGCAAGATAAATTTTTCTGCTTTAATGATTGGGGGTCAATAGATAACATCTAAAATTAATCATGAAAAGAAAACATAACCATCAAAATCAAATATATGGAGGTAACTACAGAAGAACAACAAATAGAACCATACTAAAAGGATTACTTCTGGGAAGACAGTGTTAGAGGTGGGGTGGGGGATGAGAAAGTTAAACTTTTTTTTTTTTTCATTTTACAATTTCCGTACTTTTTGGACTTTTCTTCCTTACCATGTGGATATATTATTTTTATTACATAAAAAAGGCAAAACATTTCCTGATGACTAGCTTAGTATTCTCTTCAATGATATTACCCCAAAGTGCATTCTTAATAAGGATAAAATGAGCATACTCCTGCAGGTAAAAGTGATAGGCGCAGCAGTACCAAACGAATCCTGTAATTAATACTGCAATGAGTAGAAGCATCATGATTCCAAACATGTCAACTGAAATGTATAAAAAGAAATATATTTTAAGTTAACAGAACATCAGTAATTTCTGCTATTTGCATCTTTTCTAATATCATGCAATGTGATTCTTTAACAAATGATTATTGAAAGTAATGATACAATAACATACATTACATATTCCAATAAAACTACCATTAACACAACAATCACTAACATTTAAAAATAATCTGGGTTGCTAGAGGAGTTAACATTTGATTTACTTATTTTTAAATTGGTGAACTATTAGGCTACTGGCTTAATTTTTCTTTATTTTACCTCTAAACTCATTTCTGGTACTATCTTAATAGGTAAAACAACAAATCCCTCAGGCTGTTGTATCTCTAAAGATACATCTAGATAGCAGGAAATGATTTATTGTTTGAATTTCAGCAGTCCATTACCAAAGAGACAACCAATGCTTGCTGCAAAACCAGATTTCTACCCCTTGTAAACTTTTTTTTCTTATCTCAGTAAGCACAATGTAGTTTATTAGCTTGGTATGTTGTAAAATGAAACTAGAAGGGCAAACATGAAATAGGAGACTAGTTCATACTAGTTACAAGAAGTGTAACTTCTTTATAAGGCAAAAACATGCATGATTTAAATATATCTGATAGTACCGGAAAGAAACAGAGATTTGAGGGCAAAATTTATATCTTTTTACTTCAGTGAAGGAAAAAAGAAGACAACTGGTTGTTCTAGATTGGGTTTTTTCACATAGCTAGGATTTACCTAGAAAGCATTTTGTTTCAATTCTTTAAGGAAACTTCTTAAATGGTACTGGTACGTTTTCCTGCCTTGGTAAGTATTGTATAACGTACCAAAAGTCCAACATTTCAGTATAACTTAAAGATTCTTTGATGATTAATATTTGTTCAGTCCTAGTGAATCATTATTCTGAATAGCAATTCTCAGTGTAGAATACATTAGCTGAAAAAATATAAGTTATAGCAATGTTTCTAGATATAATATATCCTCAGACCAGGACTAGCTTATAAAAAAAATCCTGGAATTCCTAAAATGACATAAGAATACAAACATTCTTTAAGTGGGTTATGGATATCATACACTAGAGATTTTAGAAATGGAAATTTAAAGTATTTAGCTACTGGTATGCCAAAGCATCCACCAATCAAAATGAATGTTGACTTAATTTGAATGAATAATTGCTGCAAACAACCAATAAGCCTACATCAGGAGGAAAGACCAATGAACATCCCTGGACTTGCTATATTTTTATTTTTATTTTACTTAAAGTTCTGGGATACATATGCAGAACATGCAGGTTTGCTACATAGGTATACATGTGCCATGGTGGTTTGGACTTGCTATATTTTAATATGTAAGGCAAATGTAATAATTTATAATCCTTCAAATGTAGCAAATCACTAGCATTTGCAAGTCAATTGAAATAAAGAACATAAAAATCTAAATAAGGACAACTCACCTTTACAGTTTAACCAATATATAGAACTGAATCGACAACCGAAATAGGGAAAACAGTATTTTTTGCATGCTTTTTCTTCACTACACCAAACACACTATATTTGGAAAGAGAAAAATAAAAGTGGTGTCCAAGTATAATAACCACAATCCCAGGAAGTTTTTAGTATTAACTCAATAAGTATTCAATAAATAATAACCATTATTATTATTATTTGTAGTAGATGCCTTTGGTAACTTATTGAGATCTCCTTTGTCAGACCCATGCATCCAAACCTCAGCTGCAAAAAGTTTTGGCTCCCAGTGGCTCACAGCTTCCCCTCTTCTTGGACGACGATAGGGACCACCTAGCCCACAAGGTTACTATTTCTCCAGGCCAGTGACTGACTGACATGGGGTTCCAAACAGTGGGCATCCTTGCCTCAAGTGAGGAACAACTCTACCTTGTGACTTTTTTTGCCCAAGGGCTGCCCATGATTCAGGCCAAGAGTGAGATTTAGCTAAGACCTCATCTTTTCTTGGCTCTTGCCGCTTATCTTCCCTGAGTCTGTCACTCCATAGGATTTTTGCTGAAGAGCAGTCACTCAAAAATCACATGCACCTGAACCCCTTTCTCAGACTCTAGGTTTAGGAAACAAAACCAAAGATATTATTTCACAAAGTAGTAATAAGAACTGAGGTAAATGGTTTTTAAAATCTCTCTATCACTCTTTCCATTCCTCTTGCCTGCATCCCCGACTCTTTCCTTTGGGATTGCTCCTCTGTTACACATGGCCCTGGTGGTACTGTCAACAAGCCTTACCTCACCCCTCTCCCCACACTGCTCACTGGTGCTCAGATAATCATGCAGAAATAGGAAAATGGAATTCTAAGTCCCTTAAGCAAGGCATAAAGGTGAAAAACATTATGGGAGGTAAAACCAGAAGAACTTGGAAAAGCAAAAAAAAAAAAAAAAAAGGAAGACAAAGCAGTAAAAATGGCTGTCACTTACATAGGGCCTACCATGTGACAGGTACTATATTCTAAGTCCTTTATATATATATATCCACTCACTTCATACTCATGACAACCCGGTGATCTAGGTACTATTATGTCCACTTTATAGATGAGAACAAGAAGGTGCAGAGAAGTTAAATGACTTACATAAGATTGCATACCTAGTAAATAGGGGAGCCTGGGTTCTAACCTAAGTAGCATGGCTCTGTGCTGGTAACCAATCCTGTAAGATTGAACCCAGACCCCACCCAATCACTTCTTGCTGTACATCCTGGGACCAGCAGAGGTAATGATTCACTCCAATGTAAAGAACCACCCCTTAGACACTGCGTAAGTACCAAGGGTATATCACAGGCCAGCTTTTGTTTCACACTGGACAAGATTAACGGTCAAATCAAGCCATTCAGTCAAATCTAAAATTGAAGCCACTTTCACTGAATGAGTCTTGTCCTCCTGGACGGTTGCCGAAAGACTGGAACTGCAAAGATAAAGTCTAGATTCAAAGATTACAGCCCACAGAGACTTCTGGCCTTGGTTGTTAGTACTCAGAGTGTCTAGGAATCAAGTCCAAGATCTAGCAGGGTTTTAAGGGAAATGAATTGCCAGAAAAAAACCTGAACTTGCAGCTAAGAGCTATGCGCACTTAAGTGCTAAGCTGATTCCCAGGTTCCAGTAACCAAGTCCACCACAGGCGAGCTCCTAAAGAAGTGCAGGCCCCAGAAGAGACAATCTCCCCTATGCCTCTCTCTGGTTGGGGCTCAGAGAATAATGGAAAAGAGACTCCTTTGGTAGCAGCTAGACTGGTGACCAACAACTCACTGCCCAGCCAGGGAAACTCAACAATGTATTACAGACTTGGAATATATTATAGGACTATTGGCCACTATCCTCCTTCTAAATAGGAGTGTTTACTGTTGTTATCCGGCTTTCTCTCTTCTATTGAATAGTGGGTCTTTGAGAGTTAGTTTAACTGATTATATAGCTAACTTGAAGGAGTGTGTGGAGCTGTATTCAAACACCATCAAGAGTAATGCACATCTCTCAGAGATTTCAGACTTAGAGCTGGGGGCAGTAGCTGATAGTGACCTTGGGTAAGTCCAATTGCAGTTGAGATTTAGTTGCATTATTTTGCCAGGAGCATTTTTAGGAAAATATGGGGATGGATGGAGAAAATAGAATATGCCTGTCCTGAAAGGTCAAGGGGGAAAAATAGTAGACTGAGGTCGTTTATTTTTAAAATCTGTCTGCTACTTTGTGTCCCCATTCTTCTTTTTCTGGTAATCACACCCTTTTCTACTGAGGACCTCTTCCCCAAGCCCTGTGTGGTCCTGTGGCTGCCAATCAGTTTTCCCTCACCCTATTCCTACTACTGGAGTAGTCTTTTGACCCAGGCAGTAGCCTAGTAACAAATGCTGGACCAGACATAAAACCCCAATAGGGCCAATCAGAATCTTCTTTGAGTTACAACTATTTAAGTTACAGACATTGGGTTAGATCTGCTGGCAGTCAGCCCCTTGCCCAGCTGTATGCAGAATGTCCATTTACCACAAGAGAAAAATAAAGTCAATTCCCAGAGGGAGGCAGAGCTGAGAGATGAAAGAAAAGAGGAAAATGAGAAAGACATCCTTTGGTTCAGTTGTGCAAGAAGGCAAGGCCACACCTGGTCTTCCCAATATTGTAAGCCAATGAATTCCCCTTTTTATTAAATTAGTTTGAGTTTGGTTTCTGTCCCTTGCCACAAAAATATGTGACTAATACCTTAACTACATCTAAAAAGTTATCAAAGACCAGAACTTCACATTGCCCCCAAGAACAGTATAATATATTCAACATTCCTAAATTGGTAATGTATAATTTAAGGTAAATTACATGATTTTTTTCTTGTAACTAAGGAAAATAACCCATGTAAATATGAAGCCATCAGCCTTTTTGGAGTGTGACAACTGAGAAGCCAGCTAAAAGGCTTTAGAGTGATGGCTATTATGTTTTCATGGGAAAATTATAGTACTCATTTTAGGGTAGAGCTGTTTTATTAAGCTTATATGGACATCACAATTGCTATTTTAATAAAAATATCATTAAAATCAAAACATGCAGAAAGTGGGAAGATACATAATAATTTTTAGTGGTTTAAGATTGTATAAAGCAAATGGCTTAATATTATGCCAGTGGTTGGGGGATGGGATGTGCAGAAAATCCAGGATTTTTCCAGGTGAAAGAAAAGAATGGAGAGCAGATTCGGGGAAAAAAGAAAAAAAAAAGCCAATGATTTCTAAAATTATGGGATATTGGTACCAGAAATAAACAAGTAAAGAACATGAGCTTCTTTGGGGAAGGCAAAATTATAAACTTAGTTAAAGAAATTTTGAGCATGATGTGATTTAAAAAAAAAAAAACTATCCAGAAAGAAATGCCAATCAAGCAGCTGTGAGCATCACCATTGGGTGTCACTAGATTTAAGGATGTGAATTTGGGATTTCTTTATATGCAGGTTGTGGTAGAGACCAGGACTGTGAAAGATGTGGCACAAGAGTGAGGACACAGTGTGAAGAAATGTGCTCATTTAGGAAATGAAGGAATGCGCTCCTTAGGAATTAGGAATGTGCTCATTCAGGAAAATGAAGAAGAGGAATTGGTAAAGGAAACAAAATGGTGAGGGAAGAAATAGGGCCTGTATAAAGCCAAGATTGCCAAGGAAGGAGCAAGTTTCCAAAAGGAATGAGTGATTAATTTGAAAGGTTTTTGCATTTGGTTATTGAGTCTTTTGTAACCTCTAAATCAGGTTGCTAAGGATTAAATCACACTGTGTGATACGGAAGCAATGGTAGAATAAGCACAGAATAAGTACTTCAGCTTCTAGAAAGAAACAAAGAGAAGATTTGGTTTTGTTTGTGTTTTCCATTTTGTCTGAACTCAGAAGGAAGCCAATGCACAGAAATAGGCTGGATTTGTCATAGAGGGAACAAGGAAATGAGAAAGGCTTTGAGTTTGTGAATGTGCATGTGTTTCCAAGTATGACACATAGATAGAGGCAAGGACTAAGGGATTCACCTCAGAAATGAGAACAGACTTCTCAAGGGGAAAGTCAATGAAAGAGAAAAGATATTGAATTGGTTCAGGTGAAAAATGAGGAAACTTGAACCTGTCAGATGGTCTTAAAATTCTCAAGGAAAGTCAAACCCTGAAAGGAGGATCATGCCAACAGTGGTAAAGTGCTGGGAATAGTTGCCATGGGAAATAATCCACGATACTGGTTGTCCATATATTTATTCCAGCTGAAGGACTCCCAACAGGTGATATCCACATGTTGACTGCCATATCCAGATTCGGATCCATCACCTTGTCCATTCTCCCAGACTCCATGCCCTACCACACACACACACACAATTTTTCAGAAAAATAAATATCAAAGTGAGCATCTCTTTGTGGGTTGTAAGGTATGACATTTATAAATGCATTTTACAAGCATCTGAGTAATGGTCATTTCCTATGAACTGTGCAATAGATAAAGTAGGCTGCAGGAGATTCAAAAATCCCACTGGGCTTGCTGTAACTTGACGCCTTTTTGTCTCAACCAACCATCCATATCAGGTCACAGTTAGTGAGAAAGATGTGATTATGGAGAAAACCTAGTATCTACTCTGATTTTAAGTCAGTTGCAACAGTCTTATGATGCTCATTAGCAAAAAGCAAAAAAATGTACTTATGACAAGTCTTATCATTGTGACACCATGATTGAGAACTTTCGTTCCAAGGATTCAACAGGGATGCATAACGACTGAATAGCAATAAAAGCACAGATTACAAGATGCTTCTCCTTTTTTAGTTAGCCTGATTTTTGAAATTTTATTTCTAATATAAAATATCAAGAAAATATAATATGTTTTTCATACGCTATGTTTATGAGTTGTGTGGGGGGGGGGTTGTAAATGTGATTTTTATGAATGAGCTTTTGGTAAGAATGTTTTCTAACTCTAGGAAGGCTAGTCCTACACTATGAAATCACAAGGAAATGTTTCAGATAGAATCTAAGGAAGATTCCCTTACAGTTAAGAAGAATATCATTTATCATACAAATTGGAATATTCTGGGAAATGAAAAGGAGTTGGTATATATATTCTCTCCAAGTCCACGGAGAAGTGGACATAAAGTAGCACAATATACCAAGACATCTGTTTATCCTCCTTTTAGTCCAAAAAGAGCTCAAATATTCTCGGTTGCTTCATGAGTTACCATCTTATAAACTCTGGCACTTTCTCTGGGAGTATAGGAGGTGGCAGAAACTACCACTGAAAGCTTTGCATCCTTCCAACTTCTGGGAGGGCAGGGGATCTTTCTCCAAAGGATAATACCCTAATTCTATGTTGACCATGTGGAATTATCTTTTAGTTCATTTCTATGAGGTACTGGAAATATTTTAAAAATTACACTCAAATACACATATTCCCAGTATTTCCATTATAAATGATATTTAGAAAATTTTAAAAAAGTATCTATCATGTTACATTATAGAGTATACTGAATTAATTTACCCTTCTTTGAATGGCTCAAGAGTTAATTCAATAGTTATTGAATGCTTGCCATGTGTGGGAAATGTGTGAGGTGTTAGAGATACAAAGATGAATAAAAAAACATGGACTCTGTCCTTAAGGAGCTGAGAACAAGGGGAAGGTGAACATAAAAACAATTTAAATGATACGAGTTACAATTCAAAAATGTACATGTTCAAGTCCAAAAGAGAAATATAGGGGAAGTGCAGGGGGTATTCTTCCTCTAAAAGGAGGGATAAGAATAGGTAATGATGGGTAAAAATGACAGCAATGTTATCAGTTGGGGAATGAAGTTTATACCTAAGGCCTCAATTTTTTCCATAAAATTGGAGATGAATACATCTGTTGATATTGATGGGATGGGGAAATTGCTGCTGTGGGAAATTTTAGGCAATATTGCTAACCAAAAGCAAGTGATAGGTAGTATTTGGGCTCAGGTGAGACCAGAAATTGTGACTTTGTAGCTGTATTCATGCAGATGTTGATGAAATATGCTCAAGCAGCAATCAGCTAGTAATGCACAGCAAACGAAAATATAAACCAAAGGACCAATCAGAGTTGCGGAATGTGGGTCCAGTGCCGTTAAAAATAAGAGGGTGTATGCATTGCATGCCTGTATCAAAACATCTCATGTTCCCCATAAATATGTACACCTACTATGTACCCACAAAAAATAAAATTTCAAATTTAAAAAAAGAGATCAAAGCCATTAAAGTAGTGGTTTTTACAACTCCCAGGGAAACAATAGATCTAGGCAAGGATCATTGCTAATATCATCAAATGCTAGACAAAAAATCTTATCTACCTCCTAATGAAGGGCCTCTCAGCATGAAGCATTCCTACCAAAAAATTAAACAGAATCTGATAAAGCCTTTATATCTAATTATCAGTTTATAAGAACAAAAGAACAGGGAAAAGAGGAACATGATAAAAGTCCAAAATTAATCCAAATCCTTTTGGGATTAAGTCTAAAATTAATCCAAATCCTTTTAGGATGTGACCAGCAAAATCCAGACTATGAGAAACCAAATAGGACAATCTAGTTTCTCCAACAAGTAAGTTGCAAAAAACAAAATAAAAAGGGAGAAGGGACATATAGATTAAAAGATACTTAAGGCACATATCAGCCAATTGCAATGTATGAATGTGATTCAAACAAACAAACAAAAATGACTCAACAAGACAAATTTATTATTTTCTGGGTGCCTGGTGAGATTAAGATGATATTGTTAACTTTTAGATATGATCATGGATGAACTTGTAATATTTAAAGTAAAATATCAATTAGAAATATATGCTTAAATATTTTTAAATAAAATGATATGGTATCCATATCATCATTTGCTTCAAAATAATACATTTAGAGGGGAAGAGCATACATTAAAAAAATTGACCAAGATGGCTCTTCGGGGTATAAAGTTTTATTATATTGCTTTCTTTATTGGTGTATTTGAAAATTTCCTTTATAAAACATTTAACGACAACAAAAACTGGAAGAATATTGTATTCAGGTGAACAACCATGAGAATTCATAGAAGAGAAGGAAGTCTATGGAAGAGGGCCAATAAACTGAAGGGAAAAGAAGAGTGTTAAAGGACTGGAGGATGTTCTTGTCTTGTTGAGGCTAAAGAGTAGGTACAGTATAAGGGAGTGAGAATGTAAGAGCCAATGTAGATTGTGCAGGGTTCAGAGATGCCACAGAAGTGATGTCTTACTACACAGGGTTGAGGAAGGCAGGGTTGAGGAAGGCAGGTCACGTATCTAGACCCCCACCAGTACTGTATAAAGAGTATGTCTGGGTCATCGCTGGCTGTGGAAAGCATGTAAGGCAATGGTAGTATGAACTGGCTGGAGAATGCCATGAGCCAGAAGCCCAGGTCCTCATTAAAGTAGACGAGTGATAGACATTTGTCTTTTTAGAGGAAGATAAGACAGGGCAGAGGGTGTATATCTAGATCACTATGAGAGACACCAACTACCAGAGTGTGCCCTTTTCTAAGTAGTGACTTCAAGCTTCTGTTTTTAGTATCGTCTGTTATCCAATACAAGTTAGACTACAGTGGTTTTTATGTGGCTTGCTGCAAACCTGTCTGTGACACAAAGTGGCCATTTCCCTCATAACTTATAGCATTTCTGCTTTCTTCCAAATCTGAACTGAAGAGCAATGATTTCAGACATTTAATCATCAAAGAAGAGGACTCCATCTACACTGTGGTTAAGGAATGGTATGTCATTCTTTCTAGTCTTTAGGAAATAGAAGTGGGAAGGAAATTGTCACCACATCTCAAAAGATATATCTTTTCCTTTACTTACAAAAATTATTCCAAAATTTCAGTATAATTTTTTTCAAGCAAATAATTCTTTTCTTTTTGAAGCATAATTTTCCAGAGGAAGTACATGTTTGTACTTAATTATCTCCATTGTTTATTTCTAGATCCTCAAAGAATGGTTTGAAATGCATAAATAGATCTTAATAACTGTTATGAGTCATTCTTGTTATAAAAAATGTGTAAAACAAAGTTTAGCATATCTTTTAAATGACAACTGTAAATTGTGACTTTATAACATTCCCAGAACAACTTCCTCATAAGAAAGTTAACTTACTTTCTTATCTTCTGTGCACAATTGACAACTCTTCTTTACAGCACATTCTACAATTAAAAAAAATTAAGTCCAAAATTAATCCAAATCCTTTTTATTGCTCAATTTTACATAAAAGTGCATTTCATTTAGTAATTCCTGTTTTAAGCCATAGTCATCCATACCCCAGCATTTTACTTCATTATTTTCATGTATCTAGATCCCTACCAGTACTGTATAAATCCTCTTAGTTTTAAGTCTTTTCTCCTATTTCTTGGAAAAACATGAAATAGCATCATCCAACTTTGATGAGCCAAGTTCTAAAAAACAACCCCCAAAACATAGTAAGGAAAAACAAATTGGCAACTCCATTGTATTTTAAAATATCATGTGCTGTTATTCAGGATGGTATTGCCAAGATATTCTTACTTAACTAATTAACCCTTTAAATAGTAAAAAAAAAAAAAAAATTAATTCCCTATCTTTTTTTGCCACAAAGCTTTAAAAACTTTTCCCAAATGAGGATTTTCATTCCTCTAGTTTTATGGAAAAACAAACAGTATGATTTATATTTGAAAGTTCTAGAATAAAAACTATGAATTTGGAAAAAAGCATTTCAATGCCTCATTTTATTACTGCAACATCTCCTTAAAGAAAGGGTCTGGAATTAATGTCCTAGTTGTTTTGTGATACAGCAACAATAAAGTTGCTCTCTCTATTATTTTGGGGACAGAGTTCACAGGCTCTGTGGGAAAGGTCAAATCTTTCTATTTAATTTCAAATTGTTTGATTGGATGCAGATCTGATGTGGCTGGGGAAAAAATTTTACAGTTCAGTTTTCAAATTAAGTCCTATTGAATGTTACTTCCTCCTAGCCGAAAGTATCCTTGAAATACCCATGGGAAAGTTGAGTGAAAGAAAAGGCAAGGTGAATGGTAAAGATTCTGCTGCCTCAGCTATGTGAAGGACAGCTGGCCTCAGGCTCCTTTCGGAAGGCAGAAACAGGGAAACAGAGGACACATGACTTGGCCACTGTTCTCAGAGCTCTACATGCTTCCCACAGCTTTTTTGTAAACTAAAGTTTTTATTTTTGTATAATTTCAGATTTACAGAAAAATTGTGAAGATTCTACAGGGAGTTCCTGTATACCCCCTCACCCAGTTTTCCAATTTTTTCTTTTTCTTTTTTTTTTTTTTTTTTTTGAGACGGAGTCTCACTCTGTCACCCAGGCTGGAATGCAGTGGCACGATCTCGGCTCACTACAACCTCCGCCTCCCAGGTTCACGCCATTCTCCTGCTTCAGCCTCCCGAGTAGCTGGGACTACAGGCACCTGCCACCACGCCCGGCTAATTTTTTGTATTTTCAGTAGAGATGGGGTTTCACCATGTTAGCCAGGATGGTCTCGATCTCCTGACCTCGTGATCCGCCCGCCTCAGCCTCCCAAATGCTGGGATTACAGGTGTGAGCCACTGCACTGGCCCTCCTATTGTTAATACCTTACACTACCATGGTACATTAATCGAAACCAAGAAACTAACACTGGCACGTGACTTTTAACTAAACTCCAGATTTTATCAGGATTTCACCAGTCTCTACACTAACGTCCTTCTCCTTTGCAAGATCCCATCCATACCACATTGCCTTTAGTCATCATGTCTCCTCTGGTCTGCGACAATGTCTCACTCTTGCCTTGCTTTCATGACCTTGACAGTTTTGAGGACTACTATCCTCAGTACTTTCAGATATTTTGCAGAATGCCCCTCAACTAGGATTTGTCTGATGCTTTTCTCCTGATTAGATGGAAAAAGAGTTTTGGCTAAGAGCGAAGAGAGGAAGTTCCTTCCTCAACACATTATGTCAGTAAATAGCCTGCTCTGGTTCCATGGTTGAGGTTTAGATTGAGCATTTGTATAACTAACAAGCCATCTCTTTAATACTCATTTTTGCCCTTATTGGAAAACTAATGAGGGTACAGCTGACCTATGTGTTACATGAATCAGTAGGTTCTTTCTTCTCTTCTATTCCTAAAGAACGAGGTTCTAGCTATTTCCATGGCATTACCAGGTACCAGATTCTTTCACCCTCAAGGCCTGATGTTTGCATATATGTTTTCTATCTGGTTACTTCTTTGCTCTTGATTACATTTTTCGTGACTTCTGTATCATTTCTCCTAGCTCTCTTAGAACATCGCTGGTCTTTCTTTTTCAGTTTCTTCAACTGGTTCCACTCCTACCAATGTCTGAAATGTTGTTATTCCATAAAGTTCCATCCGTGATCCTCTTCTCCCATGAAGAATCACAATTTCAAATGCCTAGACATTCCTGGCATAAAATATATTATGCAAAATATCAAAACAAAATTTTTTTATTGGCATTGCAATAAATTAATAATATAAAAATATAGTTTATCCGCAAGGGAAAATTTTTCAAGAACAGCTAAGAGAAAAAAACAATGGGGAGTATATGTAAAATAACAAGATTTTATATATTAAAATTCTTCTTATATTTTATTTACCTGTTACATCTATTTTAAAACTATGTTGTTAGGTGAATAAAGGTTTGTCATATGTCATCTTGGTGTACTGTACTACATGTCAATATGGAATATCACTTTTTCTTTGACTTAATGATTTCTTTTACTTGAATTCTGTTTTATATAATATTGCTACACTTGCTTTCTTTTTCAGTAGCATTTGTAAGGTATATCCTATTCCATCAATTTATTCTTTATTCCTTTATTTCCTCTAGTGACCTCAAAATACACATTCTATTTCTATTCTTGAGCTGTTATTTTAAAAATTTGGGGAGATATTTTATATGCATCTTTCTATCATCATTTAATCAGGATCTACATTCTCAACCTAGACAAAGATCCTAATATGTTTTTACTCTTCTCTTTCTCCCCATGCCACTTCCCAGTTAAATAATTTTAACTTTAACTATTTAATAGCAGTTAAACTTCCATATGATTTCTGTGTCATATGGATTTCAGAAATCAGATGGAATTTTAATTACTATTAAAGTTATTAATGATTATTTGACATATTTAAATTGCTGTTGAATTATAATAAATTATTTAGAATTAACTCTTCATTTTACTAGTTTCTTTGCTTACTACTCTTTCTTGAATCCCACATTTTCCCCTTGGATTCATTTTTCATTTTGCTGGATATTATTGAGTATTTTTTTCAGATGTCTGTGAATGATAAACTCTTTGACTCTTCAAGTGTCCAAATGTTTTTATTTTGTATACCTTCTAGAGCACAGCTGGCTTAGTCTGTTAATATGTTCTAGTTTCGACACCATTTTCTTTTCTTCAAAACTTTAAAGATATTTTTCTTTTTCTTTTTTTTTTTTTTGAGACAGAGTCTCATTCTGTCACCAAGCTGGAGTGCAGTGGCGCGATCTCAGCTCACTGCAAACTCCACCCTCCTGCCTCAGCCTCCCAAGTAGCTGGGACTACAGGTGTGCACCACCACGCCTGGCTAATTTTTATATTTTTAGTAGAGATGGGATTTTGTCATGTTGGCCAGGATGGTCTCTATCTCCTGACCTCGTGATCCACCCACATTGGCCTCCCAAAGTGCTGGGATTACAGGCGTGAGCCACCACGCCTGGCCCAAAGATATTTTTCTGTGTATTTTTCTTTAATTAGTTCCTCTCTTCCATTTCTCTCCTCCTGAAACTCCTATTACATTAATGTTGGCATGAACTCTTGTCTCTTTTTTCTACAGGCTATCTCTTGTTCTTTTGTACTGCATTCTGTAAGAATTCCATGGCTCAATTATTGAGTTTGCTAATTCACTCTTTAGCTATGTTTGTGTTGATTATATTTTTAATTTCCAAGATTCATCATCTTTTCCAGAATAGTCTGTTCTTGTTTCATGGCTATCTCCATGAGAATACTAATTATAGTGTTGAGAGAGACATACATCCTAGACCCTGAGCATCTCTGGATTTCCTTGCTCAATGTGCCAAACTTCTTGGCGTAATTATCCTCTGACCCTGCACTTATTCTGTATCTGGTAACATAGTCAATTAAATAGGTCAAGGCAACCACAGTGTGACTATAGTCACAATTACTCCCCAGGGACTAGATTTTTTACTGCTTGCCATAAAAGTTCATAAGCTCTTAGTCCTGGGTTCCTTAGCTCCAGTTCATCTGGCTGCATTCATAAGCACAATCTGGATACATTGCATTGCTCCATGGGACTTGGGGGCAGGAGATTTGGTGCTGCCATACTGACGTTCCTGCTGTTGGCTGTGCTATGAGTAATAAACCGTCTGGCACTGATCCATTGAGTCTCACTGTCTACTTTTAGCACCTTTGGAGTTGTGGCAAGCCAATCTACTTGCCAGCTTAGTCATTTCCTTTGGAATCTTGTTAGTCCTTGCCATTTTCTATAAGAGAAATTTCTAATTTTGAGGTGTTTTTCCCCTCTCTTAAATGTGTTTTAATAAATTGGTTCTTTTCTTTATTGGATTTCATGATTCTTGATTGTGTTAGCACAATCAAGTTAAGATTTAGGTGTATGTATATAGGCTATTTCCACCTCTGTGGTGTGGGTGAGGACTGGGACATGCTGCCAGATTCAGTGTGTTGGTAGTATATCTTTTCCTGCCCTTCCAGGCCAATAATTCACACTCACTGTTAACCTGGGGCAGTTGCCTCTGCTGCCTGCTTCTTGAGATAATTTGAGAAGGTGGAGAGGCAACCAGCTATAGTGCTCTAAGATCAGCACCCAGGAAGCTGCTCCACAACTCCCTCCTGCTCTTTGTATTCAGTGCTGCTGAGCTTGGAGCAACCCCAGAAACCACTCTTACATTAGTCTTCTCTTATGTGTGTTTTAGGCTGTGGCTTTCTCCATTGGTCTGATCTGAATTGCTTTCTGTTTCTCAGGGATTCTTAACATTTTCTGGCTCTCATGTTGTTTTCCAGCACTGTCATAATATATATCTCTATAACTAGTCATGTGCTGCATAACTATATCTTGGTCAACAGACTGCATATAGGACAGCCATCCCTTCAGATTATAATACTGTATATTTTTACTATTCCATTTCTATGTTTAGGTAAGTTTAGATACACAAATACTTACCATTGTGTTACAATTGCCTGCAGTATTCAGCATAGTAACATGCTGCATAGGTTTGTAGCCTAGGAGCAATAGGCTAATCTAGCCTAGGTGTATAATAGGCTATACTATCTAGGTTTGTGTAAGTACACTCTATGACATTCACACAATGATGAAATTGCCTAACTATGCATTTCTCAGGATACACCTCTGTCATTAAGCAACACATGACTGCATAATGTTTACTGAAAACTTACCATGTACTAGAAAATGTTCTGAGTGCATAACACAGATTAACTCATTTGATCCTCACAACAACCATTTACAGAAGATACTATTTTATTCTTATTTTACTGATAAGGAAATTGTGACACAGAAAGCATGGGCCTAGTAAGCAACAGAGCTGGGAGGTGAGTCCAGGCAGTGTGAGCTGCTGCCTGTAATAACTGTGTTCTTCTGCCTCTCTGGTGAAACAAGTACTGTCAGAGAGGCGCAGCTAAGTACAGGAGCAACTATTCACTCAGATTTGGTGGACTAAAGGAAGGCATCATAGAAGAGGTGGAATCTGATCTAGGCCTCTCAATATCAGAATTCAGTTTTACATCACAATTCAGTATAATGTCAAATCCCCCATTTCTGCTAGTGGCAGAAAACCATAAACTTGCAATCTAAGTTCAGTCAATTAATTCATCCTCCTTTGAATAAACATTTAGCTAAATGTAGGGTTTGCTCCTTCCCCATTTACCTTGGGGATGCTATACTTTTCTGGGAGCAAAGCCTATGTGTTGCCCTGGCACTAGGGTGTGACTGGACTGAGTCCCCTCCTCCTTCCTTGCTAGCCTCACTGTGTGAATCTCACCTGTCCCCTTCTTAGGGAGTGTCATGTCTAGCATCTGTGGTCCTGCTGTGGTTTCTAGACGTGAGGTCCAGTATTCTCTGTGAAAGACCTTTCCCTCTTCAATTCTGCCAGCTGTCACAAGAGCTGCCTTGTCTGTACCCCACCCACTATATTGGGAATTTTAGGGCTCTCTAATCTTTTCCCTACAAAATTCTTATGTCCAAGGGATTATGACATGCAGTCCTTGAGTCCATTTGCTAAGATACTTCTTCCTGCTACTATTACCTACTGTTTGGGAGCCATGTTAGCTTCATGTTATCTATGAGACCAGTGGATTCAGAGTAAACTCTAGAAAGTGAGTCACAAGTTCCTAATATTTTCAGATTCCCCTTCAACCCATCTGAGATTTATATTATCTCACCCTTCCTTTACCTCAGCCAGAAGTGGTATACCAGGTTTCTCTCCTGGTTCCCCATCAGCATTTAAACCTTAGTGTCAATGCTGTAATCCTCCTAATACCTGCCTGCTGGTCAAAATCTTAAAGCACTTTTTGTCTTAAAGATGGCTATATGAAGTTAGGATCCAACCAGGAAAATAGAAATCACTCTGTGTATATATAACACTGGGAACTTAGTACCGAGATTGGGTATGCAGGTGATGAAAGAGGCTGAGAAGTTTACCAGGGGAAAGAAAGCGAAGTCCAACCTCCTCCCAGATAACAGTACCCCCTAGGCTAGAGGACAGAGGAATGAGGCAGCTACCAGAGCCCACCACAATAAGTAAGCTTAGAGTATGTGACAAATATTCTTGGTGTGTTCACCATTAGCAGAAATAAACAAATGAAGAGAGAAAACTCGGAAGCCTTGCCTTATATTCAAATTATTTGGCCTTCAATTTATTTCCTTGGAGCTATCTGCCTTTTAATTTCATTCTGATATCTTGCTATCGACTTCGAGGCTTGTTTCACTGAATATTTCTCGTTTGATTGTTCTCTAGCTCAAAGCACTTGTGGGAAATTTTCATGTTTCTTGAGTTGTGTTCTCTTCTAGGGTAGATTATTTGGGGTGTGTGTGTGTGTGTGTGTGTGTGTGTGTGTGTGTGTGTGTTTGCATGCTATCGTATACTCCTTTATTTCTTTATTTTGCTGTGCAGGGTTTACATAGTTGCTCTATTGTTTTCATTCTACTAATGCTTGCACAGCTCTGTTCAGACCTTCCATTTGTTCTGATATAGTGTAGGTGAGATCCTAACCACCTTACCATGATCCTTGAGATTTTTTTCAAGAAGCTACAGTTTTATGGCATTTTATGTTCTATTCACTCCATTGTTTTCAGCATTAGACAAGGGGGAGAACTCAAATGAGGCTGTGCCAGGCTTTGTTAGAATATCTGACTCTGCTCTCTCTTTTGAGGTTTGTCATTTTCCAGTGCCAAGGTTTGCTAGAGCTTATCAGAGGTGTTTCCCATTTCCATGAAGGGGTATCTTTGGACTCTAGATCCACCCTCAAATCCAGCTTGTAACGCAGGAACCTGAGTTTCCTTCAGAGAGTCAGGCCCTCTCTCTTCAGGTCCTCATTCCACCTATTTCTCTGCAGTAGCCATTTCCTCTTCTCATCTTCGGAATAAGAAAAAGAATGGATACCCCCTCAACTTGTTTCTCTCCAGATTTGGGAGAATTAATAAAAATTATTGGATTATAGTAACTCACTAGTTACCTCTAAGGGAGAGTGGCAACATTTGGAGTCTTGCCATGCTGTGCTATTCTGTTCTGATCTAGAATCTTCCAGTTCTTTCCTTAGTTGCCACTTATTTTTTGCACTATGCCCCTTTGTTGTCTGGTTACTTTTAGTGAAGAAAATTCTCTAGGTTTCAGTATATTTTTTAATCCAGTCATTAGATTCTAGAAGATTAACCCAAAGTTGCATCAAGTGCTTTCTATAATTTCTTGAGATATTGATTACTAAGCTCTCAAATGTAAATGAACATCAGAGATAGAAGTCCTGGGGATCAAAACAACCTGCTTAGGGGGAGGTCTCACTTGATGTGCAATCCTTCACAAAGTCCTGTCTGTTGCCTGTCACTTAGGGCACAATCTGGGACATAGATGAGGATCTCGTGAAGGCTTAGAAGCCCCTTTTCAGTTTTGGAAGTGAAAAGTATCATGATGTCTAAGAAACCATATCCTTGTTAGATGGGAAGATTAAATGCAAGCACTAAGGGGAACTGGCCTGAGACTAAGATGCAAGCATTCAGGAGAGGCCCTTGGCAGGCAAGGTGTTTCCTTAGAAACATGGGCTCCAGTTGGCCAGCCCTAGAAGTGAGCTAGCTAGCAACAGAAACTTCCATCTTTGGAGATTATCTTAGATGTGATTTTTGATTTATTTTATTTGTTTTCTTTCTTTTTTCTTTTTTTTTTTTTTTTTGTTCTTCATCAGCATTTTGATAAAGTCTTAAGACGTGAAAAATTTCCGGTATGAGTCCAGTTTGCTAGGGAACAAAAGGAAGAATTTGTTTTTATGTTTGGGCCTATGCTTTCAGGTGCTGTTTGTTGGGAGAAGGGGCCAGGATGGCACTGGAACACTATTTCTCTTAGAGTATGTATAGAGGTGACCAAGAGGTTAAAAAAGAGAAATCTGTGGGAAAGATGAAACCAAAGAAAACAAGCTAGCTCTTTTAATTCAGCGTCGCCCCAACCCTACCCCCTCGAAGGAGATTCTTATTTCAGTGCAACGCTGAGAACTGTGGATTTGGTTTTAGTAAGGAAGACTGATTTGCTTACAGATACTAACATTCTTTTCTACTCTGGAAACCAGACAGCAGTAATTATTCTGTCTCATTGTCTTTGTAAAAATGGCAATCTTGGCTTTACAGGGCACTTTCCAAGTAATTCAAATTCTGTCTCTTATTTTGTCTATACGGTTCCAATTTAGGATACTTAAAACCTTATTTCCAGGTTCATGAATTTAACTCAGCATGACTTTTAACATTTCAAAATTTTTTCAATTTGGAAGGAAATCGAGAGAGGCCTCCAAACTGAAGTAATTTTTTTATGAAAAAGAACAAATAAAGCATTTTATTAACTAAGACCTTAAAAAACTTAAGAAAGAGGAACTATGACCATTGAGTGGGTCTGATTAGAACAAAACCCAATGGCTTATTCACAACAAAAAGCTTATATGTCATAGGTCATGCAGAAAGTGATGGGGGAGAAACCATGCTTTTCCTCAAATTTAAAACTTTGAATCTACCTTTCATATTTCAGATAAACCAAATTAATCTGAGTCCAATTTAACTGAGTTTCACCAAAACCATCTAGAACCTTTAAAATGTCTTCCCACCAACACCAAATGACAACTTTTGAGATGAAAATTCCAGTGCACCAGGATGGCACCATTAAAAGGAAAAAAAACGCTGGAGCATGTGGGGCACCCACCTCAGGACTCCAGATCACTCACCCTCTTCATTCCCATCTCTTGGTTTCTGATTGTTCCTGGGGCTGTGGATAAAACCATTCTCTGAGAAGCTGATAAGCAATTGGATGAGAAAGAGGGAGAGGAAAACTGGCAGGAGGATCTGGCCCCATGCCCGCAGCCAGCACATCTCTCTTCAGACCTGGTGACCCCAGCCACTGGGAACCTGGCAGGCACCAGCTACAGTGTTGGACACTGAGACCCGCCCAGAGACTGTGACCTACCACAGCCCTGGGTGCTGAAGCTGCCACTTGCAAGCCCTGGATGCCAGCATAATCAGCAGAACCTTAGAATCCCTAATGTTCTAGCCAGAATGTAGAATGTTCATAGTGCAATCCTCGTCGGCACTGGGTCCAGCTTCCTGGGCCCTGAATACCATGTACAGTTGGTCCACTGGACTTGACTGAGGTCTATTTCTCCCAAATCAACACTTTTCCCTACTACATTGTTGTTTTTTGGAGAAAGACCTGGATTCTAATTCTCACTACTTGAATATGTGTACAGAAGTTGCACTCTTCCATGCTGCCTTTTCTCTGATGTAAATGAACCTACCACCCACTGCACTCCATGGGAGTGGTTGTGCGATCAATGAGTGGTAAGGCCGTGAAACTCACAGCTCTGTAAACCCTTGGTCTTGTCCTTGACTAGCCTGGTGATCCTATTGACGTGCTCTAATGCAGTTTCCTAAAGGTAGGTATGTTTTGGGTAGTACATAAATGTCTTTTATTTTCATAGTTATGAATTTATTTTAATGCGTATTGGAAAAATATAACCAGTAGTTACAATGATGTAATAGCAACGATATATGCTTTTAAAATAAATCTGTGCAAAAAGGACAATTTTCAGAAATATAAATAGTACACAACTTAAAGGATATGGCAAAAATTGGGGAGGTGGTTCCAGAATGACTGAAATTTGAGCAATCTTGCCCCAGTATGTGTGGTTGGGGAGGGGTAGAGGTGGGTGATGAAAACTTGTCCTTGACCAGGAATTATCTTGTTTTGTTTTTCAAAAACGATCAGGTGGGAAGATCGCTTGAGCCAAGAAGTTCGAGGCTGCAGTGAGCTATGATCGCATCAGTGCACTCCAGTCTGGGCAACAAAGCAAGACCTTTTCTCTAAAAAAATTATTTAAAAAAATTTAAAAAACAAATGTTGCAGTTTTCCCATAGTATTCCTGGCATATTGATCTAGACTGCATCCTGAGGACTATGGGTCTAGTATGGACAATAAAGATGGAGGAGGAGAAGATGTGCAGAGTTCCAGGCTAATTTTTCTTCACCCATTTGCAATGCAGAGGACAGACAGAGGGTTATTAGCTATAATATAAAAAGTGCTTTTATAAATTGACAAAAAAAAGGACAAAAGATAAACAATAGGAAAACGGACAAGAGATGTGGAGAATCCATGGACAGAAAAGCAAATCCAAGTAGCCAATGAATATATGAAAAAAATAGTTTAGAAACACTAGTACTAGGAACTAGGAAATTATAAATTAAAACTAATAATGTAAACATCAGGTAGGCAAGCATTTAAAAAGAAAACTAAGATATCATTGGTGAAGTTGTGGGGGAAAAGGTACTATTATACTTTTTGGAGGAACTGTAAATTGTTACAGTGTCTTTAGAAAGCAAACTTGTTGCTTTCTAAAGCAGCCATTAAAATGAAAAATACATATATTCTATGTTCATATTGTTTCTTGGAGACCTGCCCCTCATTGCCTCTCAGTTCTCATGGTATGGGTGGAGTTCCAACTCCTACTTTGGAAGTAGGACATGAAAACTACACCTGAGCAAAGCAGGTCATAAAACTTCCCTGGCCACCATGCCTGGCTCAGGAGTGGGGCACATGACCTAGGTTGGTCTAATCCAAGTCAATCTCAGAGCTTTTGCTAGGAATGCTAGGATAAAGATGCTTGTCTTCCTCTGGATTCAAATTTGGAAGGACTTAGTCTCTGTAGCTGCTAAAAGCCATCATAAGTCTATGTGGGAGATGGGCACGTTGGCTCATGCCTATAATCCTAGTACTTTGGGAAGCTGAGGCAGGCAGATTGCTTGACTCCAGGAGTTCAAGACCAGCCTGGGCAACATTGTGAAACCCTGTCTCTACAAAAAACAAAACAAAACAAAACAAAACACAAAAAATTAACCAGCATGGTAGTGTGCACCAGCTACTCAGGAGGCTGAGGTGCAAGGATCACTTGAGCCCAGGAGGCAGAAGTTGCAGTGAACGGAGATTGCACCACTACACCCCAGCCTGGGTGACAGAACAAGACCCTGTCTCAAAATAATAATAATAAAAGAAAAAAAGACTATGTTGAATATGGCCATTAAAATGCCCATATCAAATTAAAATTGACTGATGGACTCAGCTGCTGTCCCTCAGATGTATCCACCATATTCATCTCAAGGCCATGCTTCCTACAAGCTACTCTCAGGCAAGACTAAACATGGGAAGGAGTACTAATATGGGATACTTTTAGTGGAAGATTTTGGCTTGAAAATTCCCCATCAAAGTGGTTGAAACTTTCTTAGAATTGTGCTGCACTCTGAAACTCTACCAACCAAATTCTCCTTCCTCCTTTCCTCTCTCTTCACTGATGTCAGACCTGCATTGCTGTCTGAAGGTTCTCACCTGCACTAGCTCCTTCCCCTTTATTTTTTCTTTTCTTTTCTTTTCTTTTCTTTTCTTTTTTTTTTTTTTTTTGAGACAGAGTTTTGCTCTCTCTTGTTGCCCAGGCTGGAGTGCAATGGCGCGATCTCAGCTCACCACAACCTCCACCTCCTGGGTTCAAGCAATTCTCCTCTCTCAGCCTCCCAAGTAGCTGGGATTACAGGCATGTGCCACCATGCCTGGCTAATTCTGTATTTTTTTTTTAGTAGAGACGGGGTTTCTCCATGTTGGTCAGGCTGGTCTCAAATTCCTTACCTCAGGTGGTCCGCCCACCTCAGCCTCCCAAAGTGCTGGGATTACAGGTATGAGCTACTGTGCCTGGCCTCTGCTTTATTTTTTGTGTTTCCCCAGTAAAACTCTTGGACTTCTAATCCCATCTTAGCAGATCTTGAAGGACCTGAGCTAATACAAATGCTACTGAGTGTTCTGACAGAACCAGTGGTAAGATAAAATTTTGAGATTTGTTTACTCACTATCCGATGGACAGAGCTCCAGAGACATTTTGATGATACCAGCCAGGCAGGTCTGTATGCTAAAGGTAAGAGCTTGGGTTGGGAAAATTTGGAATCCTGAAACAGCTTCTGTGGTGAAACATTATTACTCTATTACTTTGAGAACCCCACTATCCCCATAGATGTTAATGAGTTCAGCTCTGTGACTGCCTCTACTGTCAGTTTTGGCTTGCAGAGGGGAGCTGCTGAATTTTTTAGTGATGTTGGTGCCCTTCTTACCAGCACATTCCTGATGGCCTTGGTGAATGGATGGATACTCCTAATGTTGACTCTGCAGATCCTCCAGGAATCTAAGAACTTGCAGCGGGGGGCTGACCTTTCCGCTGGAAAACACAATAAGGGTATCTTAATAGGTGTCCTCTCAGGAGAACCCCGACCTCTTCTCTTGGCTGCTAGGCCAATAACTAGGGTTAAATCCAGCTGGGGACATGCTGGGCCTGAGAAAGGAGGAAAGAAATTATATTACAAGATATAACTAGCCAATGAGGGCCACCAATACTGAATTTTGAGGGTGTTTGCACAAGGGGCTAGAATATGAAACTGAACAAGCAAGGTTTCTTTGACTTGGAAGTACTTTTGTAGGACATGAAATTTAATGGCCTGGTAAGACCCAGGGGACAGTGTGAACTCATTGTTAGAATGGCTCTTAGAAGCCTAAGAAAGTGATCCAACACTGAGCAAAGTGGAAATGCCTGAGTTGCCTAGGCAGGAGGAAGAGGAAGGAATAAAAAGGCTGAGAAGGAGAAGTTGGCTTGCTGGAGTGGCTACATTATGTGAGGTCAGAAAAACTACAAGATAACTATGTTCCAGGGGAGAGTCCAGAGGAAACACCATTCACCAAGGAAATCAGGAATGTGCTGGTAAGAAGGGCACATGCATCACTGAGAAGTTCAGTAGCTCTCTTCTTCAGGCCAAGACTGACAATAGAAGCAGTCACAGAGCTGCAATCGTTAATATCCAATGGGAATACTGGGGCCTCCAAAGTAATAGCGATCAGATCATGGCACTTAAATGAAAGAAGCCAGAACCTCACAACCACCAAGATCAGAGGGGCAGTCAATGGAAGCCTGACCCACAGCAGGGAAGGGAGATGGTTAATAGAACATGGCATTTCTAGGAGCAAAACAGGGGAGTAGCCAGCAAGGGTGATGTTTAACATCCACAACCAGAAAAGGGCAAGGATGGAGGAGTAGGAAGCTGAGGACAATGACCCCAATAAACAGTCACGATCCCTTGATCACTGTATTCGTCCATTCTCACACCACTATAAAGACATATCTAAGACTGGGTAATTTATAAAGGAAAGAGGTTTAATTGACTTACAGTTCAGCATGGATGGGGAGGCCTCAGGAAAACTTAGAGTCATGGCAGAAGGGAAAGCAAACACGTCCTGCTTCGCATGGCAGCAGGAAGGAGAAGTGCCAAACAAAGAGGGAAAAGCCCCTTATAAAACCATCAGATCTCGTGAGAATTCATTCACTATCACAAGAACAGCAGCATAGGGGTAACCAGCCCCATGATTCAGTCACCTCCCACCAGGTCCTTCCCATGACATGTGGGGATTATGGGAACTACAATTCAAGATGAGATTTGGGTGGGACACAGCCAAAGCATATCATTCTGCCCCTGAACCCTTCCAAATCTCATGTCCTCACATTTCAAAACACAATTATGCTTTCCCAACAGTCACTCAAAGTCTTAACTCATTTCAGCATTAACTCAAAAGTCCAAGTCCAAAGTCTCATCTGAGACAAGCCAAGTCAATTCTGCCTATGAGCCTGTAAAAATCAAAAGCAAGTTAGTTACTTCCTAGATACAATGGGAATACAGGCATTGGGTAAATACACCTGTTCCAAATGGGAGAAATTAGCCAAAACAAAGGGGCTACAGGGCCCATGCAAGTCTGAAATCCAGCAGGGCAGTCAAATCTTAAAGCTCCAAAATGATCTCCTTTGACCCTATGTCTCACAACCAGGTCATGCTGATGCAAGAGGTGGGCTCCCACAGCATTGGACAGTTCCACCCCTGTGGCTTTGCAGGGTACAGCCCCCTTCTTGGCTGCCTTCATGGGCTGGCATTGAGTGTCTGCAGCTATTCCAGGTGCATGATGCAAGCTGTTGGTGGAGCTACCATTCTGGGGTCTGGAAGATGGTCACCCTCTTCTTGCAGCTCCACTAGGCAGTGCCCTAGTGGGGACTCTGTGTGGGGGCTCTGACCACACATTTCCCTTCTGCACTGGCCTAGCAGAGGTTCTCCATGAGGGTTCCATCCCTGCAGCAAACTTCTGCCTGGACATCTAGGGATTTCCATACATCCTCTGAAATCTAGGCTGAGGTTCCAAACCCTCAATCCTTGATTTCTGTGCACCTACAGGCCCAACATCACGTGTAAGCAGCCAAGGCTTGGGGCTTGCACCCCCTGAAGCAACCAGCCTGAGCTCTACATTGGCCCCTTTTAGCCACAGCTGGGATGCAGGGCACCATGTCTCTAGACTGCACAAAGCAGCAAGGCCCTGGGCCTAGTCAACAAAACCACTTTTTCCTCCTAGGCCTCTGGGCCTGTGATGGGAGGGGCTGCCATGAAGACCTCTGATATGTGCTGGAGACATTTTCCCCCATTATCTTGGTGATCAACATTTGGCTCCTCATTACTTATGCAAATTTCTGAAGCCAGCTTGAATTTCTCCTCCGAAAGAACATGGGTTTTTCTTTTCTATCACATTGTCAGGCTGCAAATATTCTGAATTTTCATGATCTGCTTCCCTTTTATACATAAGTTTCAATTCCAAACCAATCTTTGTGAATACGTAAAACTGAATGCTTTTAACAGCACCCAAGACACCTCTTGAATGCTTTGTTGCTTAGAAATTTCTTCCACTGGATACTCTAAATTATTTCTCTCAAGTTAAAATTCCACAGATCTCTAGGGCAGGGGCAAAATGCCACGTCTCTTTGCTAAAACATAGAAAGAGTCACCTTTATGCCAGTTACCAACAAGTTCCTAATCTCCATTTTCAGCCTGGACTTCACTGTCCCTATGACTATCAGCATTTTGGTCAAAGTCATTCAACAAGTCTCTAGGAAGTTCCAAACTTTCCCACATCTTCCTCTCTTCTTCTGAGCCTCCAAACTTTTCCAACCTCTGCCTGTTACCTAGTTCCAAAGTCACTTTCACATTTTCACTTTCACTTTCACATTTCACTTTCACCGGCTAGTGAGCAGTACCTCACTACCCGGTACCAATTTACTATATTAGTCCATTCTCACGCTGCTGTAAGGACATATCTGAGACTGGGTAATTTATAAAGGAAAGTGGTTTAATTGACTCACAGTTCCACATGGCTGGGGAAGCCTCAACTTACAGTTATGGCAGAAGGGGAAGCAAATATGTTCTTCTTCACATGGCAGCAGGAAGAAGTGCTGAGCAAAGAAGGAATAACCCTTTATAAAACCATCAGATCTTGTAATAACTTACTCACTATCATGAGAACAGCAGCACTTGGGATAACCACCACATGATTTAATTACCTCCCACTGGGTCCCTCCCACAACACGTGGGGATTATGGGAACTACAAGTCAAGATAAGATTTAAGTGGGGATACAGCCAAACCATATCACTCACTTCCCAAACTTTATTTAATTTTCAGATCCAGACCCATTGAATGAAGAGGTGGCCAGGTTCCTAGAAGGGACTCTGCAATATTGCTACAAATATATGCTATAATTCTCCCAGTCCTTACCACCACTTACTAGGGGGTCTGTACACCAGGAAAAGTGGAATACTTGACATTTTAAAAATTACTGGACACAGGGCCTGAGTTGCATTGATACATGGAGATCCAAACCATAACCATATCTAATCCTGTCTTGGCATCTGCTTCTCAGAAAACCCCACCTCATAAGGAGAGAGCCAGCATGAAAATGGAGTTGTTTCAGAAAAAGAAACAGGTTCTGGTGATCCATCTGGACACTGGATCAGATCATGCCTGGAGTCAGGTTGTTCCATTATCACTATCCAAGTCAATAAATTCACCATTGGTTTAAGCCAGTTTGAGTTATGGTTTCTGTCTCTTGAGCATCCCTTGACAGTAACATATTAAGACTCCTGATAGGCAGGAAAGATGATGGTAACAGATTTGCAATTATTGTTCTTAAGGAAGGTTCTCATGCCCTTTCCTGGAGTTGATCTCAATATCCGCAATGAGGAAGGGGACAATGTGAGTCTACAAATCCCGTGTATAAAGCTCCTTTTTTTCATAAATCATGTTTGCTCTCTTGCTTCTCCTATCTACAAGTACATTTCCACATATATATGTTTTGTATTTATATATACAAACACATATCCACATTTGCAAAATATACAAACATTATCTGTCTATCATCTATCTATCTATCTATCTATCTATCTATCTATCTATCTATCTATCTATCTATCTATCTAAAATATAAGGGAGCCAGGCATGGTGGCTCACGCCTGTAATCCCAGCACTTTGGGAGGCCGAGGCAAGTGGATCATCTGAGGTTGGGAGTTCGAGACCAGCCTGACCAACACAGAGAAACCCTGTCTCTACTAAAAATACAAAATTAGCCAGGCATGGTAGCACATGCCTGTAATCCCAGCTACTCGGGAGGCTGAGGCAGGAGAATCATTTGAACCCGGGAGGTGGAGGTTGCGGTGAGCCGAGATTGTGCCATTGCACAATCTTGTTGCCTGGGCAACAAGAGCGAAACTCTGTCTCAAAAAATAAAATAAAAAAATTATATATATATACGCGTATATATACATATATATATGCATATATATGTATATATATACGCGTATATATACATATATATGCATATATATGTATATATATACGCGTATATATGCATATATATACATATACATATATATACATATATACACACATATATATATGAATATATATATACACATATATATGTATATACACATGGAAAGTTTTTTGACATTGTCCTAAATTAAGAACAGAAGATTGTGATTGTTGTCTGCTACCAGAGATCCTTAATTTTTGGAGTAGAATAGTAGAAAAGATCAGGACATCTCCTCCCTCAGAGCATCACCTTGGTATGCCTACTGCTTCCTCCCCTGGCCCAAATGTGTACCTCACCAGCTCTGGGTCCCTGAATCTATTCAGGGAGTTGCAACATCCCACATTAGGCAGAGGGTTGAGAAAGTGACATCACAACCCATGATGCCTGAAACCCTTGAGCTGGCCTCAGTGTCTCAGTGCCTTATGACTGAGGCTTCATTGCCTCATCAAAAGTACCATCCTGCCCAGAGAAGGAAGGTAGTCCCAACTCTGGCCAACTTGGAATCAGCAATCTCACACACCCCCAACATAACAACTGCCACTTGTCACACTTCCAAACCACTCTTAGCTGATGACCTTGTTTATACTGCCTCAGAAAAAATGAAACCAGCCAGAAGGAACTTTCCCCAGCCTCCAACTCAATATTTACCTGTGTTTGCACTCACATTTCTGCTTTCCTTCATGCTCCGTTTCAAAGCCAAACCTGCCTGTGGTGTTATGTTATATATTGGTTTTCATCCACAGTTCCTGGTTCCTAACTCCCATGGCCCTTGTTACAGTCTTTTGTGATAATGTTAGGTGTGTGAGGCCTCATGGGCGGGACTCTGACCTTCTGCTTCAAGGCAGGACTCTAATGCTTCCCTGCCTTTCTGATTGTGGATCTTAAGACCCTCCCATGAGAGGGTCTGACCCTATACCCTGGGAGAAGGAATGCTGACATCATGAAGCTTCCATCAAAACTCAAGAGGAAAGGGTTCAGTGAGCTTCCAGATAGCTGAACATGTGGAGGTTCCTGGAGGGTGGTGCACCAGGGAGGACATGAAATCTCCATGCCCCTTCCCCCACACCTTGCCCTATGTACGCGTCTTTTCATCTGTTTCCCTCGTAATATCCTTTATAATGAACCAGTAAATGTAAGTAAGTGTTTCCCGGAGTTCTGTGAGCCACTCTAGCAAATTAATTGAACCCAAAGAGGGGGTTATGAGTACTCCAACTTGAGGTCAGGCGTAGTGGCACATGCCTAAAATCCTAGCACTTTGGGAGGCTGAGGCGAGTGGATCACTTGAGGTCAGGAGTGTGAGACCAGCCTGGCCAACATGGTGAAACCCCATCTCTACTAAAAATACAAAAAAAAAAAAAATTAGAGGGGCGTGGTGGTGCCTGCCTGTAGTCCCAGCTACTCGGGAGGCTGAGGCAGAATTGCTTGAACCCAGGAGGTGGAGGTCGCAGAGCCGAGAGCATGCCACTGCTCTCCAGCCTGGGCAACAGAGCAAGACTCAGTCTCAACAAAAAACAAAAAACCTTGAAACTGGTTGGTCAGAAGTTCCAAAGGCCCGGACTTGCAACTGGTATGTGGTGGAGGAGGGAGGGTAGTGTTGGGGACTGAGCCCTCAACCTGTAGGATCTGACATTGTCTCTGGGTAGACAGTGTCCGAATTGAATTAGAGGACACTGAGCTGATGTCCGCTGCTTGGAGTGTGGAGAATAAAGCCCCACATATTTGGTCACAAAATCTTCTGTGTTGATGATCGTTGATTAGTGTTGTGAGTAGAGGAAAAAACACAGAGAAAATTTTCCCTATACACCGCCTGAGGGCACTAGATCTCACCCTACTCATCTTCCCAACAATACTGCTCCAGCAACTTTCTTCTTGCTCTTCTGCATCCCTCATTTTTCAGTCTCTATAGGATCATTCCCCACAATATATCAACATGCTGTTGTTGATCCTGTCTTTAAAAACACTTATATACCTTGTCCTAATGCCACTTCCTTAACTAGCAATCACTTCATTGTTCCCCTTGGCAGAAAATTTTTCAAGAGAATTCTTGATTATTTACTTCAATGCTCATCCAATTGTCTCTTTCTCTCTCTCTCTCTCTCTCTTTTTTTTTTTTTTTTTTTAGTTTTTTTGAGACAGAGTCCCGCTCTCTCACCCAGGCTGGAGTGCAGTGGTGGATCTCGGCTCACTGCAACCTCCACCTTCCAAGTTCAAGTGATTCTCCTGCCTCAGCCTCCTGAGTAGCTGGAACTACAGGTGTGTGCCACCACGCCCAGCTAATTTTTGTATTTAATGGAGATGGGGTTTTACCATGTTGGCCAGGCTGGTCTCGAACTCCTGACCTCAGGTGATCCACCCACCTCGGCTTCTCAGAGTTCTGGAATTACAGGCATGAGCCACCACACCTGGCCCCAACTGTCTCTTAAACCCTCTCCAATCAGACTTTTCCCCCACACTCCACCAAAATGGCTCTTGGATAAACAAAGGATCCTAAAAGTAGCAAGAGAAAAGAAACAAATGACCTACAATGGAGCTCCAATACGCTTGACAACAGACTTTTCTAAGTCGAAACTTTCTCAGTGGAAACCTTACAGGCCAGGAGAGATTGGCATGACATATTTAGTTAGTTAGTTAGTTAGTTAGTTAGTTAGTTAGTTAGTTAGTTAGTTGAGACGGAGTCTTGCTCTGTCGCCCAGACCAGAGTGCAGTGGTGCGAACTCTGCTCACTGCAAACTCCGCCTCCTGGGTTCACGCCATTCTCCTGCCTTAGCCTCCCAAGTAGCTGGGACTACAGGCGCCGGCCACCACGCCGGGCTAATTTTTTTCTGTATTTTTTTTTTTTTTTTTAGTAGAGACGGGGTTTCACCGTGTTAGTCAGGATGGTCTCGATTTCCTGACCTCGTGATCCGCCGGCCTCTGCCTCCCAAAATGCTGGGATTACAGGCGTGAGCCACCACGCCCGGCTGACATATTTAACGTACTAAAGGAAAATAACCTTTTATCCTAGAATAGTATATACAGTGAAAATATCCTTCAAACATGAAGGAGAAATAAAGACTTTCTAAGACAAACAAAAGCTGAGGGATTTCATCAATACCAGACCTGTCCTACAAGAAATGCTAAAGGGAGTAGTACTTCAATCAGAAAGAAAGGACATTAATAAGCAACACATAATCACCTGAAGATACAAAACTCACTGGTAAAATAAGAACACAGAAAAACACAGAATATCATAACACTGTAACTGTGGTGTGTAAACTACTCTTATCCCAAGTAGGAAGACTAAATGATGAACCAATAAAAAAAAAAAAAAACTGCAACACTTCAAGATATAGTCAATACAATAAGATATAAATAGAAACAACAAAAAGTTAAAAAGCAGGGGGATAAAGTTAAGGTGTAGAGATTTTATCAGTGTTCTTTTTGCTTGTTTATTTACGCAAACAGTGTAAAGTTGTTATCAGATTAAAACAAAGGGTTATAAGATAGAATTTGCAAGCCTCGTGGTAACCTCAAACCAAAAAGCATACAATGGATACACAAAAAACAAAATTGCTCTTGTCAAGGACATTAATGACCTCCATGTGCTAACCTCAGTGTAGCACATGGAGATCAAATCTCAGCCATCATCTTCCTTGACTTATTAACACCATCTGGTGCAATTTATCATACCATCTTCCTTGATATCTTTTTCACTTGGCTTCCAGTTCACCATGCTCTCTTAAATTTCCTCCTACTTCTCTGGTTGCTCCTACTCAGTCTTGTTTTTTGGATGCTCCTTTTCTCCAAGAACTGTTACTATTGGCGTGACCCCGACTGAATCCTTGATTTTCTTTTCTAAGTACATTCATTATCTTGGTAATCTCAATTAATAGCATGGCTGTAAATACCATCCACGTGCTGCTCACTCCCAAATTTATATTTTTAGCTTGAACCTCACTCCTAATATCCAGTCAAACATATCAGAATGCCTATTCAACATATGCAAATAGATGGCAACAAACATCTCAATACTTTTGAAAGTTATGATCTTTTCTTTAATCCATTTTCTTATCCTTCTTGTTTCCCAGTTTAAAACTCTTGAAGTCATCCTTGATTCCTTTAATTCTCTGAAACTCCACATATAGTTCATTAGTAAATCACCTCTACCTTCGAATTAGCAAACTTCTACCTCCTCTTCTGTTACTGCAATTGTGCCCCAACTGGTCTCCTTGCTCCCACCCTTGCCCTTCCTTCTTCTCACTGCTTATTGGTAATACAGCAGCCAGTAATTATTTTAAAATGAAAGACCTGGTAACACCTCTATTTGGAAGCTTCCATTTCACTCAGAGTAATACCCAAACTCCTTACAAAAGACTTAGCCTGAGTGACCTGACACCTCCTCCACCTTGTGCCTCTGTCATCATCTACTATTACTCTCCTCTTCTTTCATTAGGCTACAGCCTTGCTGGAATCTTTGCTGTCTCTCTGATACACCAGGCATGCTGTCACCCTAGGGCCTTTACAGTGTTTATTCCCTCTCCTGGACCACACTTTTTTCAGACAGCCCCTCGGCTACCTCTTTTACCTTCAAGTCTTTGTTCAAATGCCATCTTCTCAATGAGACCTAATCTGAATGACGTTAGAGAATATTGCAACCTGTACCTCCTCACACCAGCATCTCCAATTCCCTTGGCATGCTCTGTTGCCCTAAGGCATTGAATTGTCTCCTAAAATACTGTATAACATACTCATTATGTTAT
Source organism: Homo sapiens (assembly GCF_000001405.40). Classification (NCBI taxonomy): domain Eukaryota; kingdom Metazoa; phylum Chordata; class Mammalia; order Primates; family Hominidae; genus Homo; species Homo sapiens. The sequence continues at coordinate 90,457,160 of NC_000007.14, read as the reverse complement.
TGCTTTTTGTTTTTTTCTTTCTCCTGTCCAGTAGAATTTCAGCTCCATGAGATAGGGGTTTTTGCCTCTTTTGTTCACTGAGGTAACCTAAGCATTAGACAGTGCCTAGCACACAGTAGGTGCTCAATACATATGTTTTAGGTCAGGCACTGTGGCTCATGCCTGTAATCCCAGCACTTTGGGAGACTGAGGCAGGCGGGTCGCTTGAGTCCAGGAGTTCGAGACCAGCCTGGGCAACATGGCAAAACCCTGTCTCTACAAAAAATACATAAAAATTAGCCAGGCGTGGTGGTGGGTACCCATAGTCCCAACTGCTTGGGGGGCTGAGGAGGGAGGATTGCTTGAGCCCGGGAGGCCGAGGTTGCAGTGAGCCGAGATCACAATGCTGCACTCCAGCCTGGGTGACAGAGTGGGACCCTGTCTCAGAAAAACTAAAACTAAAACCCAACCATATGTGTCAATTGAATTTTTATCCCCAAATCATTTATCACCTTAATTCTGGTCTAATATTCCAAGTTCTTTCAGAAGTCTCTACTTGAATGTCCTTAAGACAACTCAAACTCAGTATGCCCCAAGTCAGACTCATTTTCCCCATCAAATTCGTTCTTTCCCCTGTTTTCCTAATTGGATTCATAGCATCGATAACCATCCAGTCAGCTATGGGAGACGCCACCAGGGTCATTCCGCATTTTCAGTTTTGGAACAAGTTCCTAGCCCTCTCCTAATGCTAATAAGCATTTGATATTAATACTGAGCCTTTAGCCACACATGCAAATACTATGTTTTTCATTGCTTTAGTCACTTAGTCTCTTGGGGATTACTGTCCACGGGTTTGTGTATTGGTCTGCTAGGGGTGCTATAACAAAATCCCACAGATTGGGTGGCTTTAACAACAGAAATTTATTTTTCACAAATTTACTTCTCTGGAGGCTAAAAGTCCAAGATCAAATTGCTGGCAGGGTTGGTTTCTCCTGAGGTTTCTCTCCTTGGCTCACAGAGGGCCACCTTTTTGCTGTGTCCTCACGTGGTCTTTCTTCTGTGCACATATACTCCCGTTGTCTTTTCCTCTTCCCATAAGGACACCAGTTCTATTGGGTTAGGGCCCCATTCTTGTGACTTCATTTAACCTTAATTAACTCCTCAAAGCCCTATCTCCAAATATAGCCACATTAGGGATTAGTCCATCAATAAATGAATTTTGAGAGGACAAAATTCAGTCCATAACAATTAGACACAATGCTTTTCTGTCCCTTTAAAATTATTCCTGTTTTCAAAAGTTCATTCTTTGTGCATATGCAAACTTTGTTCTTTTCTTTCTATTTTCCATCTGTTTTGAATAATCTCTATTCTTGGCTTTATCATAAACAAATGTATGCCTGCTAAAATAGCTTTTCCCAATACTCTTACTGTTTTGCATTTATCAGGTGTGGATGGAGTTAATATTTGTAAAACATTTTCTAAAAATAGAGAAAAGCAGCTAACAGAGTCAAGAACGGAACACTTCATGGCCCCAAATAACCAACTATGACTACTAATGCCATCTGTTGGCAGCAACAGAAATTGCATGTTTTTTATCTGGATAGTAGCTTTGTTCAGATCTATCACGATCTACGTGCTGAAAATTTGAAGGTAAAGAAATCCCTGTATTCTCTTCCTTTACCTTCCATATTCCTGTCTGTGACAGTAAGCAGCCCAGCAGGAAGGTTAATTGAAGAGAATTCAATGAAGGGACTAAATACAGAGGTGTGTCAAGAGTAACAATAACCAAGGACGGTGAAGCACCCAGTGACTAACAACGAAGAGAAGCTATTACCATCCCTGCAACTGAAGAGACAGAGCAGGGAATGGAAGGGCTGAAATCAGAGAGAACTGAAGGATTGCCCAAAAGAAGCTGTGGTCATAAGGTAAAGGAAACATAGTTTGGCTGAGCGAGTAGGGGGAATAAATACCCAAATCTTTCTCTTCTCCTACTATCTATTCTCCCAAAGTCAGAGGAGCAAAGAAACTCAGATAATGCAATCTGTAGGTCGACGTAGGGCAGAGAAGGATGGAGAATGAATTTGGAGGGTTAGCCAGTGTCTTGATCTGTTTTGTACTGCTATAGTGAAATACCTGAGGCTAGGTAATTTATAATGAACAGAAATTTATTTGGCTCACAGTTCTGGGGGCTAGAAAGTCCAAGGTTAAGGGCCTTCTTGCTGCATCGTCCCGTGGTAGAAGGCAGAAGGGGAAGAAAGCACACATGTGAGAGAAGAAAGGGAGCCAAACTCCTTTTTATTAGGAACCTACTCCCATGATAACTAACCGACTCCCTAGATAATGGCATTAATCCATTCATAAGGGCAGACCCCTCATGACCTAATCACCTCTTAAAGGTCCCACCTCTCAACATTGTTGCATTGGGAATTAAATTTCCAACACATAACTTTGGGGGACATGACGAAATCATAGCAGCTAGTGAATAGTTAGCATAACTTCCCTTCACAAAATGAATTGTCCTCTCTTCTATTTTATGTACAGATTGAGTTCTTAAATGTCTCATCCATGGTTGTAAGTATTCCAACACAAAAAAATGTACTTAAGAGGAACTAATAAATACATATTTTTGAATAAATAAATGAATACTCATTATTTATCTCCATGACTTAAAATTTTGCTGGAGGAAAAAATGGCAACTGTACTCTATTTTATGTTATGCCTTATGCCCAATGAATTCCATCGAAATTCAATACATTAAATTCCAATCCTGAATACAATAAATACAACAATAAAGCAAACAAGATCATTTTTCCTGATTCCTGGCTATATGTTTATATGAGAAACAAATTTAAATAATAAGAGAAAAATCCCCACAGTTTGCCTTTTAAAAATAAAATTTGAAGTATATTTTAAGAATAATAATAGCTCACTTATCTTTTCTTTCAGCGTTAAAAGTTCTTACAAAGGCTTTAAATGAAAGTGAAGAGTTATGTTTATCTTCAAAAGTAGTACTAAAGTCAACACTGAAAGCCCTTGAATGTAGTCCAACAGTTGAACTTTAATAAACAAACAGCCTGTTGAAGGCAGGCAGATTAAAAGTCTCCAGTATACTACAGTTTAATTAGCAAGTACTGTTACAGCCAGGGTCTATACCTCCTTCCCCCAGACACAGAGAAATTATGTTTATGATGACTGGTGTTCCTTTGTTCTGACCATTATAACTGTCAATCACTAAACTGTGGAAGTTGTCTGATATGACATTTAAGACAAACATACAAGTATACTCATCAACTGCAGTCTAATTACTACAGTTGGCTTAATGACAGGGTTGCATCAATTTTTTAGTAGTACTATCAGTCTTGAAATCCTAAAGCAGATAGTCTAGCAGATCTCCAAATGTCATATTCTCTTGTATATTTCCAACTTGGGGAAAGAGAGCATGATGACTCAAGATTGTTTCCTTGGTATTTTGTTGTTATGGAAAAAGGAGCATTTATAATCTATTAGACATTTTTGAGGGCACAAATAACATGAAAATGATATTTCAGTGAAAAATGTACATTTTGCTTGGTTATTATTGCTAAGTGCATTGTTCAGCAAATGTTCTGCTGTATTGAGTTTCAGGCATCACTTGAATTATATTATGGTGAGATTTGTGATTAAGGTAAGCTAACTCAAAATGACAAGCCAAGGGCTTTTAAAACCCACATTTCAATGAAATCTGGCAGCACAAAAACAGCTGCTCTAAGTCTGCTCTTCTAATATTTCAAAGGAAGAATAGCAATGGATTTCTGATACCATATGTGCCAACTGCAGAAATTCTAGAACAGCCTGAGAGACCATGGGTGAAAGGTCACCCTCTGCCTTATACAGATGGCATGTTTAATTATTAAAGAGCAATTTTAATCATTTAATCATTTCAGACCTTGAAATGAAAGGTCTTCTCGGGTATCTCGAAGCTTGTTGCAACCTAAACTCTGCTGTCAAACTTCTAGGGAGCCAGAAAGTAACATATGTGATTTCATATCCTAACTTGATTTACATTCTCACGTGAGTTGAATTTGTTTTACAGGCTGTCGAAAACATTTCTTGGAAAAAAAAAGTTGAAGGTCATGTCTTTAGCAGAGAATTTAAAGTTAAATCTAAATCCAGACTGAAGTCAGTCTTGAATTCCTCAGGAGGATGGCCCTTTCTTTCAGCAGAATTGTTTGTAGTTCTGTTGAAAATTTCATATCTAGCCTCAAAAATATTTTCAGAAATAGTCTCTATAGCTTTTTCCACTATTAAAAATAAACAACACTAGCAAGGTGTCTGGTATGTAATGTTCAATAAATGTTAGGCCCTCCTCTCCTCCCTTCACCAAATGCATGCATGCATGCATGCATTCACGTGCAAACACTGGAATTCATGTTTATGTGATTTTGCAAGAACAAGTGGAATGAAATCAAGGATAGCTCAACCATTCTTTAAAATCAAAATCCAATACAAAGTTTTGAATTCATATTTTTTAGATGAAGAAAATAATATAACTGAGCTAATAATAATAAAAAATATTGAGCAAGTGACATCAGCAACATGGCAGAATAGGACTTTCTAGTGCTTGTCCCTCCATAGAAACATCAATTAGAATAGCTACCCATGCACAAAAATACCTTCACAGGAGATGAAGGTTAACAGACAAAACTACTAAAAAATAATAATAGCTATAATTATTTCTTAAGGGATACAAATATAAAAAGATGTACATTGTGACACTAAAAACAAAATGTGGATGATGTGGGGTAAAAGTATAGAGTTTCTGTATGCAATCAAAGTTAAATTATCAGCTTAAAATAGACTGTTATAACTATAAAATATTTTATGTAAGCCTCATGGTAACAATAAAGCAAAACCCTACAGTAGATACATAAAAGACAAAAAGCAAGGAATCAGGCTGGGCATGGTGGCTCGTGCCTGTAATCCCAGCACTTTGGGAGGCCGAGGCAGGCAGATCACTTGAGGTCAGGAGTGCAAGACAAGCCTGGCCAACATGGTAAAACCCCATCTCTACTAAAAATACAAAAGTTATCCAGACATGGTAGTGCACACCTGTAATCCCAGCTACTCAGGAGGCCGAGGCAGGAGAATTGGTTGAACCTGGGAGGCAGAGGTTTCAGTGAGCCGAGATCATGCCACCGCACTCCAACCTGGGCGACAAAGCGAAACCGTGTCTCAAAAACAACAACAACAAAGGAATCAAAGTATGCCATAGAGAAAAATCACCTAATCACAAAGTAAGACAGCAAGAGACATACAAGCACCTAAATATAGAAAGCAAATATTGATAGTTGTAAAGGGAGACATAGGCAATAATACAATAATAGTAGTGGACTTCAATAACCCACTTTTGACAATGGGCAGATCATCCAGATGGAAAAAAATATGGAAACATGACTTAAACAACACTTTAGACCAAATGGACCTAATAGACATAAACAGAACATTCCATTCAAACAGCAGCAAAATACACATTCTTCTCACGTGCACATGGAACATAATCCAGGATAGATCATATGTTAGGTCACAAAACAAGACTTAACAAATGTAAGAAGACTGAAACCATATCAAGTATCTTTTCCAACCCAAATAGTATGAAACTAGAAATGAATTGCAGGAGGAATTTGAAACTTTCACAAAAACAGAGATTAAACAACATGCTCCTGAACAACTAATGGGTTAAAGATGAAATTAAAAGGGAAACCAAAATATACTTGAGACAAATGAAAAAGGACACACAACATACCAAAACTTACGTCATGAAGCAAAAACAGTTCTAAGAGGAAAGTCTGTAGTAATAAATGCCTACATCAAAAAAAGATCTCAAATAAACAGCTTAATATTATACCTCAAGGAACTAGAAAAAAAAGAAATTAAGTAGAAAGAAGGAAATAATAAAGATTGGAGCAGAAAAAACAAAATAGACACTAGAAAATCAATAGAAAAGATCAAGAAAACTTTTGAAAAAATAGCCAAAATCAACAAACCTTTAGCTAGACTTTGGAAAAAGGACTCAGAAATGAGAGAGGAGACATTACAACTGATATCACAGAAATACAATGATTATAAAAGACTGCTATGAACAATTGTATGCCACAAATAGAACAATGTAGAATAAATGGATATATTCCCAGAAACATAAAACCTACCATGGTTGAATTATGAAGAAACAGAAAATCTGAACAGATCAATAATGCGTAAGGTGACTGAATCAGTAGTCAAAAATCTCCCATCAAAGAAAAGCTCAGGACCTGATGGCTTGACTTCATAGTCTACCAAACATTTAAAGAAGAGGTAATAGCAATCTTTCTCAAATTCTTACAAAAAATTGAAAAAGAGTGAATAATTCCAAACTCATTTTATGAGCCCAGAGTTATCCTGAAACCAAAGTCAGACAAGGACACTATTAAAAAAAAAAAAAGAAAATTATAGGCCAATATTCCTGATGAACATAGATGCAAAAACCCTCATCAAAATACTAGCAAGCCAAATTCAGCAGCACATTAGAAGAATCATTCACCATGATCAAGTGGGAGTTATTCGTGGGGTGCAAGGATGGCTCAACATATGCAAATCTATAAATATGATACACAACATTAACAGAATGAAAGACAAAACCATATGATCATCTCAATAGATGGAGATAAGGCATTTGACAAAATTCAAAATTCTTTCATAATAAAAATTCTCAACAAATTAAGTATAGAAGGAATGTGCCTCAACACAACAAAGGCCATATATGACAAAACCACAGCTAACATCAAACTCAACAATGAAAAGTTGAAAGCACTTTCTCCAAGATCAGGAACAAGACAAAGATGCCCATTCTTGCCACATCTGTTCAACATAGTACTGGAAGTTTTAGCCAGAGCAATTAGAAAAGAGCAAGAAATAAAGGGCATTCAAATTAGAAAGGAAGTAGTGAAAATATGTCTCTCTGTTTGAAGAAAACATAGTATTACAATATATTTTAAAAAATTAAAGACTCTACCAAAAAACTGTTAAAACTAATATAGAAATTCAATAAAGTTGTAGGAAACAAAAATAACATACAAAAATTAGTAGCATTTCCATATACTAACAATGAACTATCTGAAAAAGAAATTTTTAAAATGCCATTCACAATAGCTACAAAACATTTAAAAAGTTAAAAATAAATTTAACCAAGAACTGAAAGACTTGTACACTGAAACTATAAACATTGATGAAAAAAAAGACACAAATAAATGGTAAGATATTCCACGTTCACAGATTGGAAGAATTAATATTGTTAACCTGTCCATACTACTCAAAGCAATCTACAGATTAAATGCATACCTATCAAAATTTCAATGACATTTTTCACAGAAATAGAAAAAATAATCCTAAAATTTGTATGGAACTCTTGAAGACCCTGAATAAACAAAGCCATCTTAAACAAAAAGAACAAAGTTTAAGGCATCACACTACCTGACTTCAAAATATACTACAAAGTTATACTAACCAAAACAATTTTAACTGGCATAAAACAGACACACAGACCAAGGGAACAATATAGAAAGCCCAGAAATAAACCCAGGCATTTACAGTTAGCTGATTTTCAACAAAGGTGCCAAGAACACACAATGGAGAAAGGAAAGTTCCTTCAATAGATGATAATGAAAAAAACTGGATATCCACATGCATAAATATGAAATTAGACTCTCACATTACACCATGTGTAAAAATCAGTTTGAAATAGATTGAAGACTTAAACATAAGGCCTGAAACTGTAAAACTAGAAGAAAAGATGGAGGAAAGTTTCACGACATTGGTCTGGGCCATGATTTTTTTTATATGACCCCAAAGCACAGACAACAAAAGCAAAAATAGACAAATGGGATTTTATCAAACTAAAAACTTTTGCACAGCAAAGGAAACAATTGACAGAATGAAGACACAAACTACAAAATGGGAGAAAATATTTGCAAACCATACATCTAATGAGGAGTAAATATCCAGAATATATAAGGAACTCAATAGCAAGGAAACAACCCTATTAAAAAAATGAGCAAAGAACCTAAATAGACAGCTCTCAAAAGAAGGCATACAAATGGCCAACAACTATATGAAAATAATGCTCAACATCACTAATCATAAGAGAAATGCAAATTAAAGCTACAATGGGATATTATCTTACACTTGTTATACCACATGAAGGTGGCCTGGTGGCTTGCATCTATAGTCCCCAGCTACTCGGGAGACTGAGGTGGGAGGATCACTTGAGTTCAGGAGTTGGAGACCAGCCTAGGCAACATAGCAAGACCCCATCTCTTTTTATTTATTTATTTATTTATTTATTTATTTATTTATTTATTATTTATTATACTTTAAGTTCTGGGGTACATGGACACAATGTGCAGGTTTGTTACATATGTACACATGTTCCATGTTGGTTTGCTGCACCCATTAACTAGTCATTTATGTTAGGTATTTCTCCTAATGCTATCCCTCCCCCATCCCCCACCCCACAACAGGCCCCAGTGTGTGATGTTCCCCACCTTGTGTCCACGTGTTCTCATTATTCAATTCCCACCTATGAGTGAGAACATGCGGTGTTTGGTTTACTGTCCTTGCGATAGTTTGCTGAAAATGATGGTTTCTAGCTTCATCCATGTCCCTACAAAGGACATGAACTCATCATTTTTTATGGCTGCATAGTATTCCATGGTGTATATGTGCCACATATTCTTAATCCAGTCTATCATTGATGGACATTTGGGTTGGTTCCAAGTCTTTGCTGTTGTGAATAGTGCCACAATAAACATACGTGTGCATGTGTCTTTATAGTAGCATGGTTTATAATCCTTTGGGTATATACCCAGTAATGGGATCCCTGGGCCAAATGGTATTTCTAGTTCTAGATCCTTGAGGAATTGTCACATTGTCTTCCACAATGGTTGAACTAGTTTACAGTCCCACCAACAGTGTAAAAGTGTTCGTATTTCTCCACATCCTCTCCAACACCTGTTGTATCCTGACTTTTTAATGATTGCCATTCTAACTGGTGTGAGATGGTATCTCATTGTGGTTTTGATTTGTATTTCTCTGATGACCAGTGATGGTGAGCATTTTCTCATGTGTCTGTTGGCTGCATAAATGTCCTCTTTTGAAAACTGTCTGTTCATATCCTTTGCCCACTTTTTGACACCCCATCTCCTAAAAAAAAAAAAGACGAAAAATAAGTGTTGAGGAGAATGTGGAGAAAAGGGAATTTTTGCACACTCTTGGTGAGAATGCAAATTAGCATAGCCACTATGGAAAACAGTATGGAATTTCCTAAAAAAATTAATAATAGAACTGCAGTATGTCAGCAATCCCACTATTGGGTATATACCCAAAGGATATAAAATCAGTATGTCAAACAAATATCTGCACTTTCATGTTCACTGCAGCATTATTCACAATAGTGGAGATATGGAATCAACCTAAGTGCTCATCAGCAAATGAATGGAAAATGAAAATGTGGTATAATAACAATGAAATATTATTCAGCTTTAATAAAGAAGGAAATCCTATCATTTGTGACAGTACGGATGGACCTGAAGGACATTGTACTAAGTGAAATAAGCTAGTCACAGAAAGACACATATCTGCATGATCTCACTCATATGTGGAATCTAAAGAATTTGAACTCATAGAAGTAATGGGTAAGATACTGGTCATATAGCTGATAAGTGGTGGAGCTAAGATGCCAAACTGAATCACTTGAATTTCAAAGCCTGTTATTGTGTCAGTACGCTCCAGCTAAAGGCCATCAGGAACACACCTGTAGTTGAACAAGTTGGGTTTATTCCTTGTTACAGAGAGGAAGAATGCATGTCATGGGGAAATCTGGGGTGTCTCAGTAAGACAGTGTTTGAAAGAACTTATCCTAGAATTTGGTTATATGCTAGGTGATTTGGAAAAGGTCTTAAGGAACACAGGCTTTTCTCTGGATTGGATGCTATCAGGAAGTGGTGGTAATTCTATGATTGGGTATCATCTTAGTAAATCTTATCTAGATGGAGGGAAGATTAGGGAAAGTCTAAAGCTGTAAGTGGTAAAGCAGCAGCAGTAACTCCTATTAGCCAGGATACAGACAGATAAAGTCACATCGCAAGTAGGTAGAAGAGCTAGGACCTGAACCCAGGCAGCCTGCCCTGAGTTTGCACATTTACCTGCCCTACAGGCAAGGGCAATCAGGAGCAGCAGCAGAGCTAAACAAAGATGATGGGAGAGATGTCTTAGGAAGAAACCTCAGCTATGTAGTCAAGCTAAGGATTCACAGTAGGAGATTGGCACCAAAGAAGTCTTCTGGGGGTGCTACCTGCTCAAACAATAGTCTAAAGTTAAGAAGGAAGGAAGGAAAGAAAGAAGGAAGGGAGGGAGGGAGGAAGGAAGGAAGGAAGGAAGGAAGGAAGAAGAGAGAAAGAGAGAGAAAGAGAACGAATGAAAAGAAAGAAAGAAAGAGAGAGAAAGAAAGAAAGAGAGAGAGAGAAAGAGGAAAGGAAAGGAAACAAAAGGAAAGGAAAGGAAAGGAAAGGAAAAGAAGGGGAGGGGAGGGAAGGGGAGGGAAAGGAAGGGAAGCGAAGGGAAGAGAAGGGAAAAGGGAAGGGAAGGGAAAAGGAAAGGAAAGGGAAAAGAAAAGGAAAGGGAAAAGGAAAGGAAAGGGAAAAGAAAAGGAAAGGGAAGAAAGAGAGGAAATCCCTTTAAGTCTTTCTGTTTCCTGGAAGCTTTCTAGGTCACCTTACCCATAAATGCCCACTGAACAGATCTTCTCAGATTTCAGAGGCTCAGTCTCATTAGTCACGTGTGTGATAAGGCTACTTTTTCCGAGAAGGCTGAGGTCTATGCTGGCAGCTTGATGTTCTCTGCAGATTTGATGCAGGATTTCTCCCTGGCTTTCTCAGGTCATTTCATTGGAGTCATTTCCTTTTGGGGTCCTAGACCTCTTTGGTGCTAATGCCATTAGGCTATGCCAGGAGGCTGCTGTGCTAAGCCTTGGTAAAGATGGGTGAAATGAATGCTTGTTGTGTCCCCCTGTACTTCAATTCTCTCCCTTCTTGAGTAAGCAAGCCCTGATTACTTAGTAACGTCTCTTTCATCATCAATTATAGTCTCAGAATGACATGAAAATGAAGGTGCCCTCCCTGCCCCCCTCCTTCTGACACCAACACAATCAAGAAGGGGCCACGTGGCACAAATCAGGAAAATTAGTCTTTACCTTCCAGGAGTCTGGACCTTGAGTGGAGTGACACAGGCAGGAGTATGTGTAGAGCTAGCATGTGGCAGTTCTCTGAAGAGACTATCCATGCTTTCCTGTTACCCAGATTCCCAGAGCTGCCTCATGCCTTTCCTTCCTGAGGCCTAATTGTTCAACATTTCCTTTGACTCCCTGAGCTACCTAGAATATTTCTAATAACTTTTTGCTTAAATTAGTCAGTTTCTATTGTTTGCATCCAAAGAACCCTAACTGACACATATAGTTTATTTGATCGTGTTTTCTATTCAGCAGCATTTGGGGGAAATGTCCTTTAACTATGTCAGTTCAAAATAATGAGAAAGGACATATAGTTAAAGCTCTGCCTCCCAGTTCACATGGAAATCAGACTATGCTCTCCCAGGAGACTCTTGCTTTATTGAGACTACCGGTCATTTCCCCCAGCACTGATAGGTGGTCAGAATAAATAACCACAAAGGTAATGGATCTTTGAGCTTGATTTTCATTATGTGACCCTACTTTTCTTCCCAATGGTAACAGATGATGTCGAACTCACAGTTCTTCCCTAACTTGTTTTATTGATAAACAAAAAGAGAACACCATTGTTTCAATCTATTTACATAGAAATCTGATTAGGAGCTTCCTAAATCTAAAGACAATTTCTCCAAAAAGTCCATTGTTACATGAAATTACAGGTATTCCTAAGTGAGGTAATATTCTCTTCTTGAAATAAAAGACACCCATTCACTTCCAGTCCTGTGGCTTTATGGTGCTCCATTTGAAGTCATACCAAGTAATCACCACGGAATAAAATCTTTGGGCGACAGAGTAAGAAAACAGCGTGGTTATAATTCTACCTCTTGAAAAACATTCAGGATGGGGATAGGATATCTCTATTGCAATGTATGCTTGTGGAAACCGGAGAGTGATTTTATGTTAGAAATCAGATAACCTATGAGCTTTTTATTCTGCAAAGTAGCCGGTCACCCTCAGAAAGATGATTATTTGAAAGTGCTGTTCTTGCCCACATAGAAAATCCAAGAGAATCTACAAACTATTAGAAGTCATAAATGAATTCGGAAAGTTTTCTTGAATCCAAATCGATAAAGTCCTCACATAACAGCCATAACCAGTTAGAAAACATAATTGGAACAAAAGTCCCATTCACAATATCACAAAAGCTAAAGACATAAAACTACTAGCTTTAAATATCAACATGAATCTCAAAACACCATAAAGCATAAAAACGAGTTGTGGAATGATAGATCTAAGACTATATATATATATGTATATATACATATACATATTATGTATGTATATGATGATGTTATCGTATGATAGTTATTTTATGTAAATACAAAAAATCTTATATTTAAATAGTTTTAAATATAAATGTACTATATAAATTATCATGGATTAATATACAAAATTTGGGTTGCTGGTTACCCCTGGATAATGCAAGAAAAGAATGGTATTGGAGAAACACTCAGAGGGACTTTATTAGTTAAGAATAAATCCAAAACAAATACATGGCAAACTGTTCAGGTGTGTTATAGATGGGTGGTGAATATCATTATTATCATCTTCAAGAGATCATCATTTTCTCTATGCATGTATTTATATTTCATAATAGTATATTTTAAAATACTATTATAATTGTGAGGAGTAGAACAAAATTTTTCCTTACTGTTTTCTTAGTCCAAGTGGAGAATCTGAGAAAGAAATAAGAATCAGTCAGAATTTATGAATGGTTTTGTTGTTTTGGGGAAGCTTCATCAGCAATTTATTCAGCAGATAAAGTTATTCCTGAAATATTAATGAATTATAACCTACATGTCCAGAGTTGATGCTCCTTAGATAAACAGCCTTGGCCTAGAAGAAAAATGTCCAGAGCTTTGTTACCAATTTTGGCAAAACTTGGCAGCATTGGAGAAGTTACTTTCTCTTGTCCTTAGTTTCTTCATTTGTAAAATATGGGTATTCACTCTTCCCTTTCTCTTGGGTTTTTTGTGCAGAGAAATGTGAGATTGTTTACTATTATAGCAATGTTACAGGATCCTATGTACATGGTTTTTACTGATTTCCAGATTGAATTTCATGAAAAGCCAAACATAGGATATTGAGGAATGCAAATACAATTACATTTTGTGGGAAAAGAGTAGCATTCACCTAATATTGAAGGCTCAATATCAGGAGAATGGTAATGTGTGAATAGGATCTAATTCTGGGGGTTCTCTTTAGAAGGAAGTATACAGAAATTTTACTGTAGTGCTCTTTTCCTAAATTTCTAGGGAACGTTATTAGGAGAGTTTCATTCTTCTCCTATTAGACTGAGAGGTTTGACAGAAATTGGATTCCTTAGGTTATATTTATTGGGATAAAGGATATCCTCTAGGATTTATTTTAGCTGAAAAGAGAATATCAACAATTTTCTTACTTTTGTTCACAAATGTAGAAAGGCAGTGGTTAAAAGCACAAACTCAGGCCTTACATCATCTGAGTTTAAAACAAAACTCTGCCACTTAGAACTGGGTGTCAAGGTACTTACCCCCTCTTCCCTCAGTCTCTTCCTAGGTAACATGGGAATAATAGTGGTACCTACGTTTTTGGGTATCAGGATTTTAGGGGAGGAAATAATATCTTTCTCCATGGGAGAATCTAGGTTTTCTGGAACCTGAAGCTTATATTTTTGAGGGTTACACACACACACACACACACACACATACACACACACACAGTCATACATACATACATATTTATACTCATATATATATTCATATATATGAGTATAAATACAAAATAAGTTATCTGGCCAAAGAAGTGGCCTGTGCAGCTGGGCTGGGGGCTGAAACTTCAGCTTCATTACCTTCATGGTACATCCATGAAGCACATCTGAACTCATTTGACCACAAAATGTGATCTGAATTGATGTGATGTAGTCTTAATTCATCCCATTTAGTGTGAGTATTCATATCTTTTATTGCAAAAATATTAATGTGTTTGATGATAGGGAGTTGACCTAGAACCTCTATGTGAACCACATGACCTGTCTAAAATCTGAAAAATTCTGAATTTTGAAACCCACCTCACCCAGGGAGTTTCAGATAATGAATTGTAGATGGTGTCAGGCTTATTACTGATAAAGTTGAATTGAGGAACACACCAGGGCTCCAGAAGTACAGAAGCAGAGTTCTCCAGAGCAAGCTTAGTGTATGGAGGGCAGAGATCTTCCTGGGTTGGAGAACAGACGTCCCCGCAAAGGAGCTGCAGCTGCTCATCCCTTCTCTCAAACTCACCAACTCTCCCAACTCCTCCTGAGGAGGAAGTAAGGGGACAGAACTGAGAAGCTCAAAGAGCTCCTCCCAAATGCTTCCCTCCTAGCGAGTCAAGGGGAAACATGGGTAGGAGGAATAAATGTTCCCTACTAAGAATGGGGTTCTTGTGAAGATTAAATAAAACTGTTTATCTGAATAAAATCATGATTTAGCATAGAACTTGACCCATATGAAACCTCAGGAGCTGTTGCTGTCATTGTTGTTATTGTCTGCATGTAGCTCGTGCACTTGAGTAATTTCTGTCTGGCCTCCATCTCGGGACAGTTTGACCCTCCCCAGCTCTGGTCTCTTTTTGGGGTGGGTAAGAGTTAGGGGGTTGTTTAGAAGAGTTAGTACAGTAATGCAATACATAACGTTTCAGTCAATAACAGACCACGTGTACAACAGTGGGCCCATAAGATTATAATGACACTGAAAAATTCCTATAGCCTGGTGATGTCCTGGACTTTGTAATATTGTAGCACAACATATTACTTATGTTTGTGGTAATGCTGGTGTACCCAAAACTATTGGCTGCCAGTCATATAAAACTAACACACATACAATTCTGTATACTATGTATGATATAGTTTGGCTCTGTGTCCCTACTCAAATCTCATGTCAAATTGTAATCCCACATCTCAGGGAGAGGCCTGGTGGGATGTGATTGAATCACAGAGGCAGATTTCCCCCTTGCTGTTCTCATGATGGTGAGTGAGTTCTCACAAAATCTGATGGTTTGAAAGTGTGTAGCACTTCCCCCTTTGCTCTCTTGTTCTCTCTCCTGCTTTCCCATGCTAAGATGTGCTTGCTTTCCCTTCTCCTTCCACCAGACTGTAAGTTTCCTGAGGCCTCCCAGCCTGCTTTCTGCAGAGCTGTGAGTCAATTAAACCTCTTTTCTTCATAAATTACCCAGTCTCAGGTAGTTCTTTTTTTTTTTTTTTTTTTTCTTAGACGGAGTCTCGCTTTGTCGCCAGGCTGGAGTGCAGTGGCACGATCTCAGCTCACGGCAACCACCACCTCCCGGGTTCAAGCAATTCTCTTGCCTCAGCCTCCTGAGTAGCTGGGACTACAGGCACACACCACCACGCCCGGCTAATTTTGTATTTTTAATAGAGACAGGGTTTCACCATGTTGGCCAGGATGGTCTCTATCTCTTGACCTCGTGATCTGCCTGCCTTGGCCTCCCAAAGTGCTGGGATTACAGGCGTGAGCCACTGCGCCCAGCCTCAGGTAGTTCTTTGTACCAGTGTGAAAACAGACTAAATACAATGTAATACTTGATAACGATAATAAACAACCATGTTACTGATTTATGTATTTACTGTACTCTGATTTTTATTGCTATTTTAGAGTGTAGTCCTTCTAATTATGTATATTAAAAAGTTAACTATAAACCGGCCTTAGGCAGGGTCTTGAGGGGGTATTCCAGAAGAAGTCATTGTTATCATAGGACATGATCACTCCATGCCTGTTATTGCCCCTGAAGAACTTCCAGCGGGACAAGATGTAGAAGTTGGAGGCAGTGATGCTGATGATTTCGACCCTGTGTATGCCTGGGCTAATGTATGTGTTTGTGTCCTATTTTTTACAAAAACTTTTACAAAGTTAAAAAAATTATTAAAAAAGAAAAACGCTTACAGAAAAGGACAGAAAATATTGTGTACAATGTGCTAGGTGTTATTACAAAAGAGTCAAAAAGAAAAATTTAAAGTGTTAAAAGTAAAAAAGTTACAGTAAGCTAAGATTAATTTATTATTGAAGAAATAAAATTTATTCTTATGAATTTAGTGTAGCTTAAGTGTACAGCATTTATAAAGTCTACGGTAGTGTATGATAATGTGTGAGGCCCTCACAATCACCACTCACTCACTGACTCACCCAGAGCAACTTCCAGTCCTGCAGGCTCCATTCATAAGTGTCCTATAAAGGTGTACCATTTTTTATCTTTTATATTTTTTCTGTACCTTTTCTATGTTTAGATATATTTAGATACACAAATACTTACTGTCATATTACAATTGCCTGTGGCATTCAGTATTGTAACATGCTGTACAGGTTTCTAGTCTAGGAGCAATAGGCTATACCATCTAGCCTAGGTGTGTAGTAGGCTATACCAGCTAGGTTTGCGTAGGTACACTCCATGATGTTCGCACAATGACAAAATTGCTTAAGGATGCATTTCTCAGAACATATCCCTGCCATTAAGTGATGCATGACTAGATCACCCTCAAAAAAAGTGCTGGCCCTTACGGGGTAGAGTTCATCTTGTGATTTCATTTTCTCTCTCCTTCTGTCATATTTTCTTTGTTCTGATTTCTTCACTCATTTTATATTTTACTTTCCACTTCATTTTGAAGAAGCTCAGAAGTATTTGCTACTTATTCCACATAAAATATAGATGAAGTCAGCCATGTATAGAAGATAAATCCAAAAATTAAGAGCTCTTACATGACTGAAATTTGGTGGAAGAAATAACTTTCACATCAGATAGTTTTGTATCCAGTTATCTTCTGGCTCCATGAATCAGAGATCTATCTTTTTAAGAGTACTAATGAAGTATATCATTTTTTAAGAAATGCCTGATGAATCAAACTCTTAAAGGATAAAAAGTGTTTAGAAAATCAAGATTCGTGCAAAAGAAAACAATAAAAATCATCCAAATTCATCCACTTTGATATGGTTTGGCTGTGTCCTCACCCATATCTCACCTTGAATTGTAATAATCCCCATGTGTCAAGGGTGGGCCCAGGTGGAGATAATTTAATCATGGGGGTGGTTCCCCCATACTGTTCTCATGGTAGTGAATAAGTCTCACGAGATCTGACGGTTTTATAAATGGGAGTTCCCCTGCACAAGCTCTCTTGCCTGCTGTCACGTAAGATGTCCCTCTGCTCTTCCTTCATCTTCTGCCATGATTGTGAGGCCTCCCCAGCCATGTAGAGCTGTGAGTCCATTAAACCTCTTTCCTTTATAAATTACCCAGTCTTGAGTATATCTCTATTAGCAGCATGAGAACAGACTAATACACACTCTGAGATCATTGTTCACATCTTGGTGTATACCCATCCAATCTTTCTTCTTTGCATAAATATTATTTTCTATGCCAAGCGTGGTGGCTCACGCCTGTAATCCTAGCACTTTGGGAGGCAAAGGTGGGCAGATCATCTGAGGTTAGGAGTTCAAGACCAGCCTGCTTTAACATGGCAAAACCCCATCTCTACTAAAAATACAAAAAATTAGTCAGATGTGGTGGCGGGCATCCATAATTCCAGCTACTCGGGAGGCTGAGGCAGGAGAATCGCTTGAACCCGGGAGGCAGAGGTTGCAGTGAGCCAAGATCATGCCACTGCACTCCAGCCTGGGTGACAAGAGTGAAACTCCATCTCAAAAAAAAATATTATTTTCCAAAGGAAGATCATATTTTACTTACCATTTTATAACTTGCTCTTTCAGTTTACTATAGATATTAAATATCTTCCCATGATATTAAATATTATTTTAAAAATAATTTTTATAACAGAAGAAATGTGTGTTCATGATAATACATTCAAGTAGTAGAGAACTGTATCTGTATAGAGGTAAAAGTAAAATTCTGCTTATCTTGCCAATATCCTATATGAATTCCCTGAAAGTATCCACTGTTAATAATTGTATGTGCACAAGCGTGTGTGTGTGTGTCCTTTCAGATATTTTCTGTGCCTTTGCAGGGAAATAGTTTTTCTACATACATGTAATTATATTGTCAATATTGTTCTACTTTTTGAATATTTTTTCATCTAAGCTTATTTTTCTATTTTTTAAAACCATTTCAATAGTTTTTGGGAACAGGTGGTGTTTGGTTACATGGATAAGTTCATTAGTGGTGATTTCTGAGATTTTGATGCACCCATTACCCAAGCAGTGTATACTGTACCCAGTGTGTATTCTTTTATCCCTCACCCCAATTTCACCCTTTCCCTCAAGTCCCCAGAGTCCATTATATCATTCTTATGGCTTTGTGTCTTCACAGCTTAGCTCCCACTTATAAGGGAGAACATATGATGTTTAGTTTTCCATTCCTGAATTTACTTAGAATAATGGTCTCCAACTCCATCAAGGTTGCTGTGAATGCCATTATTTCATTCTTTTTTATGGCCGAGTAGTATTCCATGGTATATACATACCACATTTTCTTTATCCACTCATTGATTGATGGGCATTTAGGCTGGTTCCGTATTTTTGCAGTTGTGAGTTGTGCTGCTATAAATGTGAGTACAAGAGTCTTTTTCTTATAATGACTTCTTTTCCTCTGGGTAGATACCCAGCAGGGGGATTGCTGGATCAAATGGTCGTTCTACTTTTAGTTCTTTTAGGAATCTTCATGCTGTTTTCCATAGCAGTTGTATTAGTTTACATTCCCACCAGCAGTGTAAAAATTTTCCCTTTTCACCGCATCCACGCCAACATCTATTATTTTTTGATTTTTTAATTATGGCCATTCTTGCAGGAATAAGGGGGTATTGCATTGTGGTTTTGATTTGCATTTCCCTGATGATTAGTGATGTTGAGCATTTTTTCATGTTTGTTGGCCATTTGTGTATCTTCTTTTGAGAATTGTATATTTATGTCCTTAGCCCACTTTTTGTTGGGATTATTTGTTTTTTTCTTGCCGATTTGTTTGAGTTCCTTATAGATTCTGGATATTAGCCCTTGGTGAAATGCAAAGTTCGTGAAGGTTGTTTTCCACTCTGTGGGTTGTCTGTTTGCTTGGCTGATTATTTCTTTTGCTGTGCAGAAGTGTTAGCCAATGTCTAGAAGAGTTTTTCCAATGTTATCTTCTAGAATTTTTACAGTTTTGGGTCTTAGATTTAAGTCTTTGATCCATCTTGAGTTGATTTTTGTATAAGGTGAGAAATGAGGATCATTTCATTCTTCTACATGTGGCTTGCCAATTATCCCAGCACCATTTGTTGAATAGGGTGTCCTTTTCCCACTTTATGGTTTTGTTTGCTTTGTCAAAGATCAGTTGGCTGTAAGTATTCAGCTTTACTTCTGAGTTCTTTACTCTGTTCTATTGGTCTACATGCTTATTTTTATACCAGTACCATGCTGGTTTGGTGATTATAGCCTTGTAGTATAGTTTGAAATTGGGTAATGGGATCCCTCCAGATTTTTTATTTTTGCTTATTCTTGCTTTGGCTATGTGGGCTCTTTTGTTGGTTGCATCTAAATTTTAGGATTTTTTTCTAGTTCTGTGAAGAATGATGATTGTATTTTGATGGGAATTGCATTGAATTTATGGATTGCTTTTGGCAGTATTGATTCTATCCATCCATGAGCATGGTGTGTGTTTCTATTTGTTTGTTTTGTCAATGACTTCTTTCAGCAGTGTTTTGTAGTTTTCCTTGTAGAGGGCTTTCAACTCCTTGGTTAGGTAGATTCCTAAGTATTTTACATTTTTTTCTCAGCGGTTATAAAAGGGATTGTGTTCTTGATTGATCCTCAGCTTGGTTGCTATTGGTGTATAGCAGTGCTACTGATTTGTGTACATTGATTTTGTATCCTGAAACTTTCCTGAATTAATTTATCATATTTAGGAGCTTTTTGGATGAGTCTTTAGGGTTTTCTAGTAATATGATCATATCATTGGCAAACAGCAAGAGTATGACTTCCTCCCTACTGATCTGGATGCCCTTCTTTCTCTTTTCTGATTGCTCTGGCTAGGACTTCCAGTACTATGTTGAATAGAAGTGTGAAGGTGGGCATCCTTGTCTTGTTCCAGTTTTCAGGGGGAATGCTTTCAACCTTTCCTTATTCAGCATAAGGTTAGCTGTGGGTTTGTCATAGATGGCCCTTATTACCTTAATGTATGTCTCTTCTATGCCAATTTTGCTGAATTTTAATCATAAAGCGATGCTGGATTTTGTCAAATGCTTTTTCTGCATCTATTGAGATGATTATACGATTTTTGTTGTTAATTCTGTTAATGTGGTGTATCACATTTATTGACTTGCATATGTTAAACCAACCCTGCTTCCCTTGTATGAAACCCACTTGATCATGGTGTATTATCTTTTTGATATTCTGTGGATTCAGTTAGCTAGTATTTTATTGAGGATTTTGCATCATGTTCATCAAGTTCTTTCCTGGTTTTGGTATTAGGGAGATATTGGCTTCATAGAACGATTTAGGGAGGATTCTCTGTTTCTCTATCTTTTCCAATACTTTCAGTAAAATTGGTACCAATTCTTCTTTGAACGTCTAATAGAATTCAGCTGTGAATCCATCAAGTCCCAAACTTTTTTTGTTGGCAATTTTTTATTACTGTTTCAGTCTTGCTAAATGTTATAGTCTATTCAGACTTTCTATTTCTTCCTCATTTCATCTAGAAAGGCTGTATATTTCCAGAAATTTATCCATCTTCTCTGGGTTTTCCAGTTTGTGCACATAAAGGTGTTCATAGCTTTGAATGATCTTTTGTATTTCTGTGGTATTGGTAGTAATATCCCCCATTTCATTTCTAATTGAGCTTATGTTTATCTTGTCTATTCTTTTCTTGGCTAATCTTGCTAATGGTTGATTTATTTTGTTTATCTTTTTTTGTTTGTTTGTTTGTTTGTTTTGAGGAGTCTTGCTCTGTCAGCCGGGCTGGAGTTGCAGTGGCTCGATCTTGGCTCACTGCAAGCTCCACCGCCCGGATTCATGCCATTCTCCTGCCTCAGCCTCCCGAGTAGCTGGGACTACAGGTGCCTGCCACCACGCCCGGCTAATTCTTTGCATTTTTAGTAGAGACGGGGTTTCACCGTGTTAGCCAGGATGGTCTCAATCTCCTGACCTCATGATCCGTCTGCCTCTGCCTCCCAAAGCGCTGGGATTACAGGTGTGAGCCACCACGCCCGGCCCTATTTTGTTTATCTTTTCAAAGAACTAGCTTTTTGTTTCATTTATCTTTTGTTTTTTGTTTGTTTGTATCAAATTCATTTAGTTCTGCTCTGATCTTATTATTTCCTTTCTTCTGCTGGGTTTGGGTTTGGTTTGTTTGTGTTTCTCTAGTTCCTTGAGGTGTGAGCTTAGATTGTATATTTGTACTCTTTCAGACTTTTTGATGGAGGCATTTAATGCTATGAACTTTCCTCTTAGCACCACTTTTGCCATATCCCAGGGGTATTGATAAGTTGTGTCACTATTATCGTTCAGTTCAAAGAATTTTTAAATTTCCCTTTTGATTTCATTGTTGACCCAAAGATTATTCAGGAGCATATTATTTAATTTCCATGTATTTACATAGTTTTGAGGGTCCCTTTTGGAGTTAATTTATTTTATTCCACTGTGGTCTCAGAGAGTAGTTGACATAATTTTGATTTTCTTAAATTTAATGAGACTTGTTTTGTGGCCTATCACATGGACAATCTTGGAGAATGTTCCATGTGCTGATGAAAAGAATGTATATTCTGCAGTTGTTGGGTAGAATGTTCTGTAAATATCTGTTAAGTCCATTCGTAGTTTAAGTTCATTGTTTCTTTGTTGGCTTTCTGTCTTGATGACTGTCTAGTGTGGTCAGTGGAGTATTGAAGACCCCCACTATTATTATGTTGCTGTCTATCTTATTTCTTAAGTCTAATGGTAATTGTTTTATAAATTTGGGGGCTCCAGTGTTACGTGCATATATATTTAGGATTGTGATATTTTCCTGTGGGACTGATCCTTTTATCTTTATATAATGTCCCTCTTTGTCTTTTTTAATTGTTGTTGCTTTAAAGTCTGTTTTGTCTGATATAAAAATAGCTTCTCCTGATCACTATTGGCTACCATTTGCATGGAATATCTTTTTCTACCTTTTTTACCTTAAGTTTATGTGAGTCCTCATCTGTTAGGCAGGTCTCTTGAAGAAGCCAGATGCTTGGTTGGTGAATTTTTATCCATTCTGCCATTCTGAATCTTTTAAGTGGAGCATTTAGGCCATTTACCTTAAATGTTAGTATTAAGATGTGAGGTAACATTCTATTCATCATGCTAGCTGTTGCCTGAATGCCTTGTTTGTTTGTTTTTTATCATTGTGTTATTGTTTTATAGGCCTTGTGAGATTTATGCTTTAAGGGAGTTCTGATGGTGGTGGCAGCCCATCTGGAGTGGCTACTGTGAGGACAACAGCTGCAATGGGGGAGGTATGGTCAGGGTTGCGCACTCTGCAGAGCTGGTGGGGATCAGGAACAGGTGATCCCAGCGGGAGCCCTGCACCCTACCAAGTTGGCAAGGTGGGAGCCCATGCTCCTGGGTGCAGCTGTATCCATCCAGCCATGGCTCCAGACCTAGGCATCCCTGCATTCCCAGGGGCCTGGGAAGCCCCTGCCTCTGCAGGCTCAGAAGTGCCTGATCCCACTCCCTAGCCTCTCCCCATTGCTGGTGCCAACCCTGGTGTGGAGCAAAGTTGCAGACAAACCTGGGTGCTGTTGCAACCCCGCCACGTGTGTGTGCACTCGGTAGTGCTGACATGCCAGCCTCCTGCTACCTTGGCCCTGTCCAGACTTTGGGTGCTAATGAGCACAGGAGGAAGGTCAGGGGGCTGAGGGCACCTTGGTGCAGGCCTGCAGGCACCCCGGGCATAGACAGCCTGGGTGCTGTGGATGGTATGTTGATGGTGGCAAGAGGTAGACAGTTTCCTAGGTGAGAAGGGGCAGGTCCCTGGTGAAACCCCACCCTTAAGTTAGGGACAGCCTGAAGCCTGGGGGTTGGGCTGCCAGTTCTGGGTGGAGTTCATGACCCAGAGTGAGAACTTCATTGATGCCCTTCGGCCAATAAGATGGCCTGCCCATGGCTGCACATGGACCAATCAGCATGCACTTCCTCCATTCTGAGCACATAAAAACCCCAGACTCAGCCAGACTCAAACACTGGTTGAGACAACCTGCCTGTGAATAGGAGCTACCAACTTTGGGTCTCCTAAAAGCTGTTGTGTTGCTCAATAAAGCTCCTCTCTGTGTTGCTCACCTTCCAGTTGTCCATGTAACCTCATTCTTCCTGGACATGAGACAAGAACTCAGGACCTGCCGAACAGTGGAAGTGAAAGGAGCTGTAACACGTTCCTGCCTGGCTCAATGAGCTGCAGGTGGTGACATGCTCCTGAATTATGGAGTGAAGAGTGGCAACCCTTCTGGATTCCCTGAGCCAGAGCTGCTGTAACACTATAGCTCTCCTGCTCTCTGCCAATGCCAGGTGGCGCCCCACACAATGGGAAGCAGTGGTGGGGCTAGGCCAGCCCAGGAGTCATGGGCTGGAGTGAGATGGCAGGACTGAAAGAGCTGTAACACAAACAGGCTGAAACATGCCCCCACAAAACACATCTCCCTGCTCACTGTGCTGTGAGTAACAAGAAGGAGAGAAGAAATGCAGCCCTTCTGGGAACCCAGACCTCAGGGCTCCTCAAGCCAGGGCTGTGACATGCTGTAACACCCTCTTTGGAGCTCTGTGGTTTTTGGTGTCTCCGAGCTTTCAGGTCCCACTGCATTCCCCTTGTCTAGACACTGGTGCCCAGAGCAGAGGCCACTTGCAGTACATCTGGTCCAGCCACAGCCTCGCATGGAGCCAGTGACTGTGCCGGCACCTGAAGCTGCCCGCCCCGCCACAGCAGCCAGTGCACCTGGCTGTGTGCAGTGGCGGGAACCTGTGCTCATTCACTCACACACTCCTCCCTGCCGCATGCCTGGCTCGCCCTTGGCAGGCATGGGATCCGAGCCAGTAGCTTGAGCTGAGTGCAGCCTGCTGAGCCCAGGAGGCATGAACAAAACTCAAGCAGAAACACCACCAGCCACAGAGGTTTCTGGCTGGTGAAGTGACACCCCTAAGGATCCTGTGACCGTTCTATTATGGTGTATTTTGAGGTTTTGTTTCAAGATTTAGAACTCCTTTTAGCATTTCCTTTAATGCTGGCTTGGTAGTGGTGAATTCCCCCAGCATTTGTCTGAAAAAGACTTATCTCTCCTTCATTTATGAAGCTTACTTTTACTCAATACAAAATTCTTGGCTGACAATTATTTTGTTTAAGGAGGCTAAAGATAGGACCCCAATTCCTTCTGAATTGTAGGGTTTCTGCTGAGAAATCTGCCGTTTATCTGATAGGTTTTCCTTTATAGTTTACCTGATATTTTTGCCTTATAACTCTTAAGATTCTTTCCTTTGTCTTGACTTTAGATAACCTGGTGACTCTGTGCCTAAGTGATGATCTTTTCATGATAATTTCCCAGGTGTTCTTTGAGCTTCTTGTATATGGATGTCTAGATTTCTATTATTCTCAATTATTCCCTTAAATATGTTTTCCAAACTTTTAGATTTCTCTTCTTCCTCAGGAACACCAATTATTCTTAGGTTAGGTCATTTAACATAATCCCAAATTTCTTGGAGGCTTTGTTCATTTTTTAAATTTGTTCTTTGTCTTTGTCAGATTGGGTTAATTCAAATGCCTTGTCTTTAAGTGCTGAAGTTCTTTCTTGTACTTGTTTGATGCTATTGTTGAAACTTTCCAGGGTATTTTGAATTTCTCTAAGTGTGTCTTTCATTTCTAAAAGTTGTGATTGTCTTTTCTTTATGATATCTATTTCTCTGGAGACTTTCTCATGCATATTCTGTATTATTTTTTAAATTTCTTTAAGTTGTTTTTCACCTTTCTCTGGTACCTCCTTGAGTAGCTTAATAATAAACCTTCTGAATTCCTTATCTGGTAATTCAGAGATTTCTTCTTGCCTTGAATCCATTGCTGGAGAGCTAGTGTGATCTTTTGGGGGTGTGATAGAACTTGTTTTGTCATACTACCAGAATTACTTTTCTGATTCCTTCTTATTTGGGTAGACAGTTTCAGTAGAAAGATCTAGAGCTCAAGGGCTTCTGTTCAGATTCTTTTGTCCTAGAGGGTGATCCCTTGATATGAAGCTCTCCCCAGTCCCCTAGGAATGGGGCTTCTGAAGAGCGGACTGCAGTGATTGTTATTGCTCTTCTGGGTCTAACCCCCAGCAGAGCTACCAGGCTCCAGGTTTGTGCTAGGGTTGTCAGCAAAGAGTCCTGTGATGTGATCTGTCTTCAGGTCTCCCAGCCATGGATACCTGCTCCAGTGGAGGTGGCAGGGGAGTAAAGTAGATTCTGTGAGAGTCCTTGGTTGTAGATATGTGTAGTGTGCTGGCTTTCTCAAATGCTGGTTATGCTAGCAGTGAAGTTGTCATGTGGACAGACTCAGGACTTCTGGTTAGCCAAGGTGTTGCAGGTGGTGGAATTAGCTGTTGTTTTCTCCTTCTTTGGAGTGGGGTTGCTCTGTTATGAGTTGCTGTAATGGCTTGAGTTGGTTGGCTTCCAGCCAGGAGATGCCTCTTTCAAGACAGCACCAGCTGCAGTAGTAGGAGGGGGATACAAGCTTCCCCTACATTGCCCAGGATAAGTTCTCAGGTTTCTCAGGCCATGAGCAAGGCCATAGAGCTCCCAACAGTTTATGTCTTTTGTCTTCAGCTAGCAGGGTCAGTAAAGAAATACCATCAGGTTGGGGCAGAGTTAGCCAGGTCTGAGCTCCGGCTCTTCTTGGGCGAGACTTGCTATGGCCACTGTAGGGGATGGAAGGGTGGTTCTCAGGCCAATGGAGTTATGTTCTCATAGAGATTATGGTTGCCTCTGCTGTGTCATACAGGTAGCCAAGGAAGTGGGAAAAAGCCGGTAGTGACAGACCTCACCCAACTTCCACACAACCAGCAAGGCCAGTCCCACTCCCATCGTGCCCGGCCAACAGCACTGAATTTATATCCAGGCAGTTAGCAAGCAGGGCTGAGATCTTGCCCCAGGCTACAAGCCTCCCTGCTGAGAAAGCAAGTAGGGCTCTTAGGCCTTGCCCTCCCTGCCTGCCTATTCCTTTGGTTGTGCCTCCTGTGCTTGTATCTGCACTTCCTGTTCATACCCCTGGATTCTGCTCAGGAAAATTTGTGCTCATTCGAAATTATTACAAAGTTCAGCTAGAAGCTTCCTTCACCCTGTGACCCCTTCCCAATTCTGCTAGCTGCCTTCCCCAAGGACCCCTGTGAGATAAAGCTGGGGACCAGGAGTACCTACAGGGCTCTTCTCGTTGCTTCTTCTACTTTTATATTTCACTCAGCTCCCTAAAGCTGTTTCAGCTCTAGGTAAGGTTAAATCCTTCACCCATGATCTGGATATTCAGGTTCCCCAGTAGGGATATATATTCAGAGGCAGAGTTTTCCCCTCTCACATTTTGGGAATTCACCATTTGTTCAGTTATCTTACAGAGTTTGCAGTGGCAAGCCTCTTCTTTCTTTCTTTTTTGTTTTTTTGAGACAGAGTCTCGCCCTGTCATCCAGGCTGGAGTGCAATGACGCGATCTCAGCTCAGTGCTACCTCTTCCTCCCAGGTTCAAGCGATTCTCCTGCCTCAGCATCCCTAGTAGCTGGGATTACAGGCATGCACCACCACACTCGGCTAATTTTTTATATCTTTAGTAGAGACAGGGTTTCACTATGTTGGCCAGGCTGGTCTCAAACTCCTGACCTCGTGATCCGCTCACCTCAGCCTCCCAAAGTGCTGGGATTACAGGTGTGAGCCACCGCGCCCGGCCAAAGCCGCTTCTTTCAAAGGGTCTGTGAATTATTTGTTTTCCTGGTATGTTCCTGCAGTGGGTCTTGGAGCAAAAGTTCACAATATGAGTCTCCACGCACTGTTTTGTCCATCCAAGTGGTAGCTGCATGTTAGTTCTGTCTCTTATCTGCCATTTTCCTAATGTCTTCTTATCCTTTGCATATTTTTGACATCTTTTCTCATTAGTACAGATACCTACACTCAATGTTTTTAATAGCTATACTTAAATTTACCAATCTCCTCTACATTGCTAGGGTAAGAATAAAGTCAAATCCCTGCCTACCCTGTTTCACTAAAATGCTATTAATAGATAGATGAAAGACTTAAATGTAAAAACTAAAACTAAATAACATACATGATTATGTTACATAAATAAACATACAATATTTTTAATTTTTGTCCTCTGGGAGAGGATGTATTAGTCCCTTCTCATGCTACTAATAAAGACATACTCAAGACTGGGTAATTTATAAAGGAAAGAAGTTTAATGGACTCACAGTTCACATGGCTGGGGAGGCCTCACAATCATGGCAGAAGGTGAAGGAAGAGCAAAGTCACGTCTTACATGGCAGCAGGCAAGACAGCTTGTGCAGGGGAACTTCCATTTATAAAACCATCAGATTTCATGAGACTTATTCACTACCATGAGAACAGTATGGGAGAAACCACCCCCATGATTCAGTTATCTCCATCTGGTTCTGTCCCAGACATGTGGAGATGACAATTCAAGGTGAGTTTTGGGTGAGGACACAGTCAAACCATATCAGAGGAGATGGACATTTTAAATATGACATGAAACTAAAACTATAAAGGAAAATACTAGTAGTGGACACAGTAGCTCACACCTGTAATTCCAGCAATTTGGAGGCAGGAGGATTACTTGCACCCAGGAATTCGAGACCAGCCTGGATATCATAGTGAGATCTTATCTCTACTAAAAATAGAAAAAAAATAGCAGGGTGTGGTGGCACACGCCTGTAGTCCCAGCTACTTGGGAGGCTGGGGTGGGAGGTTTGATTAAGCCTGGGAGATTGAGGCTGCAGTAAGCTATTATCATGCCACTGTACTCCAGCCTGGACAGCTGAGTGAGGCTCTGTCTCAACAACAACAAAAAAGGAAAATCCTGATATACCTGACTATATAAACATTAAAAACTTTACAAAGCAAAAAATAGTCACAAAGCAAACTAAGAAAAATATTTTCAATGCAAATGACAGTACATTTCTTCAATATGCAAAAACCTTTTACAAACAAGATGCTTATGAACCAGTAAATCTTTAAAAAATGGGATGAATATGTATGTTGGCGCTTCACTGATAAATAAATACCAATGGCCAAAGAAAATAAAAAACAAAGAAAGAAAGGAGAAAAATGGTGGGGCAGAGGCGGGGGGTGGGGGAGCCATAAAAAGATAAGCTCTCTCATTCATTAAGAAATAAAGACTGGCCAAGCGCGGTGGCTCACGCCTGTAATCCCAGCACTTTGGGAGGCCGAGACGGGCGAATCACAAGGTCAGGAGTTCGAGACCATCCTGCCGAACACGGTGAAACCCCGTTTCTACTAAAAATACAAAAAAATTAGCTGGGCATGGTGGCGGGTGCCTGTAGTCCCAGCTACTTGGGAGGCTAAGGCAGGAGAATGGCGTGAACCCGGGAAGCGGAGCTTGCAGTGAGCCGAGATCGCACCATTGCACTCCAGCCTGGGTGACAGAGCGAGACTCCGTCTCCAAAAAAAATAAAAAATAAAAAATAAAGACTAAAACAAAAATTAACATATTTGATAATACTCATTGTTGGGATGATGAGAAGAAATATGGAAGTTCGAATTGGTACAAACTTCTTGGGAGGGTGAATTGGCAACATCAGCATTCTAAGTACACATATCCTTTCACTCAGAAATTCTACTTCTCCATCTTTATCTCATATAGTTAAGTATATAAAATGTACAAGGATATTTATTACAGTATTTGAATAGCAAGTTCTCATTTAAGTGGATTTAGCTAAGGAAAATAGCGTATGAAACCATTTCTTGGCATTACTTAGGTTAGCCACTAGATGTCATGATTGTTCCACAGAAATAAAGCTATAGCCAGGTGTATAAATCAAATTGGGAATACTTTTGTTATGTAGTCCTTCACTTTAAAATAAGTAGTTCTTATACATGCCACCCAGCACAACTCTAAAACAAGGACAGTTTGCCACATAACAAAATGATCTTCAAAATGCCTTTTAGATATCTAAAGAAATCTCAGTGAGTTTTCATATGCTTTCATGAGGCTTTAGTCTCTTAAAAACGCTAAAATTGGGTAGGTTCATATGGTGTGATCTGGGGGCTTTCGGGGGAACTCAGGCTTCAGAGAATCTCACCTCTAACATGTTTGTCACCTGAAATCTCACCACTGAAGATTCATTGTGGGGAGGTTAAAGTTTCCAATCTTTAGAAGTGGCATTTATTTTTTATTTTTCTATATAGTTTTAAAAAACCTTTGGCTTCAGCCAACCCTATAGGAGTGGCATTTTAAACTGTAAAATATCTCTGCGTGGAGTGACCCCCTCAAGTACTATTGCTGAATCGTTTTAAAGATTCTTTGGGTTTTAAACAAGAACGAGGCCCACGGTGAATAAAATATAAGACAGATGCCCAGGAAAAGGGACAGGGTGGGTGACAGTGCACTAGGAAGAGGTGGCTTTAGCCTGGGCTCTTATGTTCACTCTGGTGTCCCTTAAGCTAAATATGACACAACTCAGTGTGACCTTACTACTGAGAAATGTGAAAACATGAGAAAACCTAAGGCCCTAGATAACATTTAGCTTATCAAAATCCATATCATCACAGATGCTTCCTGATGCTCTCACATAGAGCTGCATACTTTATGCTAATGTAAAATAAATCATCACAAACAGATGAGGAAACAGATATCACTTATTTGTTCCTGTACTCATAATAAACTAATCATTAAAACAAGCATTCAAACCAAATCCACATTTAGTTTCTGATTAAGAAGTTCCAAATATAAGAATTGCATGTAGACGTAGGGCTAAATAAGTATTTGGCCATAAAATAATAATCTTTTTTTTTTTTTTTTTTTTTGAGATGGAGTCTTGCTCTGTCACCCAGGCTGGAGTGCAGTGGCGCGATCTCGCTCACTGCAAGCTCCGCCTCCCAGGTTCACGTCATTCTCCTGCCTCAGCCTCCTGAGTAGCTGGGACTACAGGCGCCCGCCACCACGCCCGGCTAATTTTTTTTTGTATTTTTAGTAGAGACAGGGTTTCACCGTGTTAGCCGGGATGGTCTCCATCTCCTGAGCTCGTGATCCACCCGCCTCGGCCTCCCAAAGTGCTGGGATTACAGGCGTGAGCCACCGCGCCTGACCTAAAATAATTTTTTTAAAGAAAAGAGTAGGTGATAGAGATTAAACAGGAAAGTGAATCAATAGTGTTAGGTGATAACATTTAGCAATAGTCGCGCCTTAACTTAGTTTTATATCGAGATAAAATAAAATAATGACAATGAACAGAGTAGAAAAGGCCTCATCTTGGCAAATGAAGATGTGGAATACCAAACTTGAAGACACAGCTGTTTTTTAGATATCTTCCATTTGAAAGAAATTGTATGAACAGAGTAACATGTATAAGAGTGGTTTTTTTTACTTGTATGTATTTATGAGGTACAAGTGTAATTTCGTTACACAGATAGATGTTGCAGTGGTAAAGTCAGGGCTTTTAGGGTATCCACCACCCAAATGATGTATATTGTACCCATTAAGTAATTTCTCACCATTCAACCCCCTTCCACTCCCTCACCTTCCTGAGTCTCTATTGTCTACTATTCCACACTATATATCCATGTGTACACATTATTTAGCTCCCACTTATAAGTGAGAACATGTGGGATTTGACTTTCTGTGTCTGACTTGTTTCACTTAAGATAATGACCTCCAGTTCCATCCACATTGCTGCAAAAGACACTTCATCCTTTTTATGGTGGAATAGTATTCCATTATGTATATATGTATGTTATTTATAGACACCAATCAATTCCTAATATTTTCTGTCCACGGAGCATTCTACAATTTTTAAAAGCAGGTTTACATGTTATTTTATTTTTTCATGAAGAATTATTTTTTGTTTTGATATACAATTTTTTTCTAGTCTATCTAAATGAACTAAATTACATATTCTTTAGCCTTAGGCATTTCAAGATGAGGAAAGTAAGTCTGAGTATTGAGTTTTGAACAAATTTTTATCTAAAAAGATAGAATGGCATAAATGCCCAGTACCCTCTCCCCCATCCCTAGCCTGGGAGCAGAACACTTACAGCTCTGGCATACATCTCCAAAGGGTGGACATGGAGGCTAACTGATGAAATATAAAAGGTTCTTCCTGGCCCATGACTCACATGTGTACATTTCATATTTCCTGTCCCAGAATTGAAAGGTTAGGGTGTGTCTTCAACATGATAGAAGAACAGCGCAGTAGTTCCAGTCTGGGCTGAGGGTTGGGTCTTTTTAATGTGTCTCCTCCACCTACCCCAACTGCTGTCCAACACAGTGGAGCCAACTTTTTGTTGGGCTCTTCCTTTGAGGCTAACATATCAGAAGTTGTTATTTCTCGTTCCTATTTTGCTCTTAAAATCCTGGTATAAGTTAGTGTAGGCCTTAAAACTATTGATTCAATTACTTTATCTTAATTAGGATGGCCAGTTTAACCAGAAAATGCTTATGGTTATATTCTATTCCCTTGGATTCATAATGCATTTTGAATGAAAACATACTCATTACCCTAATCCAAATATTAGTATGGACTTGGCATCTGCTTTTCTTTCTGGGGAGACAAACCATATACAAAGGAATATTCTAAAACACAATATGACACCTGATTCACCGTCTTCAATCCTAGCCCCTAAATTAAGTAACAGTAAGCCAGAACTTAAAGAAAAACCCACTGCACCCTCACAATCTCACTTTGAAAGATGATTATTGTTCTCAACTAACACATGTGGAAACTGAGAAACGAAGTTTTCAGACACCTACTCAAAGTTGCCCAGCTAGTAAGACAAAGACCTGAAACCACAGAAATCTCAATTCTTCTGACTTCATGGTATCTCTGCTGCATCCTACTTGTAAATGATGTGAGAGATACTGCCCAATGTCACATGTACGTGCATCTCTCAACCAACAATCTGGATGTGTTTTCTCTTCAAGTCCACTAAGGTAGTGGAATCACTTCCTCTACCACGTACACTTGTACATGTACAAGTACATGTACCATGTACACTTCTATGTACAATTGATCTTCACTATTTGTGGATTCCACATGTGCAAATTTGCCTACTCACTAAAATGTATTCGTAGCTCCCAAATCAATACTCACTGTACTTTCATGGCCACTCTTGGACATGCACAGAGCCATAGAAACTTGAATGGCCTGATGTGCATGTTCCCAGTTGAGGTCTAAGATGGCAATACTCTGTCTTCATTTCAGGTCTTATCGGGGGAAATTCAGCCAGATATCAGGCGAAATTCACCCCTGATATTTCACGTACGTTCTTTTCTATTTTCCCTATGTGTCAGCTGGTTTGAGAAATAAAGGGATAGAATAAAAAAGAGAGAAATTTTAAAGCTGAGTGTCCATGGGAGACATCACATGTTGGCAGGTTTCGTGATGCCCCACAAGCGGCAAAACCAGCAAGTTTTTATTAGTGATTTTCAAAAGGGGAGGGAGTGTAAGAATAGGGTGTGGGTCACAGAGATCACGTGCTTCACAAGGTAATAGAATATCACAAGGCAAATGGAGGCAGGGTGAGATCACAGGACCACAGGACCGGGGCGAAATTAAAATTGCTAATGAAGTTTTGGGCATGCATTGTCATTGATAACATCTTATCAGGAGACAGGGTTTGAGAGCAGACAACCAGTCTGACCAAAATTTATTAGGTGGGAATTTCCTGGTCCTAATAAGCCTGGGAGCGCTACGGGAGACTGGGGCTTATTTCATCCCTAAGCTTCGACCATAAAAGACGGCCACCCCTGAAGTGGCCATTTTAGAGGCCTACCCTCAGGGACGCATTCTCTTTCTCAGGGATGTTCCTTGTCGAGAAAAAGAATTCAGTGATATTTCTCCCATTTGTTTTGAAAGAAGAGAAATATGGCTCTGTTCCACCTGGTTCACCAGCAGTCAGAGTTTAAGGTTATCTCTCTTGTTCCCTGAACATTGCTGTTATCCTGTTCTTTTTTCAAGGTACCCAGATTTCATATTGTTCAAACACACATGCTCTACAAACAATTTGTGCAGTTAACGCAATCATCACAGGGTCCTGAGGGGACATACATCCTCCTCAGCTTATGAAGATGATGGGATTAAGAGATTAAAGTAAAGACAGGCATAGGAAATCACAAGGGTATTGATTGGGGAAGTGATAAGTGTCCATGAAATCTTCACAATTGATGTTCAGAGATTGCAGTAAAGACAGGCATAAGAAATTATAAAAGTATTAATTTGGGGAACTAATAAATGTCCACGAAATCTTCACAATTTATGTTCTTCTGCCATGGCTTCAGCTGGTCTCTCCATTCGGGGGTTCCTGACTTCCCACAAGCTCTCATACCAAAAACAAGTGCCACATTTTTCATGTTTTTGTAATTTTTATTGGTGATTTTGTTTAAAATGGCCCCCAAGTGCAGTTTGGAAGTGCTGTCTTAGCGTTCCCAAGCAGGAGAAGACTGTGATGTGCATCATAGGGAAAATGTGTGCATTACATAAGCTTCCTTTAGGCATGAGTTATAGTGCTATTGGTTATGAGTTCAACAATAATGACTCAAGAATATACATTAAATAAAGTGTCTTTAAACAGAAACACTCATAAAACAAGATTATGTACTGGCCAACTGACGAAAATGTGACCAAAGATTGTGACTTAACCCTGTATCTCCTCTAAGAACAATGGTTCAGTGCTCACTTATTCAGTATGCGTGGCTACTTTACAGAAAATAAGTACAATGAATAACAAGAATAGGCTGTATTTAGACAGTGTCATGGGCATTGGTTTTGAGGTACATCATCTCAACCCTGTGTAATGTCAGGGCCTGTCTCAGCTCCATATCCTCTCCCCACAATAGGGACTACTTCAGCCCATCAAGGTAGTACTTACAGTTTGGTTTGGGTTTGGTAAATTGGTGCTCCAATATCACTCTACCTTTAGAAGTAATAAACAAGGAAGTAAGTTTCTCTGACCACAGCTATTTGGGGGCTGGAATAGACCTGCTGCTTTGACAGTGGGAACAGTGGAAACATCCTTTGCTCCAGGCTATCAGAAAGGGCATCAGGTATTTTAAATTGTGTATTTTACTCACATTAATATCTTCTTAAAAGAATTGGGAAAATTCATTGACTTCCTTGTTTCTGGTGTGGAATCATGAAAAACAACTACCTTACAAGAAGCAGCTAATATTTAAGAGGATTGTTAATTTTCGTAGTCTCTATTTTGGCTGCAACTGCAATAAGAAGCCATGAGAATCCTGGCAAAAGCGATAGCCGTGGCAATGTAAGTCCACAGCTTCCTGTAAGATGTGAAAGAGAGAGCTGCTTTTCTAAAGAAAACATATT
Organism: Homo sapiens; assembly: GCF_000001405.40. Classification (NCBI taxonomy): domain Eukaryota; kingdom Metazoa; phylum Chordata; class Mammalia; order Primates; family Hominidae; genus Homo; species Homo sapiens. The sequence goes on along the minus strand of NC_000007.14, from coordinate 90,422,406 downwards.
TTTCTTGTTTTTATGACCAGCACTAACATCAACTGGGATCCAATATAGAGACTTGCCTTTTATGAATAATCACGGTGAAGCCAGGTGTGCTGTTCTAGACACTTTACCTGCATTCCTTCACAACAGTGTCTAATCCTCACAATAACACCAAGAGGTAGAAGGCATTGTCCTCATTGCAGATGAAAATCTGAAGTTCAGAGGATAATTTTCCCATTGTGTAGTAAGAGGCAGCTTAGATGGAATTCCAAGCCTGCCTACCTCCAAAGCTGGTGTGTTGCCTTCCCCAGAGCACCCTCACACAGGATGAGCTACGTAATTTGTGGAGCCCACTGAAAAATGAAAATGCAGGATCCCTTGTTCAAAAATTACGAATTTCAAGACACCCACCACAGAATATTAAAACAAGAGCAGGGCCCTTCTGAGTGCCCGGTTCTCTGTGACTGCACAGGCCTCATGCCCATGAAGCCGACCCTGCCCTCATGTCACCATACCAGCCAAAAGCACAGATCCTGCAGGAGTTGGGGCAGTATGCAGCGGAATGCTTCTATTTGTTCTTGGTGTGATCTGTGTCTATGCCACAGTGGAAACACTGCTAATTTCTCTTGGCAGTCTGAGTGCCTTTGCCTCTAACAAAGATTTCAGAAGCATCCGTGGAAACAAAACAAATTAATAAACATAGAAAGACAGGCTGCCAGTCTCTTGATACGTGACTGACAATGACAGGGATTTTAAGTAAAAAATCAGGATAAGACAATTTTCTTTTTTGCCATTTTTTCTTTCTGAAACATCTTTAAAATTTTAATTCCTTTATTTCTTTAACACTGATATGCTTTTGTTCTGTGAATAAATTGATTTTTTGTTCATCATTCTTTCACAATATCGCTCCTAAGGGCACAGAATTTCATTTGGAGCTGAACTAGGTAATTCTCATTTGCCACAAGGTGTTGGGACTTCCTTAATTCCTGCTCTGTTCCCTGCCAAAGCTAGCTTAAGTCCATTGGCATTGTGGGGGGAATCTTAACAGTCTCTCCTTATTTCACTAGCATTTTATGGCTTTCTCAACCTTAGTGCCTGACAAGTTGTACAGGCTGAGAGGGGAGAGAAGAAGTCTGAAAACAGTAGAAGGGCAAGAGCCTTCCATTCCTTCACTTCGGTCACATTTTCTTCAATGAACCTCTTTTATTCCCAACCAAGGAGCTCAATGTCCTTAGGCTGCTTCCCTTGAAAAGTCTAAAGCCATCAGATTCAGCCAATGTTGGGAAAACAGATTAAATTCACTATACTGAAATGTCAGTACAATTCAGCTTCCTTCTCCCAACCCTTATCTCACAACCACTGCTACAGGCTTTTGTCTATTTATTATTATTTTTAATTGACATATAATTTTACATATTTATGGGGTACAGTGTGATATTTTGAACATGTGTACAATGTGTCATGATCAAATAAGGGCAATTAGCATACACATCACCTCATTTATCATTTCTTTGGGTTGGGAAGATTCAAAATCCTCTCTTCACTATTTGAAAATATACAATAAAATTATTGTTAACTCTGGTTACCCTGCAGTGCTATAGTGGGAGGAATAAGCTGTAGTGTTCTACTGCTACTAGAGGGAGGCATCACTTCAGTTCAACTGCCTAATGTCTTGGAATCAGCTATTTCCTTTCCCACCTGAGAAACTATCAGTTGTATCTTCTTAAAAGGGTTGGCCCTAGATACAATTGGCTAGTTGGATAAAAACTAACAGATGATGTATTTTTTATAGGATTGGTTTATTTGCTCCTGCTAACCATATGACAACATAACTACTATGTGTATCAGATTTATTTGATTGCAAATGTGTTTATCTTCTATTCCAAACCTCATGTATGACCAGTGTTCAATTTATTGCTTTGGTAACAACAGCAGCTATTCATACCTAACCAAAATTAGGAAGAACTCTGCTCCCAATCTAAGCTCAGATCTTCCTTCTCCCTACCTTCAGATTAAGTTGTTTCACCACATTATAGCGATAGTCAGCACCTTCCAAGGGAATCTGAGATCATGAGAAAGAGCTTTTCTGATATGGAGCAAGGAAAGCTCACAATACTTATAGCACAAATACTCCTCAGGATTGATCCCCTGCAACTGCTCTTTGCATTAGTTATCTACTGCTGCAAAACAACCCCCCCAAAATTTAGCAGCTTAAAACAACAATAAGCATTGTTTCATCCAATTTGTGTGGGTCAAGAAGGTGGTAGGGCTTAGCTGAGTGATGCTGGTTTTCAGTTTCCCACTCTGGTTGCATTCAAGACACTGGCCAGGGTTGCAGTCATCTAAAGGTTTGGTTGGGGTTAGGGGGATTCACTTCCAAAATGGCTCTCTTACATGGGTGGCAAATTGGTACAGATTGTTGGCAGAAGGCCTCAGCTCTTCCTGTGTTAATCCTACAGCTGTATGTGTCCTCACAACATTGTGGCCGGCTTACCCCAGAGTAAGTGATCCAAGACAGAACAAAACAGAAGCTATGTCTTTTATGACCTATAACCTCAGAAGTCACACATCATAATTTCTGCAAAATCCTACTGGTAACACAGCCTGCTCAATGGGAGAAGAAAATACACAGGGTATGAATATCAGGAAGCAAGATCACTGGGTCCATCTTGGAGGCTAGCTACCACATTCATCATGCCACTTTTTCTATAATAATGAGTAATAGAGGAAACAGATATTCCTTGAATAAGGACTGTGACCAGTCAGTCACAGAAAAGGAATATTCCCCGTTATTTATTATTAAATTCACTTTTTTTTACACATTCATCTTGTGAGATATTGTGTCAATAATCACCAACAGTCTTATCATCTCTGGGCACAGTGAAAAAATTCTTCTAGACAACTCATGTCTTTGTGCTTAGACTGTTCTAAGATGTAGCTGCCAAATTTTATTTTAAGTATGGGAGAAACTAGGTATCAGTTGCATTTTTTCTTTGTTTTTTGAGATGGAGTCTCGCTCTGTCACTCAGGCTGGAGTGCAGTGGCACGATCTCGGCTCACTGCAACCTCTGACTCCCGGGTTCAGATGATTCTCCTGTCCTCTGCCTCCTGAGTAGCTGGGACTACAGGCACATGCCATCACACCCGGTTAATTTTTGTATTTTTAGTAGAGACGGGGTTTTGCCACGTTGGCCAGGTTGGTCTCGAACTCCTGACCTCAGGTGATCCACCTGCCTCACTCAGCCTCCCAAAGTGCTAGGATTACAGGCATGAGCCACCGTGCCCAGCCTCAGTTGCATTTTATTAGGATCATTCTGCAGCCCTGTGTATAGATAAATTTGTGGTAGGGTAGGAGAGCAATATTGGAGACAGAGAGACCTGTTAAGAGGCTATTTCAGATAGCCCCTTTATCACAGATAACATTTTACAACTCTCAGCATTGCTATTATTTTTCATTTCCTCATTAGCTAACCTGAATCTCAGCAAACGTGTCTTGCCTAAGCAGCGGTGTGCCAGTAAATGTTTAATAATCAGCTCTCAGGAAAAGGCAAAGCAAAGCCCTAACTTGCAGCATTTAACAATTTCTAGAGCATAAGTACTTTCACCCTGGCCAATTCCAAGCAACCAATATGATGTCACAGGTTGGGCAGTTGGGAGGAGATGTACACACTGGTTCTTGTGGGCCAGTACCACTTGGCTCCAGCACTCCACTGCTACCTTTGAGCTCTTAAAGCAGAAGCAGCCAGAGAAGCAGGTTAGCAGTTCTGGAACACAAGGGACTAGCTGAGTCTCGGCCCTCATCCACATGGCCAGCAAAGGTGAAGATGGGCTCACCCCAGAGAAGGGCTACCAGGGCCTGGGGTTTCCCTGCAGCAGCCTCCTGGTGCTAAACTGCCACCTGGATCTTCCACACCACAAGATTATCTTTTGAAAGTGAGGTCAAGAAAGGGGGCATGGAGAAAAAGACAAAAGTTACTTAAAAATGTAAGTGAGTTATCTAGATTTATTTACTAGATTCACTTTCAACAATTTGAGAGTGAACCTTGGAAACAAGGCCACTAGGTATTATACAATGTAAAGTATCAATAATGTCTTTTCTCTTAATGAGAAGCTGTGCCTTTTTTCCTATAAAGCAAAATCCTGGAGATATAAGCATATATTCCATCTTTCTAAAGAGGATTTTGGTTAATAAGACCACCCCAAAATCATGATTACTAGACTTTTGCTAAGAGGTCCAGTCACACTGGGTTTTTCATATAAAATAAGAAAAAGGTTCTTTTTCTTCTCATCAACCATTTCGCTATCTTCCCCAAATTTTGCTGAATACAATTTTCTATAGAACAACCTGAAAAGTTGGCATATTTTGAAACAAAATACAACAAACCAACCCAAATCTCCCTGTAATAGCAGACTTGGATATGAACACCAGGCAGGATATAGATGTGCTTTTTCTCCCCAAGTCCTACAGTCCTGCAGTGAGGTTCAAAGGGCTCTCTTGCATGCTATGGCACTGACATAGAAGCTGGCTGGGCTGGAGGGTAATGAGCCACCCAGCAGGTACAGGGGGAATGAACCTCTCCTGGAAAGGGTCCTCTAGTATGTGTGGGGTAACGTGAGTACGCTTTCAGATTGAAGACACTGCTAACCAACAGAAATGGAACAGCTAATTAAGTTACCATCCAGTCCTGTGTTTCTGTGACTTTGATTTACAACTCTTCTGCAGGGACTTTTTAGTTTTTCAGGACAGAAGATCTGACACAAATTCTTTTAAAATCTCTCCTAAAAGAGTTTATTTTATAAAATATTTTGGAGATAGGACTATATTTTTATGCATTTTTTATAAAAATGAAGAGATATGAGATCAGGATAGAGAAGGAAACAAAAAGCATAAATGGGACCAATGAGCTGCATGTTTCAAGATTAGACTCAGGCAATACCTCAGAAATATTGTGGCCTTCTCCTTGCATCATATCAGAAAGTGCATGATGTTGCTTTTTCTTATTATTGGTGACAAACTTGATCACTCAGCTAAGGTTGCCAAGTTTATCCACTATAAAGTTATTTTCCTCTCTGAAATTAATAAGCCATTTTGTACTTTGAGACTAAGCAAATATCCTGCCTCTCATAAAAAATTCAACTAGTTTTAACCCCATTGATGTTTTTCTCATTTTTTTCTCTACTTTTTATTTGGTATTTTACTATAAGAAAGAGCTTTTCTTTCTTCCCCTATTTATATCAGCATGGACATATGGATTTGTATTTTATTCAATGAGTTATAACCCATTACTATCATTTATTTTGATGTTCAGATTGTCCCAGATTTGGCCAATGGGAGCACCTTCAATCTGGCGCCTGTGAAATTTGATAAGCTCCCATGATTCTTTGAGCGTTTCCTCACTTTTTGGCAGAATAAGATGTGCTGGGCCTTGGATAAAACTGGTTGTGTCTGATGGTTCTAAGTAACATGTATTTCTCACTTCTGGTTGGTAAACCAGTCTCTGGTGAACCTGGTTAGCCCGAATGGTTTCTCTACCATTTATTCACCCTCAGTGAACCTGCACAACAGTCCAGAACGGACTGTTGTTCGTTAGTGTAACCCAGTTTGAAGTAGCTTCTGATTTCCAGTGCAACATATGGCTCAGCTATCTAACCTATCAGAGCCACAGGTTTCAGTGAGAAGTGTATGTAAGAACTGCCCCAACACAGGTGTAATCCAAAACTATACATTCATCACAGGTTTCAGAAATGTTGAGGTGACATGCCTGTCAGGACCACTTCTCCTGGTAACCTCGAGCTTTGAAGAGTACGGAAAGTTCCCTCTACTTAACTGTTTGAGAACTGAACTCCCAGTCTCTAAGATCACAGGCTGAGAAAACTCCATTGATGAGGCAAATCTGGCCCACAACTTGTCTCTTTGCAGACTGTTTAAAAAAAAAAGAAAAGGAGAAAAAAAAAAGCCCAGTGAACTGTTAGGACCACAGGACTACTTGGACTACTCTTAGAAATGGATAAAACGTCTTGGCACTTGTGGAATAAAAGTTCCATGTTTTCCAATTCCTTTCTAGTTCCTTTTTCTGAGACAAAGTCTCTGTCACCCAGGCTGGAATGCAGTGGCATGATCTCAGCTCACTGCAACCTTCACCTCCCATGTTCAAGCAATTCTCGTGCCTCAGCCACTCGAGTAGCTGGGATTACAGGTGCACACCACCATGCCTGGCTAATTTTTTGTATTTTTAGTAGAGACAGGGTTTCACCACGTTGGCCAGGATGATCTCAAGGGCCTGACCTCAAGTGATCCGCCTGCCTTGGCCCCCCAAAGTGCTGGGATTACAGGCGTGAGCCACTGCACCCAGCCTTCCAGTTCACACGTTTTAGAGCTTTAAATGGAACTGTCTTTTTCAATTTACATATATCTGAGAAACATTTCTCAAAATATTTCACCTTAAAACACTGAGGAAAAAAACAGAAGCAGAAACTTGTAAAAATACATCTTTTAATAAACATTAAGAAGTACAGCGCACTTTTATTGAGGTTTTACATTGTAGTTTACAGCAAATATACTATCCATTGTAGTGTATATGTACAAGTAAAGTAAACTTAGGTTTGTTTTCTCTCCCATGGCTGGATAAACCAAATCTGATACATCCACATTTAAGGTTGTTTTCCAAGTTGGTTTCCATAAAAGGCCTTTAACAATAATAGGCTTTTAACAACAAAAAGGTATCCCTCCCATCACAATGAGAGCTTGATGAGGGCTCAAAAGTGACTTCAAAAACTGTAAATAATTATTTTCCTTGGACGGCTTTAAAAACAGCTACTGATAGCAAATCAGAAACACTAAAGAAAAAAGACAATAAGGAAACAGCTGTTTGTCTAGTGAATCCATAATAAATACCAATTTGAGGCTATAGATTACAAAGCCAAAATATTCTTATAGGAAAGTTAATGTTTATATTTACAATCCCATGGACTAAAAAAACTGTCTAATATCTTAAAGACTGAGTCTACCTTTATTTAACATTGTTTATACACAAAGACCCAAGGGATGGTAGAATTCTTGATCCTTCTGGACAAAAGCATAGTGAGAGGGGACTGAAATTAACAAAAAGGGAAAATTAACATTAATCTCAAAATTCTACCCATCGTTGTCTTAAAATGATCAAGACTCAGCTACATCTGAGAAAAAGGAAAAGGATCAGAAGTGAAAGAAATCAGAAGCCAGTAATTAAAAAAATCATAACCTTGTGTGCTTTCTACTGACGGCATTTAAAAATTTATACAACTAGATTTATTCGCTATATATATAAACTAGTGTTGGAATTAGGGGAAAAAGTACCAAATACATCTACACAAATACTAGAATCATATTCAGAATTGCAAAAAGGCATAATAATCTGTTTACCATATAACTAGCTGTTTGTAAAATCTGTAATGGTTAATAAAAAATCCTTACGAATATAGTACTAATATGTAGTAAATTACACCAATTAAATAAGCAGCTCAAATTCATAAGGCTAAAGACCCAATATCCCTGAATTTCTAAGTGTTCATCTCAGCTTTAACATGGTTTCATCTAATTGTTACCTCATCAGAAGAGACATTTTTAATAACTCCTCCATCCTTAATACATCATCATACTTTCAGAAGTGGAGAGGGAACAATTTCCCTACCACTTTTGTCCATTCTCATAAATCAGTGTTATTACAAAATCTAGGCTAGCACAGGTGCCTTAAAGGATACAATGGACTGAAGTAAACAGAATTTCAAGGTCCAGGATATTGTTGGTGTTGTACAATTTGTCTGTCTGCCAGAAAGTTGTGTCTCTGGTTGAAATATTCCTGGATCAATGATTAAGAAGTTAAGGCCAACTGCCAACGAAGTCAGATTATTCCCCAACTGCCAGGTAACATTTTGATCTTCTCTATTAAAATGTCTTACTGGATGGAACCAGATCTCATACTTTTCATGTATCCTCTATAGCACCTACTAAAGTGTTAGGCAGAGATATATGCTCAAGGAAATAATCAGTGACGGGGGCGAGAAATGAATCAAGGGTGAATGAATCAAGGTTATGGTAAAGCCATACCTTACTTCACCCATAACTCAAAAGGCAGTCACCAGAGTAAATCTCTAGTGTACTCACTGAAGAACAGACTTCTTGTCCCCTACTAAATTATGTCTGAAAGAGAACAAACCATTATGGCCCTTTTATTTATTTCTCCTAGCCACTAAGAGATTGTATATGGGCACGAGTACTGCTTGATGGAAGATATCTCCAAAAAAGAGTTTTCTGCCTCAGAGGAAACACTAACCTGTCATAAAGCACATTCTAATCCCAATAATACAATTTATGGAATCATTAATGTTAAAAATTATTACATGTTATTCATAAGTAGGTGATATTTAGAATGGTAGTCTTATTCTAACATCGTTAAAATACGTTTTACTTTTAAACAGTGGCATGAGGTAGAAGAAAGTCACAAAAGAAAGTAATCTTCAACATACTGACACCTATTCATACAATTAGCCCCGATAGAAGAGTTACAGCCTTAAGCTAGATTATTGACTACTATTAAAATATTACCCTTACCTGAAATAAATTTCTTATATTTGAAACTGCCTTTTCTTTGCAGTTAAAGGTATTATAGAAAAAGAAAAATACACACTGAAATTTTCATGAAGATTGTATACAACAGCTTCTGCTAACCATCATTCTTTAACATGTTGCTCTACATTACCTCAATTGTGATGCAGGCCTCTTCCACTTAAATAATTAATTAGATATCAATATGAAGGCTAAAATTCCTTCCAGTATAAGAAGCAAAATTTAAAAAATTCACATTTAATATAATATACTTCTCATAAAAACTAGCAGCACTTCATTCTACTAGGACATATAAATTTGGCTTCATTGATTGGTCAAAAACAAAGGAAAATGTATGTAGGTCCAAAAGAGCTCTTTGCACAAGGGGAATGTGAGGCTACAAGAAGTTTTCTTTAACAATTAACTATTTCCCCATTAAGTGGTGTGTGAAACTACTGGAATGTCAATTTCAATGGCAGAGAGGCGAGAGCGTGCTGAATAGGGCTGTGAGTAAGTATGCATACTGGGTGGATGGGAGTACAATGGTTGCCAGAAAGGAGAAGGCAAAGATTTGCATGTACAATACCAAATAAATAGTATAAGGGAAGTCATAAACAGGCCCCCAGCACTAGCAATAGTGACATACACTGCATAGTCAAATGAAAAGACTGGCTCAAACTTCTTGTTCAGATGGATGTTATAAAAGATGACCCAGATAGATGGGGAGAGGCTCACAGTACCTGCCAGGAAAAATAGCAGCCCAGCCACCAGGTGGCAACCTGCACTATTGACCAGACACTTGGCCAGTTTGATGTTGGGCACCGAGGACCTGAAGGCAGTGTTGCACATTCCAATCAGGCAGAGCAGCAGGGCACCCATGGCGATCAGCATGCTGAGGGGTAGGGCAAACTGGAGGACACGCAGGTCCAGCTGGTCAACTGATGAGTACCAAGTAGTGTCGTACATCAGGCAGTCACTGCTCCCGTCATACCGGGCACATTTCACCCACAGGCCTGTGTAAACAGTCAGGTTCTTCTCGTTTCTGTTGAATGTGATCAATCGTAATTTTCTCCAGTTGGGAAGCAGAGTCCCTGCAAAGAGGCCTGCTACTGAGGCGATTCCACACAGGAAGGAAAGGACTGTGGCTGCGTGGACATCCCGACAGCCCATGGCAGGCAAGCTTGTGGAGTACTGTCAGTCAGACTAGGGGGTGACACACAAGAGGACAAATCATGAGGGGACAATAGCAGAACAGAGCAGGAAGGGTGGTGCCAACTGGCAACACATCTAATGATGAAATGTCAATGCAAAGAGGGAAAGTCTCTCCCTTGTTTCCTCTCTGTACAGTACAAATGTATATACATGCAGGTGTGTGTGACCTCAGAGCACAGGTGCACACACATTTGGTTATTACTGACTGGGTCATAGAGCAACTAAAATCTTTAGCCATCGGTATTTTTCTTCACAATTAAAAAAACAACCAAGATAATGTTAAAGTCTCTTACAATCACACCTTCAATCTTCTTTTTGTCAATAATCGTTCTTTCAACACATATACATCAAGCACTCTGTATGTGTCAGGCACTCACACAGCAAGGGCCCACTCATCAATCATCAGTTAGCTACAAACACCACAAATTCAGCCTCAAATGCTCATGCAGCAGGGGTGAAGGTGGCTCATAAAAAGCAAAGGTGTAGGGAAAGAAGCAGTACAGGACAGGGGAATGGTTGAGAGTCAACTCTTAGCAAGGTTGCTTGAATTCTAATCCCCATCTCCTCACTTACTAGCTCACTGACCTTGGGCCAGATTCAGAACTTCCCTGTGCCTCGTTTTCTTCATCTGTGAAATGGAAAAAATAACAGTGCCAACCTTGCAGGGTTGTTCTATGGGTTCAATGAGATAATATAATGTCAAGTGCTTAAAACATGTCTAGAACACAACAAATGCTATGCCAAGTGTTAACTACTTCTTAGCATTCAGTGACCCAGCTCACTGCTTGGCACATCACAGGAGTTCAAAGAACATTCATTGAATGAATGTTAAATAAGAAAAAACAAACTGATCTCATTCCTATGTACTAGGCACACTAGGAAATTATAAAAAGTAAATGAGCTCATCTCCAATGAGTCAGTCAAATGAAAAGATGAGAACAATGGTCCCTGAAATTATTCTGCTTAATTACTTCCTTGTTGATTCAACATGACCCAATTACTTCCTTGTTGATTCAAGATGTAGATTTTCAGGGAAATCTACAGCACTTGTTGGTTATTACTACTACTGTTCATATAAGACGAATGCAAACATTTTTCAAGTAACGACAACCTATTTCTATTAATGCTATTATAAGAAAAACAGTCGCCAGGCCTTTCATTCCAAATTAAAAGGCCATGTTCTTTTTCTGTATATGGCAAACTATAAAAAGCTTGCATCTTATTCAGCTTTAATTTCCTCAAGGGTCTGATATTCACTCTCAAAGCAGGACTCAAATGTATTTTCTCTGCCTTCTATAATGCCTACTATGAGGCAATAGAGCAGACTACTTCAGTAAGGTTTACTTTTTTGTTCAGAGCATGATGAAGGGGCAAGGTTGAGAATAATTTTTATTTCTGAATACAGTTCCATCAACCTTTGCAGAATCAAACATCTGCTGGGATGGTGAAGTTGTGTTTCCAAGCTTTCAGGATCAGAAAGACAATTATGACCAAAATGCTAGGAAGCTGGCTTAGAATGTGATTGTTGCATGAATTCCAGTGGGAGGGCACAATGTTCTTTAGAAAACAATGTTATTTGTATATTTAATCTAGTCATATAATATAGGAATAATTTTTTCTTTTTCTTTCTTTTTTTTTTGAAACAAGTCTTACTCTGTTGCCCAGGCTAGAGTGCAATGACACAATCATGGCTCACTGCAGCCTTGACCTTCCAGGCTCAAGCGATCCTCCCACCTCAGCCTCCTGAGTAGCTGGGACCATAAGCACACGTCACTATGTTCAGCTAATTTTTGTATTTTTTGTAGAGACGGGGTTTTCTCATGTTGCCTAGGCTGGTCTCGAACTCCTGGGCTCAAGCAATCCACCAGCGTCAGCCTCCCAAAGTACTGAGATTACAGGTGTGAACCAGCCCTCCTCCTTCCACCCCCACAATTCTTATTCCCTTTCTTCTTTTCTTTCTTTTAGAGACATGGTTTCACCATGTTGGCCAGGCTGGTCTCGAACTCCTGGCCTCAAGCAATCTTGCTGCCTTGGCCTCCAAAAGTGCTGAAATTACAAGCTGGGATTATAGTCATGAGCAACTGCGCCCAGCCAGAATAATTTTACTAACCAAAAAAATGCCTATGTGTACATACATATATTCAAATATACACAAATAGCATATATAAATGTACAATATAAAAATCAGAGTTTAAGCACAAGTAACCATTTTTAAAGCCCTCAAGTTAAACATGGTTAGTTCTAAGTTTTTCCATTAGTATTAGTTTAGTATTTATTATGTTACCTTCTGTCAGTATTATCAGAAGTAGCAATTTCTTAAGAAAATTTTATGAAAGGGAGAGACTAATTACAGTATTTTTTTCAAGCAAATTGGGAAAAAGCTGTCTTGCTTAATTGTGGCAACCAAACACCTCAGTACAGCAATGGAAACTAGTACAGATTTGAGAATGTTTGCACTGGAAAAAGCTACTAGAAATGCCAAGCTCTAGGATACAGCTCTCTGGTGGTCTTTGCTTATTCATCTGTCTATCTCCCCCATACAACTTGTGTGCCTGGCACACAAGTGATTCTAGGATTATTTGAATAAACGAGTATTGGGCTCTGTACAAAGACCCCAGTAACTCACAAAGGTGGGCCACTGGTAATGAAGAACTGTACAAGGAAGTAGCTATTACTAAGAAGCAATCATTCATTCAGCAAGTACTTACATCATGCTGAGTGTCTAGCATATGCAAAACACTCTGTTAGGCCCTGGAAAGACACCAAGACCACTGATAACTGGACCTTGCTCCCAATGTGTTTATAGAGACTTGTGGAAAGAAACGGCTGTCTTATGTAAACTCAAAGTGTTGGTGGTGAATCAACTGTATAATTACTACGTATCAAGTGATTATTGTTAGGTGTTAAGCAAAGTGAATAAGGTACCTGTTCATAAAAATTTATCAGGCAGGAGTTAAAGACTGAGAAATGAAGGAGAATAAGGATTTGATTAAAGTTGTGAAGACATAGGAAAAAGGTTCCCTCGTTTCTTTCAAGCTTCAGAAGTCTTCAGATAACCCACTCAAAGTCCTAATGCAATCACAATTCCTTCTTGCTTTCAGAAGTAATATACTGGCTGGGCGAATTGGCTCATGCCTGAAATCCCAGCACTTTGGGAGGCCAAGGCTGGTAGATCACTTGAGGTCAGGAGTTTCAGACCAGCCTGGTCAACATGGTGAAACCCCATCTCTACTAAAAATACAAAAACTAGCCAGGCATGGTGGCACGTGCCTGTAATCCCTGCTACTCAAGAGGCTGAGGCAGGAGAATCGCTTGAACCCAGGAGGTGGAGGTTGCAGTGAGCCAGATCACACCACTGCACTCCAGTCTGGGTGACAGAGCACGAGACTCTGTCTCAAAACAAACAAACAAACAAACAAACAGGAACAAAAAACAAAAGTAGTATAGAAATAATTGGAATTTCAATGTAATTGAGATTTCTCCAATCAAACTGCCCTGTAACACTGATTCCTGAAATGTAAATGGAGTGAGAAACAAGATCAGGATGTATAACTCCATTATTAATAAATTCCAGGCCAGGTGCTGTGGCTCATGCCTGTAATTCCAGCACTTGGGGAGGCTGCGGTGGGAGGATAGCTTGAGCCCAGGAGTTTGAGACCAGATTGGGCAACATAGCGAGACCCCATCTCTACAAAAAAAAGAAAAATTAATTATTAAGAAAAATAAATAAATTCCTATAATTCTTAGCCTATAGACTATCAAATGACATTAATGAAGAGAGGTACGACAATATATATTTCAGTAGTAAGTGCTTTTAACTATATTCTGCATCAAATCAATACAAATATTATATTGGTTCTCTGAAATTGCCTTTGATGAAGCATTCTTAGCTCAGATCTCAGGGATGGACAGAGGCCTATCTATACAGAGTCAACAAGGATACCACGGCACTTTTTCAGAAGGGAAGTACTATTAACCTTAATTCTTAAGCTAAATTTTGGCCTGATACTGGAATTAATGTCTAGCTTCTTTTGGCTACTTCACCTTGTATGCCCTGTTCTTAATTTCAAATGCCTATGATTTGATAAGTCATATATCCCACCAGAGAGATAAAGTAATTTCTTTTAAGACAGGGTCTTACTCTATCACCCAAGCTGGAGTGCAGGGCATGATCACAGCTCACTAGATTTCAGTGAGCTGAGATCCTGGGCTCAAGTAATCCTCCTGCCTCAGCCTCCTGAGTAGCTGGGATAACAGGTGCATGCCACCATGCCAGACTAATTTTTAAGTTTTCCCTAGAGATGGGGTCTTGCTGTGTTGCCCAGGCTGGTCTTGAACTCTTGGGCTCAAGCAATCCCCCCACCTCCACCTTTCAAAGGGCTGGGATTACAAAAGTAAGCCACCATGCCTGAAGTAAAATTTTATAGGATAGTTTGGGGAAAGAATATGTTTGATGTTTTAAAACAAAGATAATGCTGACTTCCCGATTAGGATTTGTTCATACTTGCAAGGGTAAAAAGACCTCTACTCTTGTGCTGTGTCAATTAGTTTTAATCCACAATAATTTTTTTCAAATGCAAACCTCATCCGCCATTCCATTTCTTACCATTCAATAAGTTCCCATTTCCCACAGAATAAAATCTCTAAAGTTTCAACTCCTCCCCATAGCTTACACCACCTGATTCCTACCAAATTCTCAACCTTCGTATGTGCCACTCTCCCACCCCACACACTACAGTCTATGCAGCCAAACCACATTTCTTTTGACTTCCCAAATTTTCCACTTTCTGATTTGGTTAAGGGCCTTCCCTCATGGTCTTTCTCCTAGAACTTTCTTAATTCCAACCTATTCTTTGCTTGGCTAATATTTACTCATTCTTCTAGTGTCCAGGGAGGCTTGTCCTAAACCTCCCCCTGTCCCTGGTTATATGCTGTGGTAGCACTTTTGCACTTTTTCTTCTGTAGCAGTGATCATTCTTATAACTCCTTGTTCAGTGTAGTTTTCTTTCCCATCAGACTGTGAATTCCAGGGACAGAGATCCCTTTGTTTTGTTCACTGTTCCCTATACTGGCACATAAAAGGCACTCGATTATTTGCTGAATGAATGAACAAACAAATGGAGGTTCTGTATAACTCTGGTCAGAATACAGACAGAAATTTAGTCTCAGTTCCATTCACTTCATTTGAGAGAATTCACACCACCCTGTGTTCTGATACATCCAGACTGTTTCTAGACTGTGCCCCTGCTTTCTCCTTTTTGGCCAAAAGACTCCCATTTTACAAAACAACATTCATTTTCTTACCCCAGAAACCTGTGATTAGCAAAGACAAGGCCATCCTTAGGTACCTACATGCAGACTATGATTCTAGAAATATATATCTAGGTTTAGCAACACTGTCTAACTTCAACAAATGGTTTGAAAGTCAATTATTCCTGGCGCGGCGTGGTGGCTCATGCCTGTAATCCCAGCACTTTGGGAGGCCGAGGTGGGTGGATCACGAGGTCAGGAGTTTGAGACTAGCCTGGCCAATATGGTGAAACCCCGAGACTCCATTTCAAAAACAAAAAGTCCACTGTTCCGGTATTGATTTTTCTGTTTTCAACTTAACAGGTATGTCATGAATTAGACATACTTCTCTTAAGAGTGGTTAATATATCAAATTAATATTTATTAAAGCTAAACAATATATAGTTTTTTTAATGGAGAAAAAAAAACATCTTTTTGCCATGTGAAAATCCCTAATTAGGGACTGTGGAAAACGTGCAAGGCTAAGAACACTTTAACAAATCTGTCAAGCAGTCATGAGTACTAGCTGGATGAGAGCTTTGAGCTAGGTCATACATACACATAAGTGGTTTGTTGTTTCCATCCAGGAGGCTGCTTGGTATTGTTGTCCAGGAGACCAAAGACCTGAATAACATTCATAACCTATCATTTACAAACTGGACAAGTCACTTATGTCCTCTGAACCTCCAATTTTTCATCTGTAAAGTGTCCCACAAAGTAGTAAAATCATGAATAGCAAAGTCCTTTGTAAACCAGAATATGGTCAGAAATGTAAGTCAGTAATGATTATTAGCAGGCTTATTTACTTTTTTCAGCTAGAAACATACTTTTCTTCTGGACCCTCAGCAAATGACTACAGATGGTTATAGTCATATAACAAGAAGGACAGAACATTCTCTTTGGAGATACTGACCAAATCAAATAGAGACTCTATTTCAAATAACCACTTCACATTTGTCATTTGACTCTCTGTTCCACCGTGACTCAGAAAAGTAGATAAAATTTGATACACAATTAAATGTTATCAGAGACATAATTACGAATAAAAATATTTTCAAATTATATATTTTCTGTGGTTTTGAATAGAATTTAAAGAAGGCTGGAGCAGGAACAGTGGCTAAGAGCTTTAGGAAGTCATGTATCCAATAGACCCTGTACTATTTTTTCCAGGCACAATTCTGAGTTATAGTTACAAGAGTTACGAGAGTACATATGTCTAATAGCAGCTAGCTTCTATTTTTTTGAGACAGGGTCTCGCTTTCTCACCCAGGCTGGAGCACAGTGGTGCAATCATGGCTCACTGCAGCCTCGACCTCCGAGGCTCAAGCAATCCTCCCACCTCAGCTTCCAGAGTAGCTGGGACTATAGGCATGTACCACCACAACTGGCTAATTTTTTAAAATTTTCTCATACAGTCAGGATCTCGCTATGTTGCCCAGGATGGTCTCAAACTCCTGGGCTCAAGGGATCCTTCCACCTCAGCCTCTCAAAGCGCTAGGGTTACAGGGCTGAGCCACCATGCCCAGCCCTAACTTAATTCTTGATGGTAACATTGAGAGTTCCTTCTACCTATAATTTGGGTTTTCTTAGAAACTGTAAGTCATCAGTCATTGTACTCACAAGAGAGGTCTGTCCTATACCTCTATTTTGTTGAACAAGAGAAAAAAAAAGAGTCATTGTTGGCAGATGTGGTAGCAGGAGGGAGGGAAATAAGATATAATTAAAGGACGTACTTACGCTTTGAGGTACCTGACAGTTCCAAAACAGCTTTATTCAGCTTAGAAGAGACACATGAAGATCTGAATACAGAGTAGCAATAATCTGAGCCTAAAGAAATAGGAAAAATACTCCAAATTAACATAGTACTTCTCTAAAAACCCTGCTTGAATTCCCATGGATTAGAAGAAATGATTAGTAATCACCTAAAACCAATGAAATGTTATACTAAAAAGGGCAGACAGTAAGTTTTTTAAAAAGGCAGTTTAGCAGGGGCACAGTGGCTTACACCTGTAATCCCAACACTTTGGGAAGCTGAGGCGGGATGATCACTTGAGCCCGAGTTCAAGACCAGCCTGGCCAACATGGCAAAACCCCATCTCTCCTAAAAATACAAAAATTAGCTGGGCATGGTGGCTCATGCCTATAGTCCCAGCCATGTGGGAGGTTAAGGCACAAGAACCGCTTGAACCTGGGAGGTGGAGGTTACCGTGAGCTGAGATTGCACCACTGCACTCCAGTGTTGGTGACAGAGAGAGATTCTGGCTCAAAAAATAATAATAATAATAATTAGCCAGGTGTGATGGTGCACACGTGTTGTCCCAGTTTCTTGGGAGGCTGACATGGAAGGATCACTTGAGCCCAGGAGTTTGAGGACACAGTGAGTCATGATCATGCCACTGCACTCCAGCCTGGATGACATAGCAATGATCTGTCTCAAATAATAAAAAAAAAAAAATAAAAAGGCTGTTTATTCCTTAATTCATGCATTATATATGAGAAATATATAGAATATAGAAAAATACGTAGAAATAGAAGAAAAAAATTAACTCATCTTGTGACTTGAGAATATAGGAGAAATGAGGATGAAAAACACTTTGCTGTCTTGGGAATATATGATTGATATTTAATGAATGTTTTAGATCATTTTCATGACTACGGTGAAAGGATAAGGAAGGTGGTGAAAGACTGTGCAGTTGTCTTGGAAGTAAAAGAAATTTTCTTTTACATTTTTAAAAAAGGACACTGACAACAAGACCAGACAAAGTTGATCTGAATTCTGCATCCTGAAATTTGCAACCAGAATGCTTAAAAAAAAAATAGTTCCACCAATGGCTCAACCTGATACTTAAAGATGCTTCTATATATCTACTTTAAACATTAGCCACTTCCTCTTCAAATACCATTTATCTCAAACAGGTAGGATGAGAATGGAAACTCATTATTATGTGCGCCTGAGAGTTTCCTGGATTGAGGCGTTCATCACTAGCCCTATTACGATCATTATGTAGAATGCTCTCTGCAACTGGCTGCTCGGAGATTTCAGTCAAGTCCCCCCCAACCCCTCCCCCGCCCCAAATGTGTTTCTTGGGTTGGTATCAATCATAATTGCACACTCCAAAGTCAGAGGAAATCGTTTTACAATTAATAACGCACAATAGAATCCTTGAGCAATCATTTTAAGTGAGGTCACCAAGTCTGACCTTTCCCTAACGTGGCTATGGGCCCCTTACAAGGCCGGGTGCACAGAACTTACAGGAAAGCAAACCAAGCTTCCAGAGCAATCCGCATCCCCCTCCGCCCCCCTCCTCCCCCCTCCGCCTCCTCTCCTCCTCCCTCTTTTCGAAGAGCCCTGTGTGTGGTAGACCCAGACCTGGCAGAAGGAAGAAAACGCCCTACTAGTTAGAGCCAATGGAGAGAGACCGCAACAGTGACTGTTAACGCTCTCAGAGCTAGCCCATCCCTGCAACACTGAGTGGGTTTGAACCGCAAGCAGGTCATCATTACGCAACCAGCATCAGCTGGTTATTCAAAAATAGCAGCTTGGGCTCCCCCACAAACCCGCGCCAGCAAAGCTCCCAGTCCTTGGCGGCTCCGGCAACACACCTCGACATTTCCATACTCCTGTGTACAAAATAATTTTTTAAAGCCTTACCAAATACCTACTCAATTTTCACATCCACAGATGTGGTCAGCGTTTTCCAACGCTCCTGATTCTCCTGGATTTAGCCATTTTACATAAAATCCTCAGTTACTTATGCAAAAGACCCAGAAATCGGAACATCTTGACCACACCTACCTGCTTCTCACACGCAGGGCATTTTACTCGCCCACACTGAGGAGCCTCTTGGAGCGTCTCCCTCTCAGCGTCCCAGGAAGTGCGTTCCCAGCGAGGTACACCGGAGGCTTCTGGGAGCGCAGTCAGGTTTTCCCGTGGCCCTGAACGGCAATGCCCTGGATGGCTGGGACTACAATTCCCAGAATCCACTGGGCCGCCAGCCGCAGGCAACATCCTGCGACCACCTCCTGCCCTTCCCTTTCTCTGCCTCCACCTCCCCGGATTTCTCTTGCACCTTATGTTCCGTCTAGAATTGGGTTATCGGTTAAAGAAAAAAAAAAGGCAAAACGAAACAAAACTAAAAGTAGTTTTGAGTTGGATACCTAAGTACCCAGGTGACTTGAAGGTGACTTGCCCGTAGGAAGGTTAGCAAAAATTCTTAAATCTGGATTTTTTTTCCCCTCAAAGTGTTTATCTAGGCAAAAAGTAGAAAAAGAGCTCAAAGTCTAGAACCAAACAGCCCAGATTTGTATGGGGCTTTGCTGTGTATTGATTGGGTGGCCCTGGGAAAGTTATCTCTACATCTGGAGGTTATCTGGAAAAATGGGGATAAGATCACCCACATCATACTGTTGTCTTGAAAACTGAGGGACCTAATATAGCTAAAGTACAGTATAGCTAGCTATTAGATATTTGAACTAATTTTACTCTCCCACACAATTTCTACTGTCCTGTCCCTTTCTCTGTTGGCTTCTCTCCAATGTGAAGTCCTGCATTAGTGAATGAATATCTGAATTAAACTAAAAGATTCCAAAGTCCTAAATAGCAATGATCTGATTTTTTAAAAAATAAAGGATGCTGAAGTGTTGTGATGCCTACTACTTCGAAATGATCACACATACACACACACATACACACACACAAATGGATATAAAGTGTGGCAAAGTGTATAATTGTTGGATTCATGAAGAATATGTTTGTGGGTGTCTCTTGTACTATTCTTTCAAATTCTCTGTATCTTAGAAATTTTTCAAAATAAAAAGAAGAAAAAGTATCATAGTTTATACAAAAGGATGGCACCCATCCCAAGTAAGTATAACCTTGGCAAGTAAGGTAACCCCTTTGTGCCTCAAGGTCTCATCTGTAACAGTATATCTACATCAGAAAATTGTGATGAGGATTAAATGAATTACTACAGAGACAGTTACAACAGTATCTGACGCATAATAAGGACTATATGTTTGCTATTAGCATTTTCCATTTTGCGTTGCTCTAGTAACAATGAGACTATTTGTCAGAGACTTTTTAAAAAGGGAGGGTAGAGAGGCTACTATCAGTCCACTGCTACCTCCTTCTTATGTGTGATACTGCTTTAGAGGATGGATAAGGTTATCTAAGGCCAGAAGCAATCCGATCCCAAAGCCAGACTGGGAAATGTAATAATGAGGAAGAAAGATAGCATTGGGTGGTGAAAAGATTTCTGGGCTCCAGGCCAGCTCTGGCAATAGCAGATGGATAATAGCAATGTGACAAACGATAATCACTTATTTCCTCTGAACTTCAGTTCTCTCATCTATAAAGCTGAATTGAATCAAATAACTATGTACAAAATCATCTTATAACTTATTTCCCAATCACTGATGAATACTGCCTGATTAGAGGACTTTAGCTGGGAGGTACTTGCAATTGATTACAATAATTTTAAAAAATCACAGCACAAAAAGGAAGGAAAGACAACCCTATTCCTAGACTTACTGTTCAAGCTGGGGTCTAAAATGCCTGCCTCTGGCATAGCAAAGATGGAACAGAATACTTAAATACCCTGTTGGAGTTCAATAGTTAGATAATTGGAATATAATTCTCAAAAATACTTTAGATAAGAATTTAGATCTGCAATTAACAATCCTGTCTTTCCTCTTTTTCTCATTAGAGATTCTTCAAGGAGAAAGTCAAATCTTAAATTCACTGCAGTGTACCATTCACCACCAAAATTCTACAGAGATTCCCATTTGGTCACTGTGTTAGATTTCTATTGCTGCTGTGACAAATTACCACAAATTCAAAGGCTTAAAACACAATAAATTTATTATCTTACAATTCTGGAGGTCAAAAATCTGACACAGGTCTCACTGTGCTAAAATCAGGATGTCAGCAGGGGTTTTTCCCCTTTTTTACTAATGTGTGATAGATGTTCATAGTGTTTAGAAGTAGATATGATCATATAATACATTCATATAATTTGTAAAGATCAAATCAGTGTACTTGGGATATTCATCACCTTAAATATTTGTCTTTGCTTTATGCTAAAACCATTTGAATTCTCTTCTAGCTATTTTGAGATATACAACACATTACTGTAAACTATAGTCACCATACTAATATAACATTAGTTCTCAGTTCTTCTATCAAACCATATATTTGTACCCATCAATCAACTTCTTTTCAAACCCCTCTTCCACCCTACCCTTCCCGGTCTCTGATGACCACCAGCCTACTCTCTATTTTCATGAGATTCACTTTTTTATGTCCCACATGAGTGAAAACATGTGTTATTTGTCTTTCTGTGCTTGGCTTATTTCACGTAACATAATGACTTCTAGTTCCATCCATGTTGCTGCAAAAGACAGGATTTCATTCTTTTGTAATAGTTGAATAATGTTCCATCGTGTAAATATAGCACATTTTCTTTATCCATTCATCCACTGATGGGCATTTAGGTTGATTTCATATTTTGACCATTGTGAATAGTGCTACAATATACATAAGTGTATTGTTTTTCCAATATATTGATTTCCTTTCTTTTGGATATACACCCAGTAGTGAAACTGCTGGATTATATGGTAGTACTATTTTTAGGTTTTTTGGAAACCTCTATACTATTCTCCACAATGGCTGTACTAATTTGCATCCCCATCAACAGTGTACAAGAGTTTCCCTTTTGCCTCATCCTTGCCAGCATCTATTATTGCCTTTTAGATAAAAGTCATTTTAACTGGGGAGGGATATTGTAGTTTTGATTTGCATTTCTCTAATGAGTAGTGATGTTGAGCATTTTTTCATATACCTGTTGGCCATTTGCATGTCTTCTTTTGAGAAATGTCTATTCAGATCTTTTGCCCATATTTTAATCAGGTTATTTGTGTGTGTGTATGTGTGTTTGCTATTGTTTGAGCTCCTTATATGTTCTCGTTATTAATCCCTTGTCAGATAGGTAGATCACAAATATTTTTTCCCATTCTGTGTGTTGTCTCTTCACTTTGTTGATTGTTTCTTTTCCTGTGCAGAGCTTTTTAGCTTGATATAATCCTATTTATTTTTGCTTTCATTGCTTGTGCTTTTAAGGTCTTACACAAAAAATCCTTGCCCAGACAATGTCCTGGAGGGTTTCTCCAATGTTTTCTTCTAGTAGTTTCATAGTTTCAGGTTTTAGGTTTAAGTCTTTAATCCATTTATATTTGATTTTTGTGTATTGTGAGAGATAGAGGTCTAGTTTCATTCTTCAACATATGGATATCCAATTTTCTGGCATCATTTATTGAAGAGACTGTCCTTTCCCCATTGTATGTTCTTGGTGCCTTTGTCAAAGATGAACTGGCTGTAAATGCATGGGTTTATATCTGCATTCTTTATTCTGTTCCATTGGCCTCTGTGTCTGTTTTTTAAGCCAGTACCATGCTGTGTTGATTACTATGCCTTTATAGTAAATTTTGAAGTCAGGTAGTGTGATATCTCCAGCTGCGGTCTTTTTGCTCAGGATTGCTTTGGCTATTTAGGGTCTTTCGTGGTTTCATATATATTTTAGAATTTTTTAAAATTTCTGTGAAAAATGTCATTAGTATTTTGAAAGGGATTGCACTGAATCTGTCAATAGCCAAGGTTAGTGTCATGCTCACAATATTAATTTTTCAATCCATGAACATGGAATATCTTTCCATTTTTTGTGTGTCCTCTTCAATTTCTTTCATCAGTGTTTTATAGTCTTCCTTGTGTGGATCTTTCACATCTTTGGTTAAATTAATTGCTAGGTGTTTTATATTCTTTGGAGCTATTATAAATAAAATTTCATTCTTGATTTATTTTTCAATTGTTTGCTTTTGGCATATATACATGCTACTGATTTTTGTATGTTAATTTTGTATCTTGCATCTTTACTAAATTTGTTTATCAGTTCTAATAGTTTTTTGGTGGATTTTTCTAAGTAAAACATCATGTCATCTGTAAACAAGGCTAATTCGACTTCTTCCTTTCCAATTTAGATGCTCTTTCTTTCTTTTACGTAATTGCTCTGGCTAGGACTTCCAGTACTATATTGAATAAAAGTGGTGAAAGTGGGAATCCTTGTCATGTTCTAGATCTTAGAGAAAAGGCCTTCAGTATTTCCCTGTTCAGTATAATGTTAGCTATGGGTTTGTCATAGATGGCCTTTATTATTTTGAGGTATGTTCCTTCTATACCCAATTTGATGAGGGTTTTTTTTTTATCAAAAAGCGATGTGGATTTTATCAAGTGCTTGTTTAGCATCTATTTAAATAATCATATTGTTTTTGTTCTTGGTTCTGTTAATGTGATATATCACATTTATTGATTTGCATATGTTGAACCATCCTTGCATCCCTGTAATGAATCTCACTTGATTATGGTGAATGATCTTTATAATGTTTTGTTTGAGAAAGAGTCTTGCTCTGTCATCCAGGCTGGAGTGCAGTGGCATGATCTTGGCTCATTGCAACCTCCACCTCCCTGGTTCAAGCGGTTCTCCTGCCTTAGCCTCCTGAGTAGCTGGGATTACAGGCATGCGCCACCATGCACATCTGATTTTTGTATTTTAGTAGAGATGGGTTTTCGCCATGTTGGCCAGGCTAGTCTTGAACTCCTGACCTCAAGCGGTCTTCCTGCCTCAGCCTCCCAAAGTGCTGGGATTACAGGCGTGAGCCACTGCACACAGTCTTTAACATATTGTTGAATTTGGCTTGCTAGTATCTCAAAATTTGTTGAGAATTTTTACATGTATGTTCATTAGTGATATCGGCCTATAGTTTTCTTGTTTCATTCTGTCCTTGTCTGGTTTTGGTATCATGGTAATTCTGGCTTCATAAAATGGGTTTGGATGTTTTCTCTCGTCTTCAATCTTTTTGAAGAGTTTTAGTAGAATTGGTGTTAGTTCTTGAAATGTTGAGTAGAATTCAGCAGTGAAGCCATCAGGTCCTGGGCTTATTTTTTATTTATTGATGGGAGACTTTTTTTTTTACTCATTATTGGTTTATTGAGGCTATTTCTTCATGGTTCAGTCGTGTGTGTGTGTGTGTGTGTGTGTGTGTGTGTGTGTGTGTGTGTAGGGCTTTTTTAATGTAATACATCTGAAAAGAATGCATATATAGAGTTGAGACATGAGAAAGCATTGGTTCAACACTAGTGAATCTATAAGAATTAGGATTGGGGAAAGGAAAAGATTACCTAAACATTTTTAGAAATTGGGAACTGCAACAAAAATAAGCTGATAAATCCCTGTTAACACTTATGAAGAGCCTTCATAAGACTCTTTCCATGATTTTATTAAACTAGAGAGCCTCATCTAGCTGCTCTAGGGTTCCTCATATGTGAAACAGAAATAAGGGGATTCCCTGACTGGTCCCAATGTTGTTAAGTGTTCTCCTCACCCTCACTTCACCCCCAGCTTCTTAATGAAGTAGGTCTTCATTCCCATAACTTGAAAGGATATGGATCATTCCATAGATGTCTGTCTTCTAGCACCACCTCTCATATTTCCTGTACATACCAGGTCTCCAGCTTCATTCTAGGGATAAAATATACTACTGAGTTGCAAATCTATGCTAAGGATATAAGACAATGACTGACAGGGAAAAATTTATTTTAAAATACATATTCTGGGAGGCCGAGGCAGGCGGATCATGAGGTCAAGAGATCGAGACCATCCTGGCCAACATGGTGAAACCCCATCTCTACTAAAAATACAAAAATTAGCCGGGCATGGTGGCATGCACCTGTAGTCTCAGCTACTGGGGAGGCTGAGGCAGGAAAATTGCTTGAACCCGGGAGGTGGAGGTTGCAGTGAGCCAAGATTGTGCCACTGCACTCCAGCCTGGCAACAGAGCGAGACTCCATATCAAAAAAAAAAAAATTACATATTCAATCCAGTTAGTGTATTTCCAATGTGCAATACTTTTCTTCATTAGTGAAAGAAGTTAGGAATTAATTTTCCCCCAAATCAGGAAATGGCAAATAAATGTCTTTGAAAGTCACAGTCACATATATAGTGCATACTAGAAAAGAGGAGGGACAAGACAGGTTCCACGCACTTTCATGAGTATCATCAGATACTGGATCTATTCAAGGGTAAAGAGAAAAGGCAACTTTCAAAAAGTAGCACATTATTAAATGAAGCATTTACTATACTTCTTCCTAAGAGCACCAGATTGAGAACATGTTTTCTAAATGAGATCTAAAAAGTGGAATGTGGAATCAATCTGTCCTCCTCCCCTTAAGGGCTGTCCATTGGTTAATTAAAATAAACAAGACTAAAAATCAAACCCCACCCATACTCCCCCTCCCAAAAAAGAGGGGGAAAAACTCACTAAAATGTCCCAGATTACTCTCCAGAATAGAACCAGGGAGCAGTTTTAACAATTCAAATTAGTCTGTTACAGAGTCAACACAGCATGCCTTGCTTTTAAACAAAAAATTAAATTAAAAAATAAAATTTTTTTTGGAACAACAAAACAAAAACTAATACTGATCACTTTTCTGACAATACACAATTACTCAAAATTAACTAGTACTGGGAGAGGGAAGGTGGGGATACTTATGGGCCTTGTCTCACACGAGTGCATGTGTGTAAGTCCAGGGCATTTGTCATTATCGCAAAAATGAATTTTGATTTTTAATCTCTAGTTTGATAAACACTGCTTTTGGTATGATGCCAATACCAGCTGTGCAGGAAAGGCTCTGGAAAGATGTTCATAGCAGCACACACTTGCAGCTCTTTTTCAGTTCTGGAGGCTCCAGGGCAGCCAATATGGCTTCATCAGATACATTTTTCGGCCTAATTTGCAGTTTCACTCCAGTGTTGCTTCGATGATTTTCTGTCTGGATGATCTGTTCATTACTGAGAGTGGGGAGTTACAGTCCCCTACTATTATTGTATTGTTGTCCATTTCTCCCTTTAGATCTATTAATGTTTGCTTTATATATTTGGGACCTCCGGTGTTGGGTGCAGATATTTGTAATGTTATATCCTCTTGCTGAATTGATCTCTTTATCATTATATAGTGACCTTCTTTGTCTCTTTTCAGTCTTTTATTTGTAGTCAATTTTATCTGATTTAAGAATAGCTACTCCTGTTCTTTTTTGGTTTCCAGCTACATGGAATATCTTTTTCCACCCCATCACTTTCACCATGTGTATCCTCATAGGTGAAGTGGCAGCATATACTTTGTTTCATATCCATTCAGCCCCTCTATGCCTTTTCATTGGAAAATTGAATCTATTTACATTCAGAGTTATTATTTGATAAGTACTGCCATTTTTTTTTGCTTGTTTTCTGGTTGTTTTGTAAGTCCTCTCTTTCTTTCTTCCTGTCTTCCTTTATGGTTAAATGATTTTCTCTCATTGTATGTTTTAATTAGTTGTTTTTCATTTTTAATAAATCTATCATAGATTGTTGTGTGAGATTACCATGAGGCTTACAAAAAATGTTATTTTAAGGAGATGACAACTTAGATTGCAAAAAAAGTGAAAAAAAACTTGTACACTTTAACTCCATGTCCCACATATTTTGACTTTTAGTTATCTCAATTTACCTATTTTTATATTACCTACCTCTTAACAGGTTGCTGTAGCTATTATTGTTTTTGATAGAGTTGACTTTTGCGCTTTATACTAGAGTTATAAATAAATTGCACACCATAATTACAATACTAGCATATTCTGGATTTATCTGTGTACTTAATTTTACCAGCGGATTTTATATCTTCAAATGTGTTGGATTTTTTTTCTGCATGGTTAGTGTTTTTTGCAGAACTTCCTTCAGCATTTCTTTTTTTTTTTTTTTTTTTTTTTGAGACGGAGTCTCACTCTGTAGCCCAGACTGGAGTGCAGTGGCACGATCTTGGCTCACTGCAAGCTCCGCCTCCCGGGTTCACGCCATTCTCCTACCTCAGCCTCCCGAGTAGCTGGGACTACAGGTGCCCGCCACCATGCCCGGCTAATTTTTTGTATTTTTAGTAGAGACGGGGTTTCACCATGTTAGCCAGGATGGTCTCGATCTCCTGACCTCGTGATCCACCGGCCTCGGCCTCCCAAAGTGCTGGGATTACAGGCGTGAGCCACCGCGCCCGGCAGCATTTCTTGTAAGATGGATTTGGTGGTAGTGTGGGAAGGGACATATATCTCCTTCATATTTGAAGGATTACTTCTGGTTCCAGTATACTTGGATGGCAGGCTTTTTTTCTTTCAGCACTTTGAAAATGTCATTGCACTCCCTCCTGGCCTATATGGTTTGTTGAGAAGTCTGTTGCCAGATGAACTGGAACTCCTTTATGTTATTTGCTTGTTTTATTTTGCTGCTTTTAGGATTCTCTTTGTCCTTGACCTTGGAGAGTTTGATTATTAATGCCTTGTGGTAATCTTTGTATTGAATCTGTTTGGTGTTCCCTAACCTTCCGGTACCTGGGTATTTATCTCTTTCTCTAGTTTTGTTATTATTTCTTTGAATAAGTTTTCTATCCCTGCTCTTGCTCAACTCACTCTTGAACACCAATAATTCTTAGATTTGGTCTTTGGAGGTAATTTTCTATATCTTCTAGGTGATTTTTTCCCCTCATATTTTACTCCCAAAAGGTGATCTTCATGGCTTTTCACTGTTTTCTTTTTTCTCCTCTGTGTATTTTCAAATAGCCAGAGTTCACTGATTCTTCTGCTTGATCCACTCTGCTGAATTTTTCAGTTTAGCCAATGTATTTCTCAGTTCCAAGATTTGTTTAACATTTAAATCTTTGTTACATTTGATAAGTTTCTGAATTGTTTTTCTGTGTTATCTCGGAGATCCCTGAGTTTCTTCAAAACTACTACTTTTAATTCTTGGTTAGAGAGCTCACGTATCTCCAACTCATTAGGGTCAGTTACTGAGGAAACATTCTTTTGATTCTTCCTTTGAAATACCCACTTGCCCTTTATTCACTACAAATAATTATCGTAATTTTATTCAAGGCCTCACCTCCTTAGATCAAGATAGGTGCAAAAATTTCCATAAGTAATGGTGAATTTAAAATACTAGAAAACCCAATAATTTATTATTATTTAACATTTTTGTTTTGTTTTGTTTTGTTGAGACAGAGTCTTGCTCTGTCACCCAGGCAGGAGTTCAGTGGCGCAATCTTGGCTCACAGCAACCTCCGCCTCTGGGTTCAAGCGATTCTCCTGCCTCAGTCTACTGAGTAGCTGGGATTACAGGTGTGTGCCACCATGCCTGGTTAATTTTTGTATTTTTAGTAGAGATAAGATTTTACCATGTTGGCCAGGCTGGTCTCAAACTCCTGACTTCGAGTGATCTGCCCACCTTGGCCTCCCAAAGTGCTGTGGTTACAGGTGTGAGCCATGGCGCCCAGCCTATTATTTTAAATTTAAAACAGAAAACCTTATTACATACTAAGCAGTGGGCTCTTTTTCACAATTATTTAATTCCAGTAACTCCACATTACCAGCAGAGAAACTGAGATACAGAGTAATTAATGTGCCCCACGTCAAGAAGTATTAAGTGGTGGACCTTCTTAAAAGGTTGCTGTCATTGCTCAGAACTCTATAAACTCAGGCCAATCTCCTTAATTTAGATTTCTGTCTCTAAGACTTACTCTAAATGCTCATGTCCGGTATTCCTGAACTTGGAATGGCCTTACACTATTCTTTTAACCCAAATCTTATATACATTCACCCTTCTCTGAATATTTGTGTCTTCTCTAAGCTTTTTACAATTCATAAACTCCAAAATGTAAACTAACTTGCAGATACTGTTCCCTTTTTGTTAGTCATATCTCACCAGAGTATTTCCAAGTCCATGACTGAAATTCAATAAATACAGATTAATAAAAATTACTCACCATATACTTTTTTAGAAAAAACCTGCGAAATAAAAAAATAACATCTATTAATTGCAAAATTGGAAAATGTAATTGCAAAGTATATTATCACTATTAGTTGAGAAGTGAAAAGGGGAAAAATAGTGAGTCTGTTCTTGAATTACTATTAAAAAAATCTGAGGCTGGGCTTCTGCAGGCTTTATACGAAGCACAGTGCTGGCATCTGCTTCTGGTGAGGCCTCGGGAAGCTTACAATCATGCTGGAAGCTGACAGGGAGCCATCGTGTCACATGGTGAGAGAGGGAACAAGAGAGAGAAGGGGACGTTCCAGATTCTTTTTTTTTTTTTTTTTTTTTTTCTTTGAGACGGAGTCTCGCTCTGTCGCCCAGGCTGGAGTGCAGTGGCGGGATCTCGGCTCACTGCAAGCTCCGCCTCCCGGGTTCACGCCATTCTCCTGCCTCAGCCTCC
This sequence comes from Homo sapiens, assembly GCF_000001405.40. Classification (NCBI taxonomy): domain Eukaryota; kingdom Metazoa; phylum Chordata; class Mammalia; order Primates; family Hominidae; genus Homo; species Homo sapiens. Next base: position 90,393,011 of record NC_000007.14, on the reverse strand, counting down.
CAAGTAGCTGGGACTAAAGGCACCCGCCACTACGCCCGGCTAATTTTTTGTATTTTTAGTAGAGACGGGGTTTCACCATTTTAGCCGGGATGGTCTCGATCTCCTGACCTCGTGATCCGCCCGCCTCGGCCTCCCAAAGTGCTGGGATTACAGGCGTGAGCCACCGCGCCCGGCCTCCAGATTCTTTTAAACAACCGGATCTCATGTAAACTGAGCAAGAACTCATTCATCACCAAGGGGATAGTGCTAAGCCATTCATGAAGGATTTGCCCCCATGATCCAATCACCTCCCACCAGAGCCCACCTCCGACATTGGGAATCACATTTCAACATGAGATTTGGAGGGAGCATTCAAACCACATCAAATAGGGAAGTGTTAAGTTTTATGTATCCCTCAAAAACTGTATGTTGAAGTCCTAATCAACATTACCTCAGAATCCAACCTTATTTGGAGATAATGTCTTTATAGAGGTAATCAAGTTAAAATGTCATTAGGGTGGGCCCTAATCTGACTGGTGTCCTTATAAAAAGGGTAAATTTGGTGACAACCACACACACAAAGAGAACACCATGTACAGATGAAGGCAGAGATTGGGATGATGCTTCTACAAGACAAGATATGCCAAAAACTGGTCCCAAATCACCAGAAGCTAGGCTAGAGGCATGAACCGGATTCTCTCTCATGGCCCTCAGATGCAATCAGCCCTGCCAACACCTTGATCTTGGATTTCCAGGCTCAAGAAAATGTGAGATAATAAATTTCTGTTGTTTAAGCCACCTAGTGTGTTGTACTTTGTTACAGCAGCCCTAGCAAAGTAATAAAGGAAGGAAAGTTCTGAGTAAATTAAACAGTGAGATGTCACTTTACAAACTGTTAGAAATTTGTAGTGCACCATCAAATTTGATAGCACATTTGCTTCTAAGATTCTTGAATAAAGCTACTTAGTGAAGAGGGGGAAGGAAGAAGAGAGTGAAGAGGATTTACAAAAGAATTGGCCAATTAATAGGATAAGTAAAGGCTTTTGCCTGTAACTGCATTAAGGTGTTTTTTTCTCTTTTCATGCCTACTACCCGCTCCTACCATCACCACTAATTTTTTTCGCAGTTTTAAATAGAAACTTTTATGTTGAGTTTTTGATGAGGTATTATAAACTTGGATTTACTGCAGTCCTCCGTTCCCCCATCCTCAGTTTGTTATTTACAATCAACTGTGGTCCAAAAATATTAAATGGAAAAGTTCAGAAATACACACTATTCTAAATAACATGAGGAAATCTCATTCCATCCTGCCAGGAGGTGACTCAACTCTTTATCTGGCGTATCCACGTTGTATATGCTACCCTCCCATTCACCATGGATAGATATCACCTGCTCCTAACAACATGGCTCAATGATCCAGGATCATCAAAGCAAAATATTCTCCTGAGGTATTGACAGAAGGTCAGCAGTAGCCTAACACCAGGTACGTTACAATGCCTACGTCATTCACCTCACATGATCTTATCATGTAGGCATTTTATCATCTCATATAATCAGTAAAGATATTTCGAGAGGGAGACCACATTAACATAGCTTTTATTACAATATATTAATTGGCCCAATTTAATATTTTTAATCTCTTACTGTGCCTAATTTATGAACTTTATCATAGCTGTGTATATATAGAAAAAAACATAATATATATAGGGTTTGGTACTATCCAAGGTTTTAAGCATCCCTTCCTCCCATCCTCAGTTTCAGTCAACTGTGGTCCAAAAATATTAAATGGAAAAGTTCTGAAATACACACTATTCTAAGCAACATGAGGAAATCATGGGGGAGTTTTCTGCTTCATATTTTTATAGGAAAGGAAGGTCATGTGTGCTCATTTTATTGTTCTTACAATTTCTCTTGACCCCAGAGTGGTACCACTTCCTGGAAAGATTTGTTTTCAAAACAGAGGTTCAATTTTTATATAGTCCTCTTATTTCCCCCATTAGAATTCACTTGACTAGGGGCTTTTATTTACTCTGTCATTTAATCATGTTTCAAATCCATCCAAAGTCATAAGCTTTTACTCAATGTCTGCCCTTGATTTAAAATATTCTCAATCTCCCTCAATTTGTAGCACACAAAACCGAAGGCATATTTTAGCTTATAATCATGTCTTTTTTCTTAAGAAAATTATACTATAGTCTTCTTAAAGCCTTTTATATAGAAATAATACCAATAACAGTATTTGGTAACCAACTAGAAAAATGAAAGTACCGATCAGAAAATATTGGCAGTTTCAGAAAAATATACTGGAATATGGGCCATGAACAAAGGAAGCTTTTGTCCTTTGCTTTAAACTTTCAATGCACTCAGAATTTAGATAAGAAAATACTATCATGCCATATATTGCTCGCAAATTAATTATAACATAAGCTGCATGTCCTGTTCTTCAAATTCCAAGTATTTCAAAGGCACACGACTTGGATAACAGCTATGCTTCACATAGCTTATCTTACCTGTACATCCCAAAGAATTTAATTTCTATTATAAACACATTAATAATATATACAAAGGTGATTACTTTCTCTGAAATCTCCCAGGTACCCAACAACTATTAAGAACATTTAAAAAAAATTCTAACAAATTGCCTAAAATTTGTGGTTGATGATGGTCAGAAATGGTAGTTGAAATTGTCCCTGGCTTTTTCATGCTTACAAAAGCCAAGTGAGGCAATAACCACAACTGATACTTCTGAGCTATCCAGAGAGACATGCAACAACTTTCCAACATCCATTTTTTTCTTCTTCCCTCTCTCCCTTTCTCATTTCTACTACCTATTTCATTTTGCTTTTTCTTCAGCTGGCTACTGACACCCACTCAAAACTAAAGCTATTTCCCTAATACATTTCCCTCTGCTTGCCAAGCTTCAATTAGAAAAAAGAAAACTGGCTGGGCATAAATGGCTCATGCCTATAATCCTAGCACTTTCAGAGACTGAAGTGGGAGGATTCCATGAGGATGGGAGTTCAAGACCACTCTGGGCAACATAGTAAGACCCTGTCTCTACAAAATAGTTTTTAAAAATTAGCCAGGTATGGTGGCACACACTTGTAGTCCTAGCTACTTGGGAGGATGAGGCAGGAGGATAACTTAAGCCCTGAAGATTGAGGCCGCAGAGGGCTATAATCATGCCACTGCACTCCACAGAGAGACCCTGTCTCTAAAAAGAATAAATAAAACTAAACAAATAGAACAGATATGAAATATCTCTTTAAGAAAAAAAGATGTTTATTTTTCACTGCTTAACTTTTAATTAAAATTATGCATGTTATCTGCCAACACTTTTTGTCCACTGTTTATCTCATTAATTCTTGAGTTATAAACTTTGATAAGGCATAGACATTTTTTTTTAATAAATGTCTTTTAAAAAATTTTCCCATCCTGGCCAACATGGTGAAACCCCGTCTCTACTAAAAATACAAAAATTAGCTGGACGTGGTGGTGGATGCCTGTAATCCCAGCTACTCGGGAGGCTGAGGCAGGAGAATTGCTTGAACCAGGGAATCAGAGGCTGCAGTGAGCCAAGATAATGTCACTGCACTCCAGCCTGGCAAGAGAGCGAGACTCCGTCTGGGGGGGGAAAAAAAAAAATTCAAATTTTTTAGGCTCCCAAAAGAGTTTAAAAAACAACTCATGTATTCACCATCCAACTTTAAAAAAATGACATCGCTAGCAGGCAATACAGTGCAGTGTTTAAATAAGTTAAAATATGTGATTTACTCAGCCCAGTACCCAGCATATGGTAACATTACCACTTTAGATATGATTACTAGCACAGACCATGTACTCGAACAAGATTTCTGGATTTGTTTCACTTTCTATTCCGTTAAGGAGAGACAGATTTAAACCAGATTTGAGATACTATTAAGGATTTAAAGATATGCATTAAATTCAATTCACTATTTGGTCTTTAAAACAAAATGTTGCCCTATTTTTGCAATAAGATATCTTTTATCTTTTGTGTAGGTTTACACAAGTTATATTACTAATTTTTATTTTTAAGCTACAGTTTTAAAGTGCATCTGTGCTGTTGCTTTGAAAAATTATTTTTAATATATCTTAATGACAATGCAAATTTGTAGATGGGATTTGTAAAACTGGGTTTTCAATCTGAACTTTGCAAACACTGTGAAACTGCTTGGAAAATAGTTTATGTGTTTATGTACATTTTTCGGCAAGACAAGTCTGTAGCTTTCATTAACTACTGAAAGGAATCTCTAACCTTCATCCTTGCAAAGCAAATAAGCACTGAGATAAAAGAAAACACATAACTTTACAAGAAATCTAATTGGATAAAACCTGAAATATCCTTGACCTAATTTTTCTCATTATAAAAGATGACTTTTTTCCTGATTATGTAACTAATACATGTTTACCATTTTAAAAAAGTTCACCTTGTTATGACAAATAATAATATGAATATATATCACAAAAAGCACAACATAATAGGTATTTTGGAATTTTTCAGTGTGCAGGTCCAACTTCATAGTACAATATACTTAATACTGTATAAACATATTTCATGATGGTAAATAAATCTGATATTATAGAAAGCTCTGCAAGAACTACTGGGACTTTGTAAAAATTTGCTGTACATTGAATTTAATACTCTGGTTATTCAGTAACATAATAAGTGTTTCAAAAAAGCATATATTTTGAAAATTGCATTTTGAAAGGTAAAAATGAAAAGTCTTACTTAAGGACAAAATAAAATGCATCTGAGATAATGTTAAAAGACTTACTTCAAAATAAGTCTTTGTTTCAAAATTATTTTTTATAAGATAAAAAAGGAATCTGATCTTCTCCATCAGAATAAAAATCAAAGGTCAAAAAAAGGTACATAGAGTACACTTTGAGTAACCAGAAAATACTAATGAATTGAACATCTTAGTGAGTCACATAATAAAATGTTTCGGTTAGTCATGGAGTGGCACCCTGGGCACTACTGACAGAGCAAATAATCCTGAACACACATCTACTACCCTTTGCCACAGTGCAAAATGAGATTATGGTGTCAGTACTTCTGATATTCACCTGATGAAACTGTCCTTACATTGATACTTGTTTACATTTAGAAAACAATGGAGCTTAAAAAAAAATAGCACTGAAGTTACAAATGTAAAACATACCCAATACAAAACCTGGTCACTGTGATCACTATAAATTCCAAACGCTTTTCCTCACTCTTATTCTTTTCTTGTAAAGAGGCTATTCCAATCCCCTGCAGTTTCTGTTATCAAAGGCAAGATATACAAGGACAGTAGGTCCTGTCTGTTCTCTTCAACATGGCACATACAGCACCTTGGACAGTGCCTGATACAGGACATTGCTCAATAAATACATCAGCAATGAAGAAAAAAGAAATAAAAGAAAAGCCAGTTTGGGGACTGGAATGAGAGGTAGGAGTGAGGAACAGAAAATAAAACAAATATAATTGAAATAATACTGGGAAAACATCACTCATGTTGTCAAATCAGAAAAAAATTTAAGCTGAGAACAATGCATTATTTTTCTTTAATACTTTACCAAAGGGTGAACAGCCATATCTCAGGCTGTATGCAACATTAAATTCCAAAATAATTTCTAGTAATTTAAAAATAGCATTGAAGAATAATTTTTTGAAGTACAATATTTTGTTTTTTGAGAGGAAGTCTCCCTCTTGTCCTCCAGGCTGGAGTGCAATGGCGCAATCTCAGCTCACTGCAACCTCCGCCTCCCGGGTTCAAGCGATTCTCCTGCCTCAGCCTCCCGAGTAGCTGGGATTACAGACATGCGCCACCATGCCCAGCTGATTTTTGTATTTTAGTAGAGATGGGTTTTCACCATGTTGGCCAGGCTGGTCTTGAACTCCTGACCTCAAGTGGTCTTCCTGCCTCAGCCTCCCAAAGTGCTGAGATTAACAGGCGTGACCCACCGTGCCTGGCCTGAAGTACAATTTTTTAACTTGCTACTATTATGTAAAAAAACACTAAGTTGGAAAAAATTTATATAATGAATTCATTTGGGTAAAAATTTATACATAAAAAATTTCTGCAAGAATGTAAACTATTAATCATTTTCCCTGGGAAGAACTGAGGGGCCTAATGCAGAAAGGGAGCTTTTATTAGTTACTTATATGCTTTTGTACTATTTGAATTTTTTGTTTTTACAATCAATATGTACATTTTATAATAAAACTCATTTAAAGGGAAAATGTCCAGTTTGTATTTGTGAAACACTCAGGTAGAAACTTAGAAATTGCAATCTCTTATAATATATTGATTGTTGATAATATTAAAGTTTGCGTTTTCTGTTTTATAGAGAGCCAGGGTCTTGCTATGTTGCTCAGGCATGAACTCCTGGGCTCAAGCAATCCTCCCGCCTTGGCATCCCAAAGTGCTAGGATTACAGGCATGTACCGCTATGTCTGGCCTGCACCACCATGCCTGGCCTGCACTTGCTATTTATTCTCTCTTTACTAAAATAAGAAAGTGGGAAATTAAATAGATTATGACAAAAGAAAGTGAAATAGACTAGGACAAAAGAAAAATGAAACAATATAGATCAGTCTCCTCCAATTCAGGAAAAAATACTATTACATTCAAGAAACGAAAATTTTCCAAAAGCTCAAATCATAAACAGCTATCTTCTAGTTTCTGTCATATCTTTACTATCATTGAACATGTATTCAAATTTAGGGTTTTAAGGTCTCCACAAAAGATAACTATTATATATTTAGTGCAACCAGGTACAAGACAGGCTCAAAAACAAACAAAACTGAATTGCTCATTCTAATAATAATCTAGAGAATCCTTCCACATAAATTTAAAAAATGATCTCAATAGGGACATCCTAAGTAAAGGAATATCAGAGAATGTTATTACAGGTGGGCTGGCCATAAACTTGTAAAATGTAATTTTTTAGCTCTTTTTTTTTTTTGAGATGGAGTCTAGCTCTGTCACCCAGGCTGAAGTGCAGTGGCGCGACCTCGGGTTCATTGTATCCTCCACCTCCCGCGTTCAAGCAATTCTCCTGCCTCAGCCTCTTGAGTAGCTGGGGCTACAACAGGCATGCGCCACTATGCCTGGCTAATTTTTTATATTTTTAGTAGAGACGGGGTTTCGCCATGTTGGCCAGGCTGGTCTTGAACTCCTGACCTCAAGTGATCTGCCCTCCTCGGCCTCCGAAAAGTGCTGGGATTACAGGCATGAGCCACCATGCCTGGCCACTGGTTATTTTTTACTGTTGACATACTTAATTACAAAATAATAACTTTAAAAGGTATGGTTCTTCAATAATGACACATATATCAGAAGGTAATAATACTAAAAAAAAGATCTGTGAAAAAACTTTCAAAATAAAAAAATTAAATATAATTTTAAAAAATGACGTAGAAAAACTGGATTTATCATGTGTAACATGTTTTGAAATAT